>NW_018654717.1:4558042-4859623 GCF_000001405.40 Homo sapiens | reverse complement strand
AGCCCTCACATTGTCACTTTCACTTTATTCTATTGGCCAAAGCAAGTCACTAGATCAGATCAAATACAAGGTGCAAAGCAGTCACATGTCTTGATGGGAGTAGCTGCAACATCACATTTCATAGAGTATGGATATAGGGGGTGGTTGGAGCTGTTTTGTGATCAGTCCACTACAGTTATGAAAACTGAGTAGTTCACCTGATCATTCAGGATTCACAGATACTTCTGGTCCAGCTAAAGTAGTGCAGTTGCTTGGCTGTATTTCATAAAGAGCAACATTCTGGGCTGCATTGTATGGGTGAAAAGGGACACTAAACACCTCTGGCCAGATCTTCTAGTCTACAGTGAGACTTCTTCGAGTGTCTTAGAACAGAAGGAAATGCCATGTGAGGATTCTGAGACCTTGTTTGGGCTCAACCAGAAAGAGGTGGTGATGATTTTACAGTGTTGTCCATGGGAAAGGAGAGGGAGTAGAGACCAGCAGCTGTGACGTTCATGTCACACATCTTCGCCACCTCCGCCTTAGAACATCTCTCACTGCTTGAAATACTGTCTTCTACCCACTCGTAAGGATAAGGAAGGAGCAACTATTTCCATGGGAAGCGAAATTCCACAGTGGGAAGAGCACAAGATCTAATCTGGTTCTAAGATTAGAACAGCATTAACAGAACAAAGATTTTTGTGTGTATGTTGTGGTGATCATTTGAAACATGCACATACAGTGATCATATTGTTCAAAGCAAATTTCATTACCCACAGTCCCAGCCACGGGTTGCTTTTTTAGAACCTTCTTTGTTTCAGTCTTGCTGAGTTATTCAGACTGTTAAAAAGCTGAGTGCATTAAGAGCCCTAAATCAAGTCATCTGTCTAGAATATTTCCTTTGAGGAAAGTTCCTTTTTTCATTCTTTCTCTCCACCACTCTTCCCCCCACCCTTTGTTAATGAAAAAACTTCAAAGGGTAAATTGCTTTACGTTTCCTCTAATGGTTATTGGAAAGAAGAGGCAGCTTTTTGAAATACATGTCTCTCTGCGAATGCCAGAAAAAAAAATGTGCAGTTGTTATCGGCTCCTGCCATCAACATTCTTTAATTTAAAGAAGGATTCAGCTGTATGAATTAGGTTGCAGGCTCCAGGGTTGTGTTTCTCATGGGTGGTATTTCATGGTGAAATAAAACAGCATTTAAGAAAGGATATGAGGCCAGTTGGGGTGGCTCACGCCTGTAATTCCAGCACTTTGGGAGCCTGAGGTGGGTGGATCACCTGAGGTCAGGAGTTCGAGACCAGGTTGACCAACATGGCGAAACCCCATCTCTACTAAAAATACAAAAATTAGCTGGGTGTGGTGGTGGGCACCTGTAATCCAAGCTACTTGGGAGACTGAGGCAGGAATTGCTTGAACCCAGGAGGCGGAGGTTGCAGTGAGCCGTGATCGTGCCATTGCACTCCAGCCTGGGTGACAAGAGCAAGACTCCATCTGAAAAAAAGAAGGGGGAAAGTATGGAAAATGAAGAGCAGCAGAGACACTGGGTTGGAAGAGAGGGGAAGGTGTGTGCGTGGATGGATGGTGGGCCGGTTGGAAGGTGGAAGGAATTGCCCACAGAAGCAACAATCCAGTGAGTTCCATTTCAGACAGGTCAGCAAGCCACTGCTGCCTCTTGCCATAGGTTTTGCTAAATGTCTCTGGAGGCAGATGTGCCTTTAAGTTTTCACAACCAAGAGACCGACCTCTAGAAAAATATTATCCCCTTCCACTCAGACCATCATCTTCACATCTCCCCCAGCCTCATGCTTTGAAAAGATCATGTTATTCTCTAACACAGGGTTTCTCTACCTTGGCACCATTGATAATTTGGATTGGAAAACTGTTGGGGGAGCTCTACTGTGTATTGTAGGGTGCTTATTAACTATCCCTGGCCTCTTCCACATCTTCGCACCACTCTGCCTCCTGGCTGTGACAACAAAAATGTCTCCCGACATTGCCAAGTGTCCTCTGGGGGACAAAATCACTTCCGATTGAGAACCATGACTTTAACACATTAAATGACAAACTGCTGAGAAAAACACAAGTAGCAGAGAAAACCAAAGAGGCTAATACAAATCATGGCTGCTATTTTTTTAACCCACCCAAGGAAGGAAAATGTCCATCAATTTCTAACCAGAAACAGGTAAGTCCTTTAATTCAAATACGAGAACAATAATTAAGTAGAGCCTATCTCTGAGTTTTTTTTCTTTCTCTTTCCTTTTTTTTTTTTTGGCGGGGGGGACGGACTCTTGCTCTGTTGCCCAGGCTGGAGTGCAGTGGTGCGATCTCAGCTCACTGCAAGCTCCGCCTCCCGGGTTCAAGTGATTCTCCCATCTCAGCCTCCCGAATAGCTGGGATCACAGGCGTGAGCCGCCATGCCTGGCCAAACCCTGTCTCTGTGAGGAGCCTGGAGAACTCTCTGTGTTCCTCTTGGTATAAAATAAGTGACCAGGAGTTGGTCACAGCTGGGCAGTTTTTAGGAAGAGATGCAACTATGTGGGGAAAGTTAGGGAAGTAGCCGGAACCCACTGACTGCACTCGTCCCACTCCTGGAGTCAACATTAAGTAGGTTGCATTTATGTGCTGTTCTTACGTTGTGGGTCAGAATGTCACCGTGTGAGACCAAATTGAAGATTCACCCAGGGTCGTTGCATGAGAATTGAGCTCTCTCTTTTACCTCCATATGGACTAATGATCCTTCACCTAGTGGCCCAGTTGTATTTGGCCTGAATATCTACCCATCATCCGTATCTGTAGCAGTTCATTGCCCCCTTTCTGCAAAAGATGCTGTCCCTCTACTGAAGCATCATTTCCCTACAACCTAGAAATAGTGTCTTATTTCACTCACACAATGCAGAGAAATCCCTTAATACATAATTGATGGCTGGGAGTGGTGGCTCACATCTGTAACCTCAGCACTTTGGGAGGCCAAGGTGGGCAGATCACTTGAGGTCAGGAGTTCGAGAACAGCCCGGCCAACATGGTGAAACCTCATCTCTACCAAAAAATACAAAAAATTAGCCATGCATGGTGGTGTGTGCCTGTAGTCCCGGCTACTTGGGAGGCTGAAGCATGAGAATCTCTTGAACCCAGGAGGCAGAGGTTGCAGTGAGCCGAGATCATGCCACTGCACTCCAGCCTGGGCAATAAAGCGAGACTCTGTCTCAAAAAAAAATAAATAATAATAGTAATGACTGATTAAACCCTTAAAAACTCACTGTAGATAAATTCAAATGACTAGAGAGCTTCCAGCATTTTATAATTATTTCCAATAGTATATTAATAATTAATGCTATAAAGCTGATGTCTAAAGTACATTAGAAATTATAAATACCGATCTCATATTTTCTTCAGGATATGTTTTGTAAATATGCACCAAGCAAATAAAACAGCCTCCAAAATTTATGTCGAGACCTAAAATCATCATATAAAATGTACATATATTTGAGATATATATGCCTACATTTATACTGCCAATCTATTGAAAACCTTGCGAGGGTGACTTGTGTTTGAGCACTGTGCACTTGGTTGCTTTAATCAACGTGCTTTGACATGCTATACTTATGATAATAAGACAATACTGTGAATAGCTATCTTTTTATACAAAAGAAGACGTTTTTGGAGAATCAAATAAATCTTCTTTTGGAAAAATAGACATTTTTAAAACTCACATCTTGCATCTACTGTCATCTCAAATAAACCCAGAGAAATAAAGAACGAGACTACTGGGAAATCCCTGTCATTTTGTTAGAAACCTCAGAAGAAAAGGCTGTGGTAAACCGTAAATATGACAGGTAATTTCAACAGCTACTGTAACGACTACGCATGTTTCATTAACATGAGAAGCTGAACTGGGAATCCAAAAGACCATGACTGAATTAATCAGCCTGGCTTCCTTTTATGATGATCGTTCCTTCAGGGCAGACTAATAATGGGCCTCCTTGTTCTACATTCAGATAGGGGATGTCAGAACAACAGCTACAATAAGACCTGAGATGTGACATGACCTATGCCTTTCAAGTCTTCCAGCGCCTCTTTGGTCTGCGCTTGAATCTGATTACTCCACTTAAGCATTTAATGAAATACATGGTCAGAGTGAGGCTGGCAGCTCTCTCCCTCAGCCCCTCTGGAGCAATTATCAGTTCGCTGTCCTGGCCCCTCACCTACCTCTCCACCCAAGGGACTGGGAAAAAAGCAATAAATTCACCCCCAAAGTAAATCATGTTTTAAAAATGCTTCCTTTAGAGAATAGATTTATAATGCAACACCAATAAAGCTCACTTAGGTATTTGACTGGTATCTCATTGTCTGCACTGAGTCACCAGAGTTTCTGCAACTTAGGGCCCTTAAATGCACGGATGGTGAGCCAATCAAAAGACAAGTGGGCCTTTTGCCCCACACTGTGAAATTGAAACAAAAACACCTGCAATTATACACAGAAAAGAGTAGTCTTGACTCAAGAGGTGACACAGAAAGAAGTAGGGACAAGAAATGGTCTTCCAGCAGAAGGACCCTTGAAGGGTTTTCTGAACGAAAGGATGAGTCTATTACAAGAAATACCACTGAATACTTTTAAGAGTAAATTTACTACATGAAAAATTGAGCTAACAAATCAAGCATTCATATTACAAAAGAATTCATTTTCTGCTTCTTTTAAGGTCCGCATCCCCCTAGGACATTTAAAATGCAGCTGATTAAGTATTGAAGGCTATAACTAAAGCAGTGCAGGAAATTTACTTCGTTCGCTTCTCTCTCTCTGTCTCTTTTTCTCTTCTGAAACAAATACATGTGACTTTTTAAAAAAGAAAAAGTAATGGAAGATATTCTTTTTAATGCAGTTTAATTTACAAAAGCGGTATTTCCGTAAATATTTTCTGAATTAAATCTTATTCACAGAGTCTTAAAGCTGATGCCAACTCTACTACAGCTGCAGGCTGTGCATTTGCCAAGCCTGACTCTGAACCCTTCTGTAGGATGAGCAAGACGAGGTTCAAGGAAGGTGAGTGATGGACTCACAGGCACATCCGTGACTGGCACAGGTGGACTTGGATCCCAGGACCCCATTACACAGAGGGATGCACTGAAATGAAAGTGATGAGGAGGCTGAATACAAAGGGAATTAGGGCAGGGTCTTCATCAGATTGGATGGCTATAATAGAGTACCATAGACTAGGTAGCTTATACACAATACACAACAGAAATTTTCTTTCTTTTTTTTCTTTTTTTCTTTCTTTTTCTTTTTTTTTTTTTAGACAGAGTCTCACTCTGTCACCCAGGCTGGAGGGCAACTACATGATCTTGGCTCATTGCAACCTCCACCTTCCAGGCTCAAGCAATTCTCCCATCTCAGCCTCCTAAGTAGTGAGACTACAGGTGTGCAACACCACACCTGGATAATTTTTGTATTTTTTTGTAGACATGGGGTTTCACCATATTGCCCAGGCTGGTCTTGAACTCTTGGCCTCAAGCAATCCTCCCAGTTCAGCCTCACAAAATGCAGGGATTACAGGTATGAGCCACTGTGCCCAGCCGAAACTGATTTCTTACAGTTCTGGAGGCTGGAAGTCCACGACCAGGGTGCCAGCAAGGTCAGGTTCTGGTGAGAGCTCTCTTCTGGGTTACAGATCACCCACTTCTCCTCGAACCCTCATAAGGTATAACAGAGTGTGAGAGAGCTCTCTGTGGTCCCTTACACCAGGTCATTATAAGGTAATGACCTAATTACCTCCCAAAGGCCCCAAGTTCCAATGCCATCACATTGAGGTTTAGGATTCCAACATATAAATTTGGGAGAGACACAAACATTCAATCTATTGCAGACAGTTTATGCTAAACAAAGTTACTGAATTCTAGAACGTTTCTATTGTTATCAGATAAATTATAACACTTTCTGGATCTCTTCAGATGTCTGAACATAGACCTCACCCCCTGAGTCATGGGTGACCCAAAATGGTAATAATGGTACTGTTGCCATCACAGCCATTCGCAGGTACTTGACTTGAATATCTGAAACAAATATAATTAATTTTTTCCTTGGGAAAAATTTCAATACTGGGTTCAGTTTTCTAAACTGCGTATGCCAAAGCCGAGATTGCAGCCATTCTTATGTAGCACAAATCAATTCACCAACACTTGCAGAATCAGTTTTCGTGGGGAAGAAAGCAATTAAGATTTAGAGCAGGTGCTGCTTTGACTATTAATTATAAACCCTCTGGAACACAGTGAAATGTGCAACATAATTCCAAGAAACATCTCACTTTAAATTGGAAAATGTTTCCTTGTTTTTTAAAGGGACAGTCTGAAGCAAATTCAAAGTGTAAATATTTTAAATTATGTAATACAAATGTGAGACCTTCTGAAACTAAGGTTATGAAAGGAGTCAATTCTATTATGTGATCCTGCGATGTGTCAGGGGGCTGCAAACTATTTTGATCCAGCACATTTAAAAATTGGATATTCATAAAATAAAATAAATGAAGCCCAAAGAGAGAAGAAGCCTGCTGTCTATGGTGGGTGTAGTTCCAGGAACACCCTTGGAAGCTAAGGGTGTTTTTAGCTTCCACGTGGCACAAAGCACAACAGCATGAAAGGTTGGGATGTCACAAAATGGCAGGCGGGAATGTTTCCCTTCAGTTACATTCAGGAGTGGCTGTGAGCACTTCGGACCCAGAAGCAGCTCACAGCCAGGGGGAGCATGGGAGACCTAGACCCAGGATACCAGTTATTGATTACAACACACCCTGACAGCACACCCTCCCCCTTCCTTACATCACTGGGACAAGTGAGGTTGACAAGATGTAGCATTTACAAACAGGCAGGAGAGAATCTCAAATGCAAATGTGAACCACAACCAAAATTACGTAACATTTTAGGTAAATAAACAACTTAAGAGAGACACTATAACTTATAAACAGGAGAACTGAAATAAAAGAAAACAGAGCCAATAGAGGAAAGAGATGGGAGGATGAAAAGAGATGTCATTATGAATAATATCTTCAGAAGGAATAGGATATCACACATTCCCGAAGCAAAATCAGGTTGTATGACTAATAGGGGACTTGAAGATAAAAATCATAATTATTGAAATAACAATTTCAATAGATGGATCAATAGCAAATAGATAAATCTTAAAAGCGGTGTGCTGGAGAATGGAGCTAAAAAGTTCTCTAAGAAGATAGTTCCAAACGACAGAAAGATGGAAAATGGGAAAGGAAGGTCTTAGAGAACATATCCAAATATGGTAACATCTACCTTAAGGAAAAGGATAGAAAGAAGAAAGGGAAGAAAATCTTAAGAACATAACTTTAGGGAAATAATTTTAGAAGAATATTTCCTTGTGTGGAACTATAGCACTAATTGGTTCAATTTTACTTCTACTTTCAGAAAGTAAACATACCAGCAATTACAATAAAATAAGTGAATTACGTTCACCTGCTAAATATTCTCACACTGGATACAAAACAAAAACAATAAGATAATGCAACTATATGTTACTTGCCAGAGATGCAATTATGATACAGAAAGGTTGAAAAAGTTTTGCAAAACAGATGCTAACAAAAAACCTCAAGTGTGACAATACAATACCAGACAAAATAGAATGCAAGGCAAAAGAAAAGGCAATGAAAGAAACAAAGAGATTGTATTTCATATTGTGAAGAGTTACGATTAACTAGGAAATTATAACATGAACTCTAATATAACCAACAAATTGCCTGAGCTACATAAAGCAAGAACTGGCACAAACACAAAGAATAATAAACAAATTCACAATCTTAAAGAAAGATTTTAAAGTGTTTCCCACAAAAATGGATAGACAGATACACAGCATCTGAATGATACAATTAATAACCTTAATCTATATGTATATATTACTGTTTACAAAACAATACTTATACAAAAACCAAAATTATATCTGTGCAGACATAAGAAATATATGATCTTTTTTTGAGACAGGGTCTCACTCTGTCACCCAGGTTAGAGTGCAGTGGTGCAATCATGAATCACTGCAGCCTTTACCTCCCAGGCTCAAGCGATCCTCCCACCTCAGCCCTCCAAGTAGCTGGGACACACCTGGCTAATTTTTTTTTTTTTTTCACAATGTTGCCCAGACTGGTCTTGAACTTCTGGCCTCAAGTGATCCTCCTGCCTCGGCCTCCGAACAGTGCTGGGATATTTGTTAAACCTACATAAAACATTCCTAAAGCTGCTCATGTATTAATGGGAAGAAAATCTCAACAAATTCTGAAATTCCCAATCAAGCAAAAATTAAGCCACATTCACTAATAATGCAATAAAATTAATATTATAGAGATAGACAGAAACAAAAAATATATTAAAAATTATCAAACTAGAATTTTAAAACTCTAAATCCTTTCAAGTTAAAGGGAAATTTAAAATAAGAATTATTAGCTACATGTTTAGAAATGTTATACAGTAAGTACAACATATCAAAACCCGCAGCATATAGTCAATATGCTAAAAAAAAAAAAATAGATAAGCCTAAAAGCCCTTATTCAAAGACAAGGCAGGATTCCTTAGTTACAAGAGTCTAAAACCCAACTCAAACCGGCTTAAGCAAATGGAAAAACTTGGCTTACATAATTAGAGTCCAGAGTAGAGTTCGAACATGGTTAGATCCAGGTGCTCAAAAAACACCATCAATTCCTATTTCCTCTGTGCTGCCTTTGTTCTTAGGCAGGTTCTTTCTGTAGTGGCAAAATAGTAATCAGCTGCAGTGCGTGGCCTATCCACCCTCAGTTCACCAACCCTAAGAGAAAATGAGCATCTTTGCTAAGAAGCAAGAGTCCACTAACTTCAATGTGACCATTTTGAATGAGGAGCGGGTCTGCTCCACCTAAAACATAAATACTAAGTAGAAGTGGGTAAGTAAAAGAAGTCTAATTCAATAGGAACAATTGAAAATAAGTAAACTAAGCTGGCACTAAAAGAGTTAAGAAGATAACAAAGTCAAACCTAAGGAGTAAGAAAAAAATCAACTAATTAAGCAAAATGTTATTTAAAAAAATTAGTAGGATGGATGAACAAAACAAATGCTTGGTACTTTACAAAAGCTGAATAAAATTGGCAAATCTTTGGCAAGTCATCAAGAACAAGATGAAATCACATACATAAGAAAAATTAGAATTAACAAAGAGCAGGACTCAAGATACAGATTTTTAAAACAATGAAGAATACTTTTTGTGACTTTGCCTTAAATATAGAAAATATAAATGAGAAAGATGATTTTCTGTGTAGAGAAAAAATTAATCAAAATTTGGCTTAAGAAGATCTGACATGAAACACTCCCCTGCCCCCACACACACACAAACACACACACCCCACAGGAAACCTGAAAGACAGTGATCAAAGATATATTCCTAATAAATGCCACTCGGTTTGAAATTTGGACAAGTACATTCTACCAATCTCTTAAGAAGAGATACCTCCAATACTGTGTAAATTATCCCAGAGCTAAAGTAAGAGATTCCTTCTAATTCATTTAATGAGTTTGGCATAACCCTGATGGCAAAACTAGACAAGGAGAGCGTGAGAAAATGACATGCAAATCACACGTATGAAAAAGGTACAAACATCCTAAATAAAATATTCACAAGTTGACTCCTGCAGCTAATAAAAAAGTTCAGCAAGATATATAGATTCAAAATTTACATACAAATGTAGATAGCAGGATATTCACTGGAAATAACCAAGTGAGAATTTCAATTTCAAAGGACTTCCATTCTCATCAGAAACAAAAAAGAAGATGCTTAGGAATATCCTAATAAGAAATGTGCAAGATCCAGGTGGAAAAATCTGTCACATTTACAGAAAGGCATGTAATGACAATTGCATTGTTATTTACAGAAAGGCATGTAATGCCAATTGCATAAACAGAGATAGTCTGAGTTCCTGTACAATAAGTTCCATCATTCCCCCACATTGTTTTTAACCTCTGTGCTTCTCGTCTTGATGAAACCAGCTGCCTATGGATGAGGAAGCTACCTCCCCACTAGAGAGGGATGGTCCTTTGCCTAGGTGACTGAAGCCCAGAGAATCATGTGCTTCAGGAGGGCTCTTGCTGAACATGGTATATCTCCTCCCTATGAAGTTGCTTATTCTCCCCCAGAAGGCAAAGACCCTTATTTCCTCTTTCTCAAAGCAGCTCTTACATGACAGAATTCCCTTCTGCAGATTTTCTTTCCAATAATTGCATGCCCATTTGGGAGAAACAGGATCTTTCAGAAGCTGCTTTCAGTGAGTAAGAAGAAAGGCTGGGAACCACATAAAGGTCCATTTGAAGCAGTCATTGCAACACCATGTCTCAAAGTCACTCTGTCAACAGCTTTTGGGCACACCAGTGGGAAAGACACATGAGGTGCAAAGGCCTTAAATCCCATTCGCTACCCTTCAGATCCCAAACTGGATTCTAGCACAAACTGACCATCAGTAAGATGGATGCCACCTGAAGCTGCAGTTGGTGATCATTTCAATCAGAATTCCTCAGAAACTCCAAGACAGGCCGGGATTCTATTTGCAGAGACTCTACTCCACTGAGGAAAATGTTTGTTTCTAATAGTTAGTATGAACCTGTCATTTCTTCTCTCTCTTTTCTTCCTATTAGCTAACCTCCTCATTCCTTGCAGTTTTTGGTTACTTGTCTTTTTTCATCTGCTTCTCTATTTTCTTCCTGAGCCCCTTAAACCCCAGCCAGACTCATAACCACACTGCCCTTCCCTTTTTTGGTTTGTCTGTTTCCATTCTTATTCGTACTAAACCCCTCTCTCTTTTTTTTTTTTTTTTTTTTTTTTTCTGCGTCATGGGCAATGCAATTCACAGTTGCTTGAATTGGGCCATTAAAGATGTTGTCTTTGGATCATTTTTTTTCTCCTTTTCTCCTAGCAAACCCCGCTCTCCAACCCCCAGCCTCTCCTCTCTATACAGAAAATGCTCAGCATTTTCTGGAGCCAAAGATGCAGCAGAGGGAGAGGGCTGGGGATGAGGCACGGCGGTAGCAAACTCAAATACCCACAGGGTCCAGGCAAGTGATCTGAGTAGGTGAATGGACCAGATGGCAAACTGGCAAGCACATGCCCAACTAAAGGGAGCAGCTGCTACACAGCTCCCCTGATGGGTGCCAGGTGGGAGTGTAGCCCCAGAGCTGCCAGAGCTCTCAATTTTTAAGTAGAAGTCAGAAATATCTTTGTTATCAGAAACATGGCAGGCTGCTGAAGCAAACTACAATGCTTTAGCTAGACTTGGAATCCTGCAGGAGGTAATTACTGGCTGTAACTCAAACTTCTAGCTAGGAGAAGATGGCTGTCTCCCACCTGGGGAGCAGTCCTCAAACAAAGCAGAGAGCAGATGGGAGCCCAAGGAGGGGCCCCTCCCTCCCATTTCTCCCGAAGGGTGGACTCTGCGGAACAGCTGATGTCGATCATGCAGTGACGATGTGTCAGGCTTTGTGTTAAGCACTTTACATGTGTCACCCCATGAAAGCCACAAAATAACCATGAAGGCAGCACTGCCAGATTTAGCAAATAAAAACACTGGAGGCTCAGTGACATTGGGATTTTTGCTCGGGATATACTTATGAAAATCTGTTGTTTTTCTAAAATTCATATGTAACTGAGCCTCTTGTGTTTTATCTGGTGACCCTGCATGAGAGTACAAGATGGTCGTAACTTTATTTATGAAAGAAGTTGTTCATTTGTGAGATGCTCAAAGTCACCTAGCTGGCACGCACTGACCATCAGTAAGATGGTTGTCACCTGAAGCTGCAGTCAGTAATCATTTCAGTCAGAATTCCTCAGAAACTCCAAGACAGGCTGGGATTACACAGCAGTCAGGACTCAAGATTCAAACCCAGAACTGATTTCATTCCCAAGCCCACACTTAACTTTTGCACAAATGTTTCACAAACTTTGATCCACTGATTTTGTGGGCCTAGAGTTTAGGAAATAATCCCCCAATTTTTTTAAAAAAAAGATGGTGTTTTTATTCTGACGATAATAGTAAACATTTGCTTATTTACTTGTTATAAGATAAAAAGTTGAATTCTGATTTGAACAAATCAATTGTAACGAAAACATTTATGAGATATTCTGGGAAAATGTAACAGACTAGATATTTAATTACAGTGAAAAATTAAATGAGATAATGGAATTGTGATTTATCTTGTGAAAAAATAGTCTTTGTCTTTTAGAGATTCATGTTGAAATGTTTACAAACAAAATGATAACGATGTCTAGGATTTGCCTTATAGTAATTCAATCAAAGTACATGTAAAGGGAAAAGCAAGATTAGCCATGAACGGTCATTGTTGAAACGGGGTGACGGTATGCGTATCGCCTGCTTATATCACTTGTGTCTGTATACTTTTGTATATATTTGAAATTTTTCCTAATATAAAGTAAAAATATTACATTCTTAGTGCAATGGCAATTTGCAACTAAGAGATGTTTTTGTGAAACAGACTAGTTTCTAAAGTCAGCATTTATTTTCTGGGATTCTTGAGAATTGTATTTTCTTTGAAATAAGTGAATATAATTTTCAAATTTGAGAAATGCCAAGTGCTATTTTATTGTGAAATATATACAAATGTAGCAGGAATACTCCAGCATTTTGAGAATATTGGAAATCTATTTCTTTGAGGCTAAAAAAAGATAAGGACCTTCTTTTAGAATTTTTGCTTCTGTAGGTGGGTGGCAGACTTTTCAGACTACGCAACAAGATAGTATGTACTTCTAACATGCAATGGAGGAAATTCCAAGATCGCTCTCAGTTTCATAAAATGTTTGTCCTGGAAGTATCCACTGACCTGGCATGATGGGACTGAGAAACCTCATTTCCAAAAAAATGTGAGACGAGTGATGACTGCAATGGTCTCTGACTTGTGCATAACCTCAGAGGAGGTTATTTCTGCAGGGCTTCCTCTTAAGAACATGTCTTGGCCGGGCGCTTTGGCTCACGCCTGTAATCCCAGCACTTTGGGAGGCCGAGGCGGGCGGATCACGAGGTCAGGAGATCGAGACCATCCTGGCTAACACGGTGAAACCCCGTCTCTACTAAAAATACAAAAAATTAGCCGAGCGTGGTGGTGAGCGCCTGTACTCCCAGCTACTCAGGAGGCTGAGGCAGGAGAATGGCGTGAACCCGGGAGGCGGAGCTTGCAGTGAGCCGAGATCTCGCCACTGCACTCCATCCTGGGCGACAGAGCGAGACTCCGTCTCAAAAACAAAAAGAACATATCCTTCTCCTGGCCCGCAGCAATAAGCATTGTCACCGTCCGCCCTCCAAGCACGTGCCTCACTGTCATCTGCATGTGTGATCCAGCCTTTAAAGGTAGGAACAACTTCATTACCCTAACAGCTCCCATACCAGACATAAGTGGTGGTCAAGGAGAGAGGAAGAAGGAAGAAGACAGGCAGAGGAATTGCACGATATAGGAAGGTGGCATTGAGAAAAAGCACTGGGTATGGTAAGTAGTGGTGATACACACAGGAGACAGGGAAATACTGGGTAGAAGAGGGCAGTTCCCTGGCAAAGGTCCCACCCTCAAGCCTGAAGACCCGTGGCCCTATGTGAGGACGGGCATTTCTGTTTTGGCTCACCACGCCCCCCACCCTGTGTCTTTTTAAGTTCGAGACCTTAGCAGGCACAGACACAGGCAGCTGAACGTCGAGAGGAGCAGAGGAACAGAGCAGCAGAGAGCGGTGGGGCTGCATGGCAGAGAAAGAGAGAAGAAGAAGGATCTCTGGATGCTGAGGGGAGTTCAACTGGGGGCAGTCAGAGAAGAGTCTGGCTGCTGGGTGGCCAAATCCAGGGGAAGACCACCTTCCCAAGCCATCCCCACTTCCGGCTCCCCATCCATCTTGCTGAGACCTACCTCCACCGCTCAATAAAACCTTGTACTCATCCTTCCAGCCCACATGGGATCCAGTTCTTCCAGTACACTGGGCAAGAACTCACACTGTCACACTGGCCCCTGCCCTTGCGATAAGGCAGAGGTTCCATTTAGCTGATTAACACAAGCTGTCGGCAGACGGCAAAGCTGAAAGAATACACTATAACACATGTGCACTGCGGCCTCGGGAGTCGTAGACACCCACTCCTAGATGCTGCCATGGGCCTGGAGCTCAACAGCACCCACCCCCAAAAGCCTCTGCACTGCATGTCTGCATGCTCCCCCTAGGGGTTTGAGCAGCAGGGCAGAGGGGCAACTCACAGGGTGAACCACACCCCTGTCACACGTCCTGCAAGGGGAATAAGGGAACCCTCCCATTTCAGTGGCAGAGTGTGAAAAATTGCCCTCAGGTGGCACTCGGTGGCATTTGTTCTGAGGAGAACAAACACTCCCAAACAGTGTGCTCTGAGATACTGACACCCCATTGCCACATGACCAAGCTGGGGCTGGGTGGCCAGAGGCCCATGAGTGGTCATCTTCATGACAGCAGGCTTGTTAGGGGATATGAATTATCTCCAGGTGACCTCAGTGCACCGTACGAATGTCGCCATTTTTTGTGAGTGACACGATCTGAAAAATGTGCTGTAGAATTTTTAATTTATACTTGCATAAAAACAGCTAACCAGGCCCAAGATGACCTTGCTGTTCACTACTCATTAGTTTAGCCTTCATGGAGGAAGAGCATCAGCTCCAAGGCTGCAAAACTACATGGGTTGCACAGGTCAAGGACTGGTTGCCATGCTAGTTTATACCAGCTAAGTACATAGCCATGTTCAGATAACCATTGAATGTGTCATCTGCAAGACACATTGTGGAGATCTACCCAATAGATTCACCATAAATGTGATTAGTTCACTATTGCTGCTACATCCCACAACACATGAAGGATCCCATTAGATAGATTGATGAAATAATTTTGTATCTGTATAAGCACTTTAAAATATTTAGGGGCTGGGAGAGGTGGTTCATGCCTGTAATCCTAGCACTTTGGGAGGCCAAGGTGGGTGGATCATTTGAGTCCAGGAGTTCAAGACCAGTCTTGCCAACATAATGAAACCGTGTCTCTACTAAAAATACAAAACATTAGCTGCGGGTGGTAGCACACGCCTGTAATCCTAGCTACTCAGAAGGCTGAGGCATGAGCATCACTTGAACCTGGGAGGTGGAGGTTATGGTGAGCTGGGATTGCACCACTGGACTCCAGCCTGGACAACAGAGTGATACTGTCTCAAAAAAAAAAATATATATATATATACACACACACAGAGAAATAGATAATATAGATAGACAGATATAGATAGATAGATAGATAGATAGATAGATAGATAGATAGATAGATAGATAGATTTAGGAGGAAAAAAGTATAGTCCTTTTAAACCTTTGAATGATTTTTAGAAGCCTAATAGGGTTATTAGGAAGAAAAGCATTCATTTACAAGCGGAGAATTAATCTGCAAATACAGTGGTGCAAAATACCCGATAGGAGAAGAAAAAATAATCTCATTTGGCTAGGGAAAGGAAGATGGGCATTTGCTGGATAATATATATCACTCTATATCTATAATATGTCTTTTCTTAGTCTTTTTTATTTTTCAACACAAGAGACTATCAGTACTGAGTCTAACAGTCTTGGGTGGAAGGGGTAAAAGCTTGGAGGAGGAAGCTGGCTGGGGGCTGCCTGGATAGGATTCAAGATCATAGATTAGCAAATTTCCGGAAGGAATCTGCTGCACAGTCAGGTCAGCCTGACCACTTTGCCACCCGCAGCTTTTCTACTGATTAGATTTGTAAATGGGCCAAGACCTAGACATTCATCCTGCAGCAATTCAGCAAGGCAGACACGGAATTAAGTCTGAATGGACATGCTCAGGAGCTCCAAACCAAGCAGGAGAGAGGCAAGGAATCAATGAACCTCTTGGAATTTATATCAAATGGACAAAAGAGCAGGCAGTATGTGGGCCTCTATAACAATGGCTTTGTTCCATTGTTAACAGTAGTGCTACCATCATGAGCTGAGCATGGAGGTAAGCCACATTCCATCGCACTCTTTGCTGGGTGTGATGAATCTAGAGTTAGCAGGTGTGTGTTGACACTCAGAGAGAAGCAGTCTTGGTGAAAAGACCTCTAAGCTATTGAGGCAGCTACTATGTCAGAACAGAGAGATTGACTCTAGGAGAGTTGAGGTTTACCAGGGAATAGAGAGGAAGTTAGAAGGACCAATGTGGCCTTCCTTGCAAAATTTAGAGAGTGGCTTTTCTGTTAAAACAGGACTAGCTATTGTCTACGGTAGTGTTTCTCAAATTTTAATATGTGCATGAATCCCCCAGGGATCATATGAAAATGTCCAGCCTTGATTCAGTGGCTCCGAAGTGGCCTGAGATACTGCATTTCTAACAAGTTCCCCAGAGTTGCTGAGGCTGCTGAAAACAAACCACAACACTAAATTCTAGAATATTCCCTAGAAATATTTTTAAGCTGAAGAGAAGACAAAGATAATTAGCAAGCTAGTTTTTCCTTGGGCCTGAGTGAGGCCAGGATTGGATTAAATTATGATTTTTATCTGGTTAGGGATCAGTGCTAAAGGTAACAAACTGTGCCTGGATGTGTGTATCACTTTAGCATTTGCTCTAATAGTGGTCAGTTTGTAAATACAGTATTCTTATGTTTATTAGCTCATTTAGAGAAAAGTATATTCTTTAGAAAATTATTTGTTGCATAGTAGCAATGAATAAATGGATAAATAAACAACAAGTGAAAATGCATTGTACATTCCGACTTAGCAAAGCAAACGAGAAATACTTCATTTCAGGTTAAAATGCCAAACCTAGATAACTATTTCTACATGATGGCATCTAAAGGAGAACCTTCCCAGACTGGAAATACAGCCTTGTTGTTCACATTACTCAAATTTACTTTCCTGGAGTTAGTGAATTTCTGAAACATACACACATACACACACAAATATATATTAGGTTGGTGCAAAAGTAATGGCAAAACCACAATTACTTTTGTACCAATCTAATATTGTGCACAAATGCAAACTTCACAGGGACACTGGCAAGGGGTAGTGACAGTGGCATTTTTTCAGAAGTGCTGAAACTCTAAATACTAATACAGTCAAGGTATTGTGGCTGGAAACAAGGTATAACTTGGTAATTGGTGGTTGCCAGGGAGATCTACGCAGCTGCCCAGCTGAAATTCAACATCTGCCCAGCTGGAATTCATTCTCAGACAGAGGGTTATAGTGGTGCGCAGGGCCAGGGGACTGCAAGGGTTAATTCCCTTGTAGTAGTTTCTCACATCCTCTTCCAGCAGACACCCACAAAGTACTATTCAGTTTGCACTGTAACAAATGTTATTTCTGGGCCTCAGTGAGATAATGGTAAGTGAATGTAATTCACTCTCATTAATATATTAAAATGAGTATGAATTTTAAATTAGAAGGAACAAGTCCATGGTCGAAGAATTGAAATTGGATTTATGTGATTTGACTTCGTAGTCATTTATCTACAATACTCATTGATACTAATTGCACAGTTTCCTCTTCACATTCCCACTGGGCAGCACGTGTGTGTGTGTGTGTGTGTGTGTGTGTGTGTGCATGTGTTATGTATTTGAATTAAAAGACACTGAGAAGTAGCGCCTAAAAATGTTCTCCTTAGCAGCTTCCATTAAAGATGTTAAGATGGCCAGGCGTAGTGGCTCACGCCTGTAATCCTAGCACTTTGGGAGGCGGAGGTGGGTGGATCACCTGAGGTCAGGAATTTGAGACCAGCCTGGCCAACATGGTGAAATTCCATCTCTACTAAAAATACAAAATTAGCTGGGCATGGTGACGGGAGCCTGTAATCCCAGCTACTCGGGAGGCTCAGACAGGAGAGTCACTTGAACCCAGGAGGCGGAGGCTGCAGTGAGTCGAGATCGCACCACTGCACACCAGCCTGAGCATGACAGAATGAGACTCTGTCTCGAAAAAAAAAAAAAAAGATGTTAAGACAAGATTCTTACCCTAAGTTACAGCTGCCCAGATTTATACCCCCATAAGAAGCAAAATTAACTGGATTCTGTAACTAAGGTTGCTTATGTGTTTCAAGACACTGCTTGCAGTATGAGTGGAAGTTTAAACAAGGTTTCTTGTATTCATAAGTGAACAGTGACAACAGAGCAAGGAAGAGACTCTGAAATATGTGTACTTTTGATTCAGGGAAAGGAAGAACAGGTTGCTCCAGCAGTTGCAAAGAACCAGGATCTTGCAGGATCCTGTAGGATCTTGGGCAAATGAACTTTACCTAAGTTTCAGCTTTCTTCACTTAGAAGATAACATTTTGAGATGTGATATGGCAGAGCAGTTATAAGCTTGGGATGTGGAGTCTGACAGTGATTCATTAGTTCAGTAAATATTTATGGAGTCCCTGCCAGGAGCTGGGCACTGTGCTGGACAGCAGTGGAGTTGTATGGAGCAAGCAGGTTTCCAGTGCTCATGGCAATTCGAACTTAGCACAGCTGACAGATGAGAGCAAATGGTCACAACTAGCTGTGTGACCCTGAGGAATGATCATAATAACAAGCATTAACCGAGAACCTGTGGCATACCAAACTCTTTTCTCAGTGCCTTACATGAAAAAGCTCATTTCATCCTCACAATAAGCCAACGAGGGTCATACCACAGTTATCCTTATTTTACAGATAAGGAGAAAGGACATTGTCCAGATTCCTAAAACTAGTAAGTTGCCAGAGTTAAACCCAAACTCCAAAGTCCATGCTATTAAGCACTAGAAAGTCTTGAAGTCTTAGTTTCCTTATCTGTAAAATGGACATAGTAACAACCTAAATCAGAGCACCATTGTGAGGTTCATAGGAAGTGGTGTATATTAAGGGTTTAGTGTAGTACTGTATTAGTCCGTTTTCACGCTGCTGATAAAGACATACCTGAGACTGGGTAATTTATAAAGAAAAAGAGGTTTAATGGATTCACAGTTTTACATGGCTGGGGAGGCCTCAAAATCATGGTAGAAGGTGAAAGGCACGTCTTACATGGCAGCAGTCAAGACAGAATGAGAACCCAGCAAAAGGGGTTTCCCCTTATAAAACCATCAGATCTCGTGAGATTTATTCACCACCACAAGAACAGTATGGGGAAACCACCCCCCCGATTCAAAGATCTCCCACCAGGTCCCCCCTACAACACATGGGAATTATGGGAGCTACAATTCAAGATGAGATTTGGGTAGGGACACAGGTTAGCTCTTTATTTGCCACGCCAAGAACAAAAAATAGCTTTCATTTCTAATCGTTGATTTCTATCAATAACTTTGCTTTCTGTCCACTATTGTTTCTCATTTAAAAAAGAGAAAAACCAAATAGAAATAAAATAAGGAATAAATAATCTGGGGAAAACATTTTTTAAAACTGATTTTTCTCAGAGTATAAAAAAGTAGAAATACATGAGCATTAAGGAGACAAAAGGCCTGTAGTTTGCATCTAGAGAAATGTCTATTTTAAGATGAATTATTATTTTAATGACTAGGTTTTAAAGCCTTCCCATAATTTGATGCCCTGGGCTTTATTTGCTGAGTTTCTATGTAGCTTAATCTCCTCTCGATCTCAGTGAGTGACAACTTTAGTATTCCCACACCTCCTATGAAACCTAGTGGTTGAGAGGTCGACCTGTGTCTTCCTAAAGTTCCCAGTGTGTCTATATCCAACAGGGAGACATTATCGTGGGTCCCTGGGAAAATCTGTATCTATAAAAACCAGAACCTGACAAATGCTGAAATACAACACAATCAGGAAGAATGATTTTTAACAAATAATTACAATCCCTGAAACATTTTATTGTTCTTTTCCCTCCACTCCTCCACCACTGCCCTCTGTCCCAGTGAATATTTGGATAAGGAAATTTGCCTTCACAGATGCCCTAGTGAAACTGACTTACAAATATACATCTGTTAGCATGGGGATTTGGTTGGGAAAAGAGCATCTGTCTTGTTAGGGGAGGGTGCGGGAGGGAATCTCAAACCCTTTCCTAGAAGGAGCAAAAGGCATGAGGAACGTTTCATTACCTGGACCTCCTGCCCTCTGTGAGTGCTTCAGGGGCTAATGTGAGTCATGGTGTCTGAGCTCTTGGGGTAAGACCATAAGGAGATGGGTGGGAACAGGACAAGGCCACTCTGACAAAAAGGAAGGAAAAGGTCAGGTCCAGAGAGAGCGTGGCTCAGCCAGTGCGAGCAGCCTTCGATGTTCTTGCTGACTTCTGGCAGGCAATCGGCTCTGGGAGTTTCTGTCTAGGGACCCCTCCAGCAGCAGTATCTGCGTAGGGGCATGGGGTTCTTTATGCATATGCATCCCCTTTGGCATTGCTTAGACCCTTCACAGTGATGGGCCACAGCACAGTGCTGGCACATATCATGGCAAAAGCCCCCGATACCACCAGTTTCATCACTGAAACACTTAAGTTAGATGAACACACGCCTTCTTTCATCCAAAATCAAGTAGACTGTCAAGTCAAAATTAGTGAGTAATTTCAGAAATTTAACTAGGCCAATGAGAAATTCTCCCACGGTCCCCCCACCAAAATGATTTTGTGGGGGATGGAGAACAGGGTCTCACTCTGCTGCCCAGGCTGATGTGCGGTGGTGTGATCTTGGTTCACTGTAACCCCAAACTGCTAGGCTCAATCAGTCCTCCTGCCTCAGCCCATCGAGCAGCTGGGACTGCAGGTATGTGCCACCACGCCCAGCTAATTGTTTAATATTTTAGAGACAGGATCTCATTTTGTTGCTCAGGCTGGTCTCGAACTCCTGGCCTCAAATGATCCTCTCACCTTAGCTTCCCAAAGTGCTGGAATTACAGGTATGAGCACCTGGCCCAATAATTTTTAACAGTTATACAAAAATATAATTTTTAAGACGGAAAAAAAAATTTGTGAAAATTATCTTCGCTTTGGTAAGATGCTGTTCCTATTTTCTGTAATGGCGACCATAGACAAAAAATTCACTTTCCCCAAACAATGGAAACAATTGTGTTAGAATTTGTTGTTACTAGTATTCAAATGCTCTGAAAATGTGGTCTAAGCCCATGGTTATCAGACCTGAGTGTGCATTACGGTAATGCACAAAAATAGTATCCCAAATCCTACTCACTCTGAGAATCAGAATTTTTAGTTCAGCAAACCCACTGCAGGGTGAGAGGAAAACAGGGTAAGAACTTCTATTTTTACATATTTCGTTTCATCTTTAAAATAGTATTTATTATATATGTTCAAGTATATGTAATATATGTTTATGTATACACATGTATTTGTTTGAAATATATACTGCTATGGTTTGAATGGTTGCCTCTTGAGGAACTTATGTTGAAACTTAATCCCTAATATGGCAGCATTGAAAGGTGGAGCCTTTTAGAGGTGATTGAGTCATGAAGGATCTGCCCTGTTAATCCATGAATGGATTAATAGGTTAATGGGTTGGTGGGTTAATGGGTGATATGGTTTGGCTGTGTCCCCACCCAGATATCATCTTGAATTGTAGTTCCCGTAATCCCCACGTGTCGTGGGAGGGACCCAGTGGGAGGTAACTGAACCATAGGGGTAGTTACCTCCATGCTATTCTCATGATAGTGAATGAGTTCTCAGACGATCTGGTGGTTTTCTAAGGGCTTTTCCCCACCTTTGCTCTGCACTTCTCCTTGCTGCTGCCGTGTGAAGAAGGATGTGTTTGCTTCCCCTTCCGCCATGATTGTAAGTTTCCTGAGGCCTCCCCAGTCCTGAGGAACTGTGAGTCAATTAGACCTCTGTACACTAGCCTATATAATTTATAAATGGATATTTATATTTTGAAGGCCACGCTCAAAAACTTTAACATGTGGTGCATAAGTACAACTTTAAAGGCCAAGGCCTCAGATCACTGTAATGACCTCTCCCTGGTCTGCTTCCATCTGGTCAATCTCTCATCCTTTCCCTCCACTTGTCAACTGACCATGTCATATCCTTCAGTGTCTCCCCATTCTCTCAGGAAAATCACATGCCATTCAGCCACTGTAGGGAAGTCAAAATGCATTTAATACGCCTAACCTACCGAACATCCGAACCCACTTTTTCATGTCTTACTTAGCTTTAAGCTCTGTAGAGAGAGATAAGTGCTGTAACATTGTTTTCTTTTACTCTGCCCTATTTTTTTTAGAGGAATCAACACAATTTTGATAATATATATATTGGATCTCTCATTAATTTTCTATCTCCCCATTTGAGTGAAGCTTCCATATTAGGGATCCTTTTGTTTTCTATACTATTTAAATAACCTACTCAGGGCCTAGCACATAATAAAAGTTTCATATATACTTGCTAAATTAGTTAATAAATATATTTAACAGCTATATTAACACTTGTTAGGAAGACGGTGCACATTCAAAACACTGAAATTCGTTCCAGGAATATTTATTGAACATCTACTATGTGCCCAATAGTGCCAACCACTTCACTGCCATAGAAGGTACAAGAATGTTGTCATAGTTCTTTTCCTCAAAGGGCTCACAGTCTAACAGAGAAGTACTAGCAAATGGTGTGATGAGTCTCACAGATCAGGCTTTTTTCTTTTTCTTCTTTCTTTGAGACAGAGTCTCACTCTGTCGCCCAGGCTGCGATCTCGGCTCACTGCAACCTCCGTCTTCTGGATTGAAGCTATTCTTGTGCCTCAACCTCATGAGTAGCTGGGATTACAGGCATGTGTCAACATGCCCAGTTAATTTTTTGTATTTTTAGTAGAGTCAAGATTTTGCCATGTTGGCCAGGATGGTCTCAAACTTCTGAGCTCAAGCGATCTACCCTCCTTGGCCTCCCAAAGTGCTGGGATTACAATCATGAGCCATCGCGCCCGGTCTCATAGATCAGGCTTCTAAAGAGCCCAGAAGGGTAGCCAGCTCTCCTTGAGGGCTTGGAAAAGGCTTCCAAGAGGAAGGAATGTCCAAGATGCATGCCCTCAGGCAGGACTGGCTATGTGATTGGAAAGGCCCAGTGCAAAATGAAAATGTGAGGTCCTTGTTCAAAAATTACTAAGAATTTCAAGACAATGGCAGCAGAACATTAAATCAAACATGAGACCTTCTGACCTCAGAGACTGGTGCAACTGCATAGGCCACATGCTCTTGAAGCTGGTGCAGCTCTCTGGGTCCCCAGGACGTGGGTGAGAGAGAGTGTGGATAAACAGCATTCAGCAAGCCACACAACCAAAGATTTTAGAGTGAGAAAGACCCTCATTTGTCCAGTCTTTTTTTGAAAGAGTTTATATGTATATTTATACATACACACACACACATATGCATACATACACACACATATTTTTAATTATTATGGATGCATATAGTTGTAAATATTTCTGGGGCACATGTGATATTTAGATACAAGCATATGATGCATAATGATCAAATTAGGGTAATAGAAGTATTCATCACCTCAAGCATTTATTATTTCTTTGTGTTAGGAACATTCCAATTTTACTCTTTTAGTTATTTTACAACATGCAATAAATTATTGTTAACTATAGTCACCCTATTGGGCTGCTGAGCGCTAGATCTTTTCTTCTGTCTAACTGTATTTTTGTATCCATGAACCATCCACACTTTATCCCCACTCCCTGCTACCATTTCCAGCCTCTGGTAACCATCACTCTTCTCTCTATCTCCATGAGTTCCATTTTTTGTTTTAGCTCCCACCTATGAGTGAGAACATGCCATGTTTGTCTTTCTGTGTCTGGCTTATTTCACTTAACATAATGTCCTCTATATTATCTTCTCATTTTAGAGAAGTTTTCTGAGACTCAGAGAGGTGAAATTCTTAGTGTCTCAAAAAAAGAAAAAGTCAGTAACATTATGGTACTAAACCCATGCTTCTCCCAGGGCAAAATGTTTGTTAAAGAAAAAGCAAGTGGTATTCTTTGTCCCTGCTTCTTGTGCAGGCCAGAGAAGCTGGAGAAGAAATGATGTGAAGCTAGTGTACCTGCAAGCACCTTGAATATTCTGTGCTGGGACTATCTACCTGAGCACTGCTATTATACAGCAACTGTCAGGAGGAAATGCCCAGTTGTCAGTCAGATTGGCCGAATTTGCCTCCAACCAAATTGGTGACGGCATTTGCCTGTGCCTAATTTCCCTCCTTCCTCCATTGCTTTGATCCCTTCTGACCCTTCCAAAGCAATCAGGAGATGAGAGGCTGAGGCCTTTCCAGACTGAACTAGTCTTTCAAAGATTCAAAAGAGGACTTTGCAGTGAACATCAGGCATCTGTAAGCTGGTGGCGGATACTTCTGTGGTGCAATAAGTCGTCCAACTCCCAATCATGTTGTAGAGGCAGCCACCATTGCTCATACTCCTAGGTGTATCCTACCTGTCTCTCTCCTCGGAAGACTTGCCTGGGACTCATGGACGTGCCTAGCGTTGACTGAATAAGACCAGCTAGTGCGAACAAAACAAGCCAGCACGCATCACTAGAAAGACCAGACTGGAGCTTGACTAGGGGCTGCTGAGCAACTTAGGCCACCCCTTCCTCTGTTGGGAGCAACATAAAATTCTCAGAGGGAAAGCAGCTGCCAGGATGGTTGCTGTGACTTTGAGCAGATGCATGTGTCTGTCTGGGGACTGCAGGATTCTTAGGAGTAGTCAAGGATGAGGGCATGCTGTGGCTTTGATTTATTTAGTGGAAGCACAAGAACTTTAAGCTTCAGGCATGTGTGCATGTGTCTTTAAAGTGACTGTCACACCCAAAAGTGAGTGCCAGGAAGGAAACTTCACATTTTCCATGGCTTGCAGCTTCTATATATTAACATCATCCCTGACTTACTGACTTCCTGCCACATACTAGCCAAGGAAAGCCAGCACCTAGGATGGTTGTTGCTACAGGGTAGAAGCCAACCTGAGACAAATGTTTAGGGAATGGATGAATGAATGAATGAATGAGTGAATGAATGAAAGAGCAAATTTATGAGTTCACTGCTCCTGGGCTTGGCCCGCCACCAGGTGGAAGTGGATAAGGGTGCACCCTGTCAGAGCAGTTAGATTGCTCTAGTGCAATATCACACTGACTATGAGGAAGCTCATTTTCTGCAAGTGCTAACTCGATTGTGCACATTTCTACATAATAATAAACTTATGTAGTCTATTGTATAAGTGTATACATTTAAAAAGAGGGATGCTTTAATTAATGTATGTGTCTATTTTATTATTAATAATATAATGTGTCAAATGCCTTGGGATTCACGAAGATGAAAGCAAGCAATATAAACATGAGATACCATTATGCTTCTTATAATTACAGCCTGTGGATATGCCAGTTCATTATAAACACCCATCACACAATGTACCCTGTCATGCTGCTCTAACAAAAGGCAATTGTTGGGAGGGTCAAGGAGTCCACGGGATGCCATTTTAATAGGATTTGGGTTGGCTCACTGTTAATAGAAACACTTTGATGTGAGTCAAGTACCTCAAATTCCACTGGCCAAGTCTTGAACACGGACTAAATTCTAACAAGTTCAAAGAATAAAAATCATGTCTTCCTAAACTTCCAAGAAATGTATTTATTGGACCACCTGAGGCAGTGAGAACCTATAGATTGAGAATGTTCTCTATCTTTCTTACAAGTAGCCTGAGTTATTTCAAAGATGGGAAAAAGGCAGGGCGCAGTAGCTCATGCCTGTAATCCCAGTACTTTGGGAGCCCAAAGCAGAGGGATCACTTGAGCTCAGGAGTTTGAGAACAGGCTGGCCAACACAGTGAGACCCCATGTCTACTTTTAAAAAAAAAATAAAATGAGGCTGGGAGTGGTGGCACAGGCCTGTGGTCCCAGCTACTCAGGAGGCTGAGGCAGGAGAACTGCTTGAGCCCAGGAGGTCGTTGCTGCAGTGAGCTGTGTTCGGGTCATGGGACTCTAGCCTGGCCAACAGAACAGGAGGGAAAGAAAGCTGGGAACAGGGCTTGGGTGGGAGCGGGCAATAGGCCCTCTTCATTTCTTATGGCTCTGGGGACCCAGTTTTGTGCTGACTCATAACATGCATTTTCAATGAGGCAAATATGTCCCCCAAGGGAACAAAAATAGGTTTTTGGGAGGGAAGGCACAAAAAAAAAAAAACCCACAACAAAAAAACCCACTTTTACCCTTTTTATATATAAAGCATAGCTATGCATATAGTACACTAAGAGTAGCTCTTAATAATGTTTCTGAGGTATTAAAATTTCATGGGAGAGGCCAATTAGGAAAGAAACATCTAAAGAGGCTCGTTAGGGGAGCAAAAATGGAAACCAAAAGGTTGAGAAACACTACTCTTGCTCTCTAAGAAGCAGTTTTACTGATAATCATTGAACGTGAAGTTTCCCCATTCTGTGGGAAGCAAGCTTCAGGGTGACTGTGGGCCTGGGAAGAGGTAAATCCTCCTAGGAAACCATTGTCCCACTGTTTAATAGAAATACGGGATTCTGCTATCATGGATTTTCTCTTATGGCCTAAATTTCTAATACTCCCCAAAGTGCAGATATCTCTGGATAAGGTAATACTTTTTATTTTTTGAGACAGAGTTTCGCTCTTTTTGCCCAGGCTGGAGTGCAGTGGTACGACCTCGGCTCACTGCAACCTCTGCCTCCCAGGTTCAAGCGATTCTTCTGCCTCAGCCTCCAGAGTAGCTGTGATTACAGGCGCCCGCCACCATACCTGGCTAATGTTTTGTATTTTTTGTAGAGATGAGGTTTCACCATGTTGGCAGGGCTGGTCTCAAACTCCTGACCTCAGGTAATCCACCCGTCTTGGCCTCCCAAAGTGGTTGGTATACAGGCATATGCCACAGCACCTGGCCTGGATAAGGTAATACTTTTAATCATCTATTTATATCTTGGTATCAGGATCTATGAATTCCTTGTCTGATCAGTTTTTTTTTATTTTTATTTATTTATTTGTTTTTTTTCTGAGACAGGTCTCACTCTGTTGCTTAGGCTGGAGTGCAGTGGCATGATCAGGGCTCACTGCAGCCTCAAACTCCCAGGCTTAAACGATCCTCCTGCTTCAGCTTCCCTACTAGCTGAGATTAAAGGTGTCTGCCACCATACCCAGCTAAGTTTTAAAAATTTTTTAAGGAGATGAGGGCTCTTTATGTTGCCCAGGCTGGTCTCGAACTGCTGGATTCAAGTGATCCTTCCACGTTGACCTCCCAATGTGCTGGGATTACAGGGATGAGCTACTGTGCCCGGCTTTGACATCAAATTTTAATAGGGGCAGGAAAGAATACAAGGGTGTTGAATACCTGAGGGAGAGAAGGAGGCATCATTGAGGGGAGGGAATGTACAAAAAGGAAAGGTTGAAAATAGGAATGAGCTGGTTACAAAGCTCAATCTACAAACTCAGTGTTCAAGAAATGCACTTATTTTCTAGACCTCTTTTTTATGATTTAATTCTGCTAAGATGTCAGGAAGAAAAAATAATCACAGTCAGTTCAGGATTCCTTCCACTTCCTGGAACTGGGTGGGTTTATGGTAATTGTGCAGTGCTAAGGCATGGGAGGCAATGGGTCATGCCACAGCAGGTCTTCAGTCCTAGGTACAGACAAGTCAATACTGAGTCACCACCCCCAGGTCCTTCAGGTCCTACCTTCACCCTGGGAGCTGAGTAACACTCTCTGGCCCCATCTGTTTAGGGACACCACATTCTCTTGGTCTTGCCAACTCTCTAGGCTTCTACCCAGGAAAGGACACAGGTTTTCTCTACTTCCCAGTGTCTCTACACCAAACCTATCTGGAGTTTTCATCCCTACCCCTTACCCCCTACCTGCTCAATTTGACAAGGGCAGAGTACAAGAGGTACAGAAGTGCCAGTACCTAAATTTTCATCACGTCTGTGCAAGCATTCCTCTTCCTTGGAGCCCAGGGATTTCCTATCAACTTTCCAGGCTGAGACCTCCCGCAATGCATATTCATCCAAATTCATCACCTTTTGGTATCTCTGGAGGACTTGGCTGTGTCACAGCTCCTTGAGGCAATGCGTGTGCAACGGCCAAGCTGGACAGAGACAGGCCAAGGGAAAGAGGAAATGCTGAGAGGACAAAAGTCGTTTATATTTCAAAATATACATTTAAACATAAGAGGCGTGATTTCACAATCGGAAAGTTGATCCACCACTCCAGGACTGATTTCCTCGACTTTCATTCTAGACCAGGGGTGTCCAATCTTTTGGCTTCCCTGGGCCACACTGGAAGAAGAGGAACTGTCCTGGGCCACGCATAAAATACACTGACACTAACGATAGCTGATAAGCTAAAAAAAAAAAATTGCAAAAAAACTCACAATGTCTTAAGAAAGTTTACCAATTTGTGTTGGAATGCACTCAAAACCATCCTGGGGCACATGTGGCCCATGGGCTGTGGGTTGAACAAGCTTGTTCTAGACAATATTCAGAAGAATTGCCTCATATCTTAATCATACAAGTATATCCTTCATAACGCAAACTTCAGTAAAGGCTATCTCTCCTTTTTACTCAAGTGCAGTAATACTGGAATGGTTGCATGGGACGTTGTTGTATATTTCAACAGGGATATTAATAAAATTGTGAGTTTAGCTCCCAAGGTGAGACTTTTAGCATCAAAAATTATACACAAGACTCATACATAATTCTAAGTGTCTACTATTATATGGGTGCAGAATAAATGGTATTGAATTGAATTATTTCAGGTGTGCTACAAACAAGTTTCCTTTAGATGCTACCTTAAAGTCAAGATAGGTTGAAAAAATTACAAAGTCTTTCTAGTAGTCTAAACATGAGGCATGTTGCTCATTCTGTGACAAAAAAAGCTGCTGATGCTGTTGTGCGAACTGACTAGGAAAGCAGAGTCTGTAAATGCCGTAGCCACTAAGCCAAAGTCTGCAATAGAATAAGTGCAACTCTTCTGGCTTGGTGTTTCTGGGCATACAGGAGCATTCGCCATTGCTAGTTATGTTGTAATCACGGAATAAATAGCACTTTATAGAGGGCTCTCAATTCACCTGGTAAACTTTTTTCTCCCTCAGTGTCATGCTGCAGCTATGAAAGAAAGAATTGGCCTTATTCTTATGTTTTCACAACCTAATATCCAGTATTTACAATCCACACATGTTCCTTAGGGGAGCTCAAGGCATTTTCTGACAAGCCATCTCTTTCCTCCATTTAACAACAGTGATGGGATCCGGGAGAAGAAATTGATGGTAAAAGTGATGAATGTTGCATTTAAAGAGGAGTCAACATTTAGATACAGCACGGTTACGTTTCTCTTCCATGGTCACACTGTGACTCAGAGCAAAACTTTTTTGATAAATCTTTCTTTTTTTTTTTTTGAGACAGTGTCTCTCTCTGTCACCCAGGCTGGAGTGAAGTGGAGCAAGCTTGGCTCACTGCAACCTCTGCCTTTTGGGCTCAAGCGATTCTCCTGCCTAAGCCTCCCCAGTAGCTGGGACTACAGGCACGCCCCACCATGCCTGGCTGATTTTTGTATTTTTAGTAGACATGGGGTTTCACCATGTTGGCCAGGCTGGTCTCGAACTCCTGGCCTCAAGTGATCTGCCTGCCTTGGCCTCCCAAAGTGCTGGGATTACAGGCGTGAGCCACTGCACCCGACTGGTAAGTCTTCCTTCTACTCTCACGCCTGAATCCCCAAATCCTTATAAAAGGTAGAGGTTTTCTTATTCTGTGTTGTCGTCTTCGAGTTTATCTGGTTACCAAATAGGAAAAAAAATAATAATAAAAGACAAAAAAAAAGAACCCAACTGTTTACCTGACAAAAAAATGATTTTCAAAGTTTAGTTTTCAAAATATTTTGCCAAACTCACTGTTCTTCACTGCTAAGATGGAATGACAATGCAGTGCTTCAAGGTGCCGACAAAAACAAGTTATGTCATCCCAAGTTACAAAGAAAACAGACACCAGCAGAGACTCCTCACCAAGTTTTAACATGTGGAAACAGCAATGCGCCAGAGCAGATTCTCGGAGGCTAAACCAAGGGGAATAAAGCCATGAAACAGCTCATTTCCATTTGACAAACCAGCCTTGGGAACTCAGATAAGGACTTCATTTCATACATGCTACAAATCCATTTTCCGTTTTCCTAAAAGTCCTGGCAATGATTCAAAGCCAACTCATGAAGCAGACAGGAGGCCTGTTTCTGGCCAACAGAGGCTCTTTCTCCAGGCGATAGTAACAATAGGCATCTTTCTGGGTGGTGACTGAGTTCTCCCACGCGACCCATTGTAAGTAAAATAATTTCTAGTAACTAGACACTAGTTTCGAGACTATGCCATTCAGTGGGTGTGATAATAATAACAGCCAACATGATTGAGTGCTTTTTATATGGTAAGCATGGTTCTAGGCATTTTACATGATGATCTCCCTATTACTTGCAATAACCGTATTTGTAACCATCCTACTAGCGGTGCCATTTTATCAATGAGGTCCATGCGGCCCTGAGAGATTAAGCACTTTTAGTCCAAGGCTCTATGGCTAGTACATGGTATCGCTGGATGTGACTCTGAACTCATGCTCTCAATCACTATACCATATTGCAGTGAAAACAATGGCAAATATTGTTACCCTCCTATATGTGTATTTATAGTATAGCATAACTAGGTGTGAAAAGTAAAATTACTAGTAGACCACTGAGAAATTATTACTCTCCCATAAATGCTAGACCGAATGGGACATACATGTAAGAAACAAAAAGTCAACTTGTGGCATATTTTTAGAACATCTTTAAATATCTTTAAATCATCGGTGAAATATCATTATTAAAATTGGAGTAGGGGGAGGAAAAAGGCAAAACACTTGCCAAACTCTTGTTTGGGGAACACAAAAATCCAATCGAAGTATAATTTTTAAAGGGTTAAAAAACATAGCACATGTATGACTATAAAAGGAACACGTGCCAACGATTGCATTCAGCTCATTTACTAATGAGGAAACTGGTAAGATATTGAAATTGGTCCAAAGGGCATCTGGAAGACTACATATACATGAGCAATTTAATAAATTCCTGGGTTAGATATAAAGCTGCTTAATGTCCAATTATGTTTAAACTGTAACCCTTGGGATTATCTGTTTTACCAGAGAGAAATTATTTGCATCTCTACTGAACACAAAATTACAAGTTGATCTTTCTCTACAAAGGTGTAAAATAGGGCAATAAATAGAAAGTCAAGCCTGAAGTGCATTCTACAGCAACAATAACAACAAAAAAATGAAAAACCGAACATCTACTCACTATTTTCTTTCGTCTATTTTCAAGTTGAGATGACTTTTCTGATAACCCTTACTAAAGTAAGGAAATAGAGCCTTGTGTCTAGCCAGTTCAAAATGAAATAGATAGATAGGTAGATAGATAGATAGATAGATAGATAGATAGATAGATAGATAGATAGATAGACAGATAGATACATAGATAGATAGATAGATATAGATATATATATACATCCCCAAAGTAGGCAGAAAGAATGTTTGGAAAATCCTCAGTAAAGTAGATTGTGTTTCCTAATGATTTTTAAAAAAGTAATAAGCCACTGGACATGAAGAGGATACTAGGAAAAATGAAGAGAAAGAAAATCTGTTTTCCATTTTGCATTAGCATAAACTGTACAGAATAGCGGAGCTCGTTTTACAGGCAAAGCAATTGAATTTTAAAATGGAGTGGGGGTCATATCACAAGAAGTCAATATGCTTCCACTTCCTCTATGTTCTTCTCAGTGTCTCAGCTCTCCCTCAAATGTCATTCTATCCCCTGATCAAAATAAGTCTCTGTTTCTACTCCTTTAAAGAACATGAAGTTAAATAGGTTAATTTCCCCAGAGTGGCGTAAGCTGATAATATTCCAAATCTCTGTTTTCTTTGACCTAGTTCTCACTTTTGTTTGTATTACAGGTTGGGAAGAAATTTGAGGCTCTTCAGTAACTCGTTAAATATTTTCTGATTCTAAGAGCTTAACCAGACAGACTACCGAGGTTGAAACTTTACTTGTGCTGAACTTTTCGAAACATTCCAGGAGACTTTGGAGGTTGGACTTTTAATATGCCAACTGCTCGTTCCTGTACTTATAACTATAGTGTAACTACATTGTCCTGGATTTTATTCAAGTTGATAGGCAAATATAATAGTGTTCTCTTTTTTCTCCAAAGTGAGTAAAATGTCAACCCTTCCCTCCTGACTAAATAAACACATCCTATTGTAGAAAACTACAACTGGATTAAACTCGCATTTGAACAAGGTTAACTGTATACTTTTTAAGCCTATTCTGGAATAACTGGTCACTGAATCATCTTCATTGCATGTTACAAGCATCTTTCACTCTCCCACTTGTATGAGATCTGGAAGCCAAGCTTAGAAAAGAAGGTACTTGTCACCGGAACTGCCTCTGTGCTTTTTCAACAGGAAAATATGAGGTTGCACTGTCCATCTCCCTAAGATTTCAGGACACTTTTACAATTTTTACACAAAAATATTTGAAGAAGTTTTACAATGAACGTTTAGCATTCCTATAGTAGGAAAGTAAGTCTTTACAGCTATTTTTGCTTACTTACTCCTTAACTTTTTTGTATGGAAAATTTAAAACATGCAAAATTAGGGTAACTGTTAACATTTTTACTCACATCAACCATATCTTCCCCACTCCCAAGTTTACTCTGAAGAAAATCTCAATATCTTATCATTTTAGTCTTATTCAGTATGCATTGCTAATAGATAAGAATTCTTTAAAAACAAGTAACCGAAACACCAATACTATGACCTATTCCCAAATTAACAATAATTCCTTAATATGATCCATTACTCAGGATAATAAAAATTTTGCCTGACTGCTTCATAATATCTGCTTCTTTTTTTAAACAACTTATTGAAATCAGGATTCTAATATGGACCATCTACTATAATTGATTGACACAATGTCTAAGTCCCTTTCAATTTACAGGTTCCCCTTCTTTCTCTTTGTCCTCTTCCTCCTGCTCCTCCTCTTCCTTTTTTTTTTTCTCCTGCAATTTACTGGATAAAGAACCTCTCCCTTGGTCAGGATTTGGTGACCGAGTCCCTGGGTCACTTAGCATGTTCCCTTTTCCTCACTTCCTTTGAATTGGCGCTCAGATCTGGTGGCCCTGTCTGCCTCCATGCCCTGTGAGGCTTAAGTTTTTTTTGTTTTTTTTTTTGTTTTTTTTTTTTGTTTGAGATAGAGTCTCGCTCTGTCACCCAGGCTGGAGTACAGTGGCTCGATCTCGGCTCACTGCAACCTCCGCCTCCTGGATTCAAGCAATTCTCCTGCCTCAGCCTCCTGAGTATCTGGGATTACAGGCACACATCACCATGCCCGGCTAATTTTTGTGTTTTTAGTAGAGATGGGGTTTCGCCATGTTGGCCAGGCTGGTCTCGAACTCCTGACCTCAGGTGATCCACCCGCCTAAGCATCCCAAATTGCTGGGATTACAGGTGTTAGCCACTGCGCCTGGTCAGGCTTAAGTCTTTAGCAAGATACTTCATAGGTACTACTGTGTACGTTCCATCAGAAGGTGCAAACTATTCAACTGTCTCTTTATGTGTGATGTTAGGAGCCATCAGCGATCATTGCTTAGATCCACTCATTCACTGAGAAGTGCAGAATCATGATATTCTAATTACAGCAGTCCCTCATGTGTTATCTGTAATGATCAATAAGGAGGAAATTGCCTAATTAACTAGCTGGTTGCTGTGTGGTACCAAAGGAGGTGCCAGGTTCTTTCTCTTTACTTGCCACTTTGCAAAATAATGAGTTAGTTCCATAGCAATCTCTGAAAGAAGGAAGATTTGTTTGTCTTTGATATCATTATAAACTAAAGGATCTAAATATATTTGTTCTTTTGGTCTATTGCAGTTATCATTTATTTATTTATTTATTTAGAGATGGAGCCTCACTCTGTCACCCAAGCTGAAGTACAATGGCATGATCTTGGCTCACTGCAACCTTCACCTCTTGAGTTCAAGTGATTCTCCTGCCTCAGCCTCCCCAGTAGCTGGGATTACCGGCATGCGCCACCACACCCAGCTAATTTTTTTTATTTTTAGTAGAGACGGCGTTTCGCCATGTTGGCCAGGCTGGTCTCGAACTCCTGACCTCAGGTGATGCACCTGCTTTGGCCTCCCAAAGTGCTGGGATTACAGGTGTCAGCCACCGTACCCGGCCCTATTCTCTTATTCTTTTGATTCTTAAATTATTCCAGCTTTAACCATTGAGATTCTCTTCAAGTTGGCTTCTGTTTCTTTTTGGCCCTCTTAGCTTTTGACGGTTTACTTGCTTTCTGGTATGAAAAGATATTCCAGGCTCACCCTATATCCCAGACTTGGAGTCAGCCATTTCTTAAGGAGTCTGGTTCATTTTAGTGGTGTGCAGTATTTAGAGACGACAGTCAGGGCCCCAGGAGGCCTATTTTCATTTTGAAAGAAAAATGTTTTCCATTTTCCATGATCAATTTCCTCCCTCAGTTTCAGGGAGCAAATGAACTGATAGGCAGAGCCTCCGATGTTGGCCTCACAGTAGAATTCTAAAGTTCATTGCAAGAGCAAATGGTAGCTGGTTATGTGCTTTCTTTCCCAGGATTACCTTATGTTCTGATGTAGAGGAATTAGGAAAGCAGATGTAGAGAGATAATATTATTTTTCTGTGCATATGTCAATTGTGAACTAATGGAGCAGGTGAACTGGGAGTCTGTCCATTCTAGGCGAGGCCAGGGCAGGCGACAAGGAAGCAAAAGCTGCCGCTACGCTATTCAAGGCCCCTGGTGGGCAGCTGATCTCAAAGATCTTTATTGGCTGTGCCTCTACTTCTCCTGAAACCCTACACCTCCCTAGGGAAGGCCTGACCTCTCAGGGGCTTCCATGGCTGGTCCCCACCCCCACCTCTAACCCCAGAGGACTAAAAGACCAGAGAGATGATAAAAGTCTTGTTTCTTTTTCTTTCTTTCTTTCTTTCTTTTTTTTTTTTTTTTTTTTTTTGCTCTTCCCTGTGGAAGGAATAGACGTCCCTTTGTTCTGGATGACGAAGAGGATGAGTAGTGAAGTCCAGGAAACGAGAACTAAAGTGTGGGCTGGCTCTATTCTGGACCATAGAGGAGAAGAGAAAAAAAGGACCTTGAGGTTTCTTTGTGTTTGGCTCAACTCAGCAGTTTAGGAAAACTGGTAAAGTTTTGGGACACAAACCTTAGTCAGGAATAAAATGCAAATAGTTCATTGGCCATGCCCTGAACTGTATCTGTCAGGAATTTAATTCTGATTGTTGATGGGCACATTAATTACAAGCCCTACCATCTGGCATGCTTGAAAACAACCACAGCTGGGATATGAGTGTGAGCTCACCAGAGCCTGCAATGGTAAAGGCAAGACTAGCTACATTTTTTCTAGACTTTGTACTATATAGAGAGAGTAAAGCTACAGCATTAGCAGAGGATCTTGATTTTGGTGTGGATTTATTCCTAACCTGGGGCAAGTTTGGGATTGTTACTGTCATACAATGATACAGTTTCTATTAGTAGTTATTAATATTGGTAATAGTATTGAAAATAACAAGTATGATTTACTGAGTGCTTATTACATACTACTTTGATGAGGAAGATATCCTTAATCACACTGTACATGTGAAGAAACTGAGGCACAGAGAAGTTAAACAAGTTTCTCAAAGTCACACAGCTTAGTAACTATCAGAACAAGAATTTTAATTCAAATTATTTGAAACCATCACCCTGGTTTTCTTTTTCTATTTTGATCCTTCTCAACTAGTAGGGAGGGATAAGGCGCTTACCCCCTTTCTCTCTCTCTTTTTTTTTTTTTTTGAGACAGCGTCTCTGTTTGTCACCCAAGCTGAACTGCAGTGGCATGATCTTGGCTCACGGTGACCTCTGCCTCATGGGTTCAAGAGATTTTCCTGCCTCAGTCTCCCAAGTAGCTGGGATTACAGGCATGCCCCACCATGCCCAGCTTATTTTTCTATTTTTAATGGAGACAGGGTTTCACCATGTTGCCCAGGCTGGTCTCAAACTTCTGACCTCAGCTGATCTGCCCACCTCGGCCTCCCAAAGTGCTGGGATTACAGGTGTGAGCCACCACACCCGGCTCTGCTTTCTTGTTTTTAAGGACAAGCTGACATGTTAGTAGCATCTGGAACCAACAAGGGAGCAGCAGCAAGAATGAGTTTTGAGTATTCCTGTGGCTTATCCACAGATTCTCTAGGGCACCTGACCACTAGCCTTACATACTGAACGATGAAGACAAGCCAATTTCTTAAACCAAAAGCGTAGGAAAATGCTGGGTGCATACGGTATACAAAAGATTGATTCTTTGTTGTCTCTATTGTTAGTGTTGGATGTTCAAAGGCTTCTTTTACTTCTTCCCAAAAGGTTCCTCCTGGTCCAAGATTTTCAGCCCAATTTAAGTAAACCCCGATCAAAGAGCTAAATTTCAGAAAATTCAAAGTAGGTCTTTACCATAGAAGCGTTGAGGCATTTAATCAGTGAACAGGTATTAAAATGAGGAGGTCTCTCTTTTTTTTTCTTTCTTTAAAGACAAGGTCTGGCCGGGCGCAGTGGCTCACACCTATAATCCCACCACTTTGGGAGGCTGAGGAGGGTGGGTGGATCACTTGAGGTCAGGAGTTCGAGACCAGACTGGCCAACATGGTGAAACCCCGTCTCCACTAAAATACAACAATTAGCCAGGTGTAGTGGTGCATGCCTGTAGTCCCAGCTACTCTGGAGGCTGAGGCAGGAGAATCACTTGAACCTGGTAGGCAGAGGTTGCAGTGAGTAGAGATCATGCCACTGCACTCCTCCCTGGATGATAGCAAGACTCCGGCTCAAAAAATAAATAAATAAATAAATAAATAAAGACAAGGTCTCACTCTGCTGACCAGGCTGGAATGCAGTGGTGCAATCACAGTTCACTGTACCCTCAAACTCCTGGGCTCCAGCGATCGTCTCACCTCAGGCTCCCAGTGCATTGGGATTACAGGTGTGAGCCACCTGTAATGGAGGGGTGGTGTCTTTCTTAAATGAGAAATTAAGTGTTTTCTTCAGTAAAGTTTAAGAAACAATCGGCAAAACTCTAGAAGTTCATGAAAAATTTAAAAACTCTTTTCTGTGGAGCTCCAGTTTTCTGAGAATTAGGTTTGTCTGAAAGCAGGAGAATTTGTTTTCTGTGGATAAGACTGCACACAAACCCCAAACCAGTGCTCAAGAGATAGTTGGCTCTGGAAAGAAAACAACACACAGAGAGAAAAATGCGATTGGATATAAACCTACATTTTTATTGCGCAGTCAGGACATGACATGGAAACATGAAACAAAATAGGGAGGGAGACAGTAAGGTCTTGCAAAAGTCTTAAGGGAGACAGAGTTGAAGGAGTGTGTGTGTGTGGAGAGAGACAGAGAGAGTGAACAAGTTGGCTTGCAATGTTGTAGGCACCATGCTAGGTGCTGTGAGACAACGGTACTCTAAGAATCTATGATGCCGCTCAGATTTCCAACACAGCAAGGACTTGGATTAAGATGGCCTCCATTTAGGGGGGTACTCTTGGGAGGCAGTCAGCAGAGGGGCAATTCTTTATGATTTGGCGGCTACCAGCCAGTGCAAGAGGCTAAAATGGAAGCTCAGCAGGCAGGGAGGGGTCTTGGCATGGTGTCTGGGTCTGCCAGGTTTCTTGTGCTGAGACTGTAGAACAAAATTTTCTAAACCATCTTGCTGGATGCTCTCAATAGGAAAATGGCAACAGCTGACTTTTTTTTTTTTTTCAGAGGAGTCTCACTCTGTCGCCCAGGCTAGAGTGCAGTGGCGTGATCTTGGCTCACTGCAACCTCCGCCCTCTGGGTTCACGCAATTCTCCTACCTCAGCCTCCCTAGTAGCTGGGATTACAGGCGTGCACCATCACGCCCAGCTAATTTTGTATTTTTAGTGGAGACAGAGTTTTGCCGTGTTAGCCAGGCTGGTCTGGAACTCCTGACCTGAAGTGATCCGCCCACCTTGGCCTCCCAAAGTGCTGGGATTACAGGCGTGAGCCACCATGCCTGGCCAATGGCTGATTTTGGATGAGCATACTTATCAGCGTTGACAGCAGAGGACAGGCTAAATGTGATTCCAGTTTCAAACATGAGATGACCAAGGCATACAAAGTCAAATGATCATAGAGGTGGATGGCAGGCAGGATGGCAGTAAGTGTTTGCGGCTAGAAAGTTTGCTTCTCATCTCACAGAAACACCCTCTCTGACAGCTTTGCACTGGCCATTGTCCAACTTTGGCAGGATGCCAAAAGACAAACTACCAAGGTCATGTGTACTTTCATTAGCAAGAGCTGCCAGAAGATAGTAGATAGGCAAAAATTCACCAACAGAGTAAAATTTTAAAAATCAGACGTAATTCTTGGCTTTATTTCTCACTCTTGATTAGCGGACATCCCTTTGGCCCTTTCCCTCCTTCCCCTTTCAATAATTCATTCTTCTTCATCACTCCTTCGATCCCTATGTTTGTGCCCTCTGCATTCTGCCAAACAAACGCTCATTGACTTCCACAGTGAATAGGCAGACATGCTAAAATATTCCCAGGGCAGCTATTTGCTTCCTTTGATCAGATGTAAAAATGTCTGGAATCCAGATTAGCATTGCAGCTATGGAAAAGAATTTCCAGGGAATCCTGACTCAGGTTTTAAAAGTGAATGCATCTAAGCATTCATTTGGACTATGAAAATAGAAATGGTCCTGGTCCCCAGGGGTCAAAGAGGATCCAGAATGTACTCAAAACTCCATCCAGCTTTCTGCAAGATATCCTCACAATTATGCACACGATGCCGTCCTGGTGGGATCTTGGAGAGTTTCGTGAATGGAGGCGGAAGAACTCGACTCCTCTTATTCATCAGCTTTTCCAGGAAGACTTTGCTTCTGCCCCTGTAAATGTGTAGCAGCAAATATACGACACATGTCTTACTTCCTCAGCACTAAAGAACAATGTTGAAACAAAGGCCAGAGAGAAGGTTGAGCTCTCACCCTGGGAGACTTTCAGGAGAGAGTCCTCTATGGAGTGGATTCGGCCTTGATTCTAGCAGGGATGAAGTGTTCCATTCTACATCACTGGCGAGTCTAGCATAATGTGGGACCCGTGGACAAAGCTGTTGCAGCTTGGAGCAATCAGATCAAAGGTCATGTCCAGAAGACGAACTCAGGTAGGTGGAGGACCAGGTCAAGTAGGGACAGAATCTCAAAGACAGTAGATCATCCCGATCAAAAAACAGGCTGAGGCTGGAAGGACCAGGTGGGGAACAAGTTGCGAAGGTGATCTCAGTAAACCATCAGTGGGTGCTTGCTGAGCAGGAACTTCCACGGTGTGGGCTCCTCTGTGAATGTTTTTGTTTTTGTTTTGTTTTGATTTTTAGAGACAGGGTCTCACTCTGTCGTCTAGGATGAGGTGAGGTGCTGCAATCATAGCTCACTGCAGCCTCAGACCCCTGGGCTCAAGTGATCCTCCTACCTTGGCCAGGAGGACTACAGGTGCGCTTCACGACTGGCAATTTTTTAATTTTTTTGTAGAAACAAGGTTTCACTGTGTTGCCCAGGTTGGTCTTGACCTCCTTACCTTATTCAGTTCACCTGTGTTGGCCTCCCAAAGTACTGGAATTACATGAGTGAGCCACCTCACATCTGGCCTGTTTTTGTATTTTAATTTGGTTGTCTTTGGTCCACTCTGAGAGGAGGTAACTACTCTTAAAGACCCAGATCTGCTTGGGTGTGCGAAAGGTCTCACTGAGTGGCCTTGATACTGTGTATTTAGGCCTAATGAAGAAAAAAAAGAAAGGAAGTCAACCTCTGCAAGTTGTCTACCACATTTCAAGTTTCTTAAAAACCGTTATCTCAAAAAAAATGGAGAGAAATCCTCCATTATCCTCACTTCAATGCACGATAAAACTGAGGCTCAGAGAGGTTCAATAACTAGCCAAAAGTCAACAGCTAGCAAATGGCAAATCCAGAATGGAAAAATAGCAATTTGTCCCAAAGATCATGTTCTTTGTTACTCAGCATGTTCCATATGCTCTAGAATTCCAAAATACTCTGGAACAGCAACTTGCAAACGTTTCGTTATCAGGACCCATTTACACTCTTAAAAATGACTGAGGACCCAAAAAGCTTTTGTTCATGTGGTTTATATTTATCAATGTTTGCCATATTAGAAATTACAACAGAATTCTAAAAATATTTATTTATCCAGTGAAAATAAGAAATCCATTTCATGATAACATAAATATTTTATAAAAATAACTGTTTTCTAAAGAAAAGAGAAGAGTGGCACTGCACACTTTTGCAAGTCTTTTTAATGTTTAGTTTAAGGGAAGGCAGCTGGATTTTCTTAGCTGTTACTGCTTTCCATCTGCTGTGATGTCGTTTAGGTTGAAACACATGAAGAAAATGTGGCTTCCCACAAACATGTAGTTAAGAAAAGGAAGGAGTATTTATTTATTTGTTTATTTATTTATTTATTTACTTTGAGATGGAGTCTCGCTATCACCCAGGCTGGAGTACAGTGGCATGATCTCCACTCACTGCAACCTCTGCCTCCTCGATTCAAGCAATTCTCCTGCCTCAGCCTCCCGAATAGCTGGGACTACAGGCCCACGCCACCATGCCTAGCTAATTTCTTAAATATTTTTAGTAGAGACGGGGTTTCACCATGTTGGCCAGGCTGGTTTCGAACTCCTGACCTCAAGTGATCTACCCACCTCGGCCTCCCAAAGTGCTGGAACTACAGGCGTGAGCAACAGCACCCGGCCAGGAAAGAGTATTTAAATAACCTTTTCAGATAATTAGAGGTACTTGTTTTTGAAGAAATAACGGATGCAGAATCTGAAATCATATGAATGAAGATTCCATGCTTTGTTACATTAAAATTGCTTTTAAAGATCTTTAAAAATGTATTTTTAAAGGTCTCTCTTGTGCTTTGAGTGGATCTTTTACCCATGCATGATTCTGTAACCTTATGTATTGGTCATCTGAAAATATCAATGATAGCATTCCTGACGGTAGCACATTTTATTTTCTATTACCTGAAAGTCAAAATGGGTTTTTTGTTTTGTTTTGTTTTTTGAGATGGGGGTCTTGCTCTGTTGTCCAGGCTGGAATGCAGTGGTGTGATCACAGCTCACTGCAGCCTTGACCTCTTGGGCTCAAACAGTCCTCCCACCTCAGCTTCCTAAGTAGCTGGGACTACAGGTGAGTGCCACCACATCCACCTAATTTTTGTATTTTTTGTGGAGATGGGGTTTCACCATGTTACCCAGGCTGGTCTCTGATTCCAGAGCTCAAGCAATCCACCCACCTTGGCCTCCCAATGAGCCGGGATTGCAGGGATGAGACATCATGCCTGACAAAAAGTCACAACTGCTAATATTGCCCCCGATCACTGCAGAAAACTCTTCAAATATTGGAAGTATTTAGACATGGTATTTAGCTTAAGCTCAAGATGGCAGATACAAGTTTTCCAAAAATCAACGTTTCTCTTGAAAGGTCAAATGTTAGCACTGGCAACAAATACTCTCAGTTTTCCTTGGAGTGACAAGTTCACGTCTTTCATTTTTGAGAATGTGTCTGCCAGATACCCAAGTCTGAATAACTATAGTTCATCTATCAGTCTTTTTTTTTTTTTGACTGAAAAGTGATGTTCCAAAAAAAGCAGCCTGTTCAGCTCACAACTCAATTATACAAGCTTTCCCTCAAGTCAATTGTTACACTGAGGTGTGCAGTGGACGTGCCTTATGTGTGCTTCCTATTGTGTCACATATTAAAAATATGTGACATATTAAAAATACATACGCCACAGAGTGAAGATCTTTAAAGTTAATCATTTTTATGGCTTTATCAAAGACATTCTTAAGTAAAACTGGGATTTCGTTTCATTTTATTTTATTTCGGGTTCTGTTTTTGTTTTTTGAAACAGGGTCTTGCTCTGTCACCCAGGCTGGAGTGCAGTGGCTTGATCTTGGCTCACTGCAACCTCTGCCTCCTGGGTCCAAGCAATTCTGCTGCCTCAGCCTCCTGTGTAGCTGAGATTACAGGAACCTGCCACCAAGCTCAGCTAATTTTTGTATTTTTAGTAGAGGCGGGGTTTCACCATGTTGGCCAGGCTGGTCTCGAACTTCTGACCTCAAGTGATCTGCCCACCTAGGCCTCCCAAAGTGCTGGGATTACAGACATGAGCTACTGCCCCTGGCCCCATTTCCTTTCATTTTCACTGTGCATGTATAGTTGTAAAGAAAATAACTCTTAGTACAGTTAGCTCCCACTGTCAAGATTCATGCCAAGGCTCCAAGAGTTCTACCCGCCATTGCATTTGTCCCATCCATACAGATGTTAATACAGTGAAAAAGCAAACAGGACCTTCATATTGTTAGAGAGATAGTTTTGACTTCGTGGAGCCACTGAAATGATTGCAAAGATCCCTGGTGGTGGTAGGGGGGTGTATTAGTCTGTTCTCATGCTGCTAACAAAGACATACCCCATACTGGGTAATTTGTAAAGGAAAGAGGTTTAATGGACTCACAGTTTCACATGGCTGGGGAGGCTTCACAATCATGGTGGAAAGTGGAGGAGGAGCAAAGGCACATCTTACATGGTGGCAGATAAGGGCATGTGCCGGGGAGCTCACCTTTCTAAAACCACCAGATCTCTTGAGACTTATTCACTATCACGAGAACAGCATGGGAAAAGCCTGCCCCTATGATTCCATTCCCTTCCACTGGGTCCCTCCCACAACGTGCGGGGGTTCTTACAATTCAAGGTGACATTTGGGTGGGGACACAGAACCAGACCATATTGGGGGTATCTATGAACTACTCTTTGAGAACCACATTCTAGAAGGACTGGGTGACCCCTGGAATCTGACATGACCCAGTCCTTCACGTGCGGGGTAGAGATACCAGGACTCAGGATCTAGGCAGCAGAATTCCCATCAGGCTTGGTCCCAAAATACTTCCTCTTCTCAAATTAGGTCCATTTCTAGCCTCATGGAACTTAACACATGAGTAGAGAGAGACAGACAATGAACAAAATAAATAAATAACATAGTATATCACAAAGGGATAAGTGCAGTGTAGAAAAGTAAAATGGAAAAAGAGACTGGGGTGGGGACGAGCTTTCCTATTTTAAACAGAGTGATCCTGAAAGCTTACCTTGGGCCCCCATTTAACCTCAACCACTTGATGAGACAAATCTTATTCCCATTTTAGAGATGAGGCAATTGAGGAACAGCTGGATTAAGTGATTTGTTGAGTGTCTCATAGCCAGTAAATGGCAGATCTGGGATTCAGACTCTAAAGCTTGATTCTCCCCACTGCACCTCATTCTCCCAGGTCTATAACAGGTCTCAAACATTAACTTCTAACTTAAGACCCAGCAACAATTCATTTTTTTCTTTTTTTGAAACAGGGTCTCACTTTGTCACCCACACTGGAGTGCAGTGGCTCGATCATAGCTCACTGCAGCCTCGAACTCCTGGGCTCAGGTCATCCTCCTGCCTCAGCCTCCTGAGCAGCTGGGATTACATGTATGTATCACCATGCCTGGATTTTATTTTATTTTATTTTATTTTATGTACTGTATTGTATTGTATTGTATTGTATTGTATTGTATTGTATTGTATTGTATTGTATTGTACTGTACTGTACTGTATTGTATTTGTAGAGACAGGGTCTTGCTTTGTTGCCCAGGCTAGTCTGGAACTCCTGGCTTCAAGCGATCCTCCCACCTTGGCCTCCCAAACCACTGGGATCACAGGTATGAGCCACTACATCCCTGGCCCTGCAACATTTCTAATTTGTCGCCCCAACTTTGATGTCCTAAGTCTATTTAGGGAAACACGATGACAATTTTTCAAATGGAAAAGATGAGCAAGGAAAAAGGCACAATAACCTCAGAAGACACCAAAATGTACATTTCAGGGAAAATCCTATGTTTGACCATTAGACCTTTGAGTGGATCTCCTTGTAGACACTGGATTTCACCTCTTTGTTTATTCTCTGAGTGTTTAGGAAGCATTTTCTTTGTTTGTGCATGGTAGTGGGTGCTGGGGGAGGAGCCCTACTTCCTATGCTGTAGCAGCTCACAGTTTTAGAGGAGAGGGAGAGAGGAACCAGGGAACATTCCAAAGGCAAGGGGAACCTCACAACCTTAACCAGCAGCATTAGAAGGTGAGGTTAATTTGGCTAAGGATTAGACACAAATGTATGAACACACACACACACACACACACACACACACACACACACACACATAGCTGATTCCTATGTCTGTGACCTAAGACCTCCTGCCCTATATTACATGAAACTTCTAAAAAGGACATAAATGGCTCCCACATCTGCATAACCTATATTCTCTCACTCCATACGACTAGGATGATGGGAACTTTATAAATGGAAACACTGGAGACAATCACTCTATTTAATCCTAACAGCCATATGACAAAGATATTACTTGTATCTCACAGATGAGGAAATTGAGGCTTTAAGAGCCTATTTGCAAGCTGGGTGCAGTGGCTCACGCCTGTAATCCCAGCACTTGGGGAGGCCGAGGCGGGTGGATGACCTGAGGTCGGGAGTTCAAGACCAGCCTGGCCAACATGGTGAAACCCTGTCTCTAATAAAAATACAAAAATTAGCCAGGCATGATGATACATGCTTGTAATTCCAGCTACTCAAGAGGCTGAGACAGGAGAATCACTTGAACCCCAGAGGTGGAGGTTGCAGTGAGCCAAGATCTTGTCACTGCACTCTAGCCTGGGCAATGAAGCAAGACTCCATCTCAAAAAAAAAAAAAAAAAAAAAAAAAAAAAAAAAAAAAAAGAGCCTATTTTCTTTACTTGGTTTATTTCTGTTTCATTGCTTTGGGCCTAAGCAACCACACAACTGAAGCCATCTCCCATAAGAAAGGTGTGCCCAGTCTCAATCCTGTTCCCAAAACATCCCCAGGCCATGCTTCCCACGCCCTCTGGTTTTACACTTTCTGCCTCTTCTTTCTGATTCAGCATCCATCCTCCTCCTTCTGCCTATGCCTTGCATTTCCCCAAATACTCACTGACTCATAAGTACAACAGATTTGGCTCCTCTGGTTGAACCCTCTACAGTCTCTTTAAGCCTTTAATGTTTAGGGGTTCCATCTGCTCTGATTGCCTGGGCAAATGACCCTTCACCCAGCCACAGCCCTGAGGTCTCCCAGAGTCAGTCTCCTTGTTAGGGCCCTGATGCTCAGTCTCTCCCGGGGTCATGCAAGTGCTGGTCTGGCTCTGAGAGTGAGGCTTCCTTGAAGTTTACACCTTCCACCACACTGTCTTGTATAATCCTCATCCTGGCCCTATAAAAATAGGATGCTTAACATCAGGAATTCCAAAGGCTTTATTTCCCCTTTAAGAACTACATTTCTCTGCAATTACTCACCCACTAGAGGACTCATGGATATAAAATTTCCAGAAAGAGCTTAAAATCAGCACAATCTTCGCTGAATCATAAACCAGTTTTCTCATGCATTCATAGCTCATCCTTGGATTTTTTTTTTCCTCCTGGTCTATTTTCCTCTTCAATAACCAATTTTTTGATGAGTTGCAGTGAGTCAAAGAGAATTGATTCATTCATTAAGTTACTCAGATATTTATTGGTACCTCCTTTGTGCCAGGGCTTTTGGTGCTTCTCTTTTCTGTTCTTTTTGTTTGTTTGTTTTTTTGAGATGGAGTGTTGCTCTTCCTTGTCACCCAGGCTGGAGTGCAGCAGTGCGATCTCAGCTCACCGCAACCTCCTCCTCCCAGGTCCAAGCCGTTCTTGTGCCTCAGGCTGCCGAGTAGCTGGGACTACAGGCGCATGCCACCACACCGAGCTAATTTTTGTATTTTTAGTAGAGCCCAGGTTTCACCATGTTGGCCAGGCTGGTCTCGAACTCCTGACCTCAAGTGATCCACCAGCCTCGGCCTCCCAAAGTCCTGAGATTACAGGTGTGAGCCACCACATCTGGCCAATCTGATGTTTCTGATGGTCAATCAATAATTGAACATGTAGGATTCAACAAGTGTGATTACAAAAACAGCTTTATGATATTTTTTCTGAGTTCTTAACATGGACTCTTTACTGATTGCTGGGTCCTTCCCCTGACCCTGAATACACACATGGGCTGTACCATGACTTTTCTAATTACTCCTGACTAAAAGGATATCCCATAATAAATTAGAGTAAGATTAAAAAATTAGAGTGTCTAGTCCAATATGTTATTTAATATGTCAATTTTGTCATGACTTAAAAAAAAAAATTTTTAGAGACAGGGTCTCACCATGTTGCCCAGGCTGATCTTGAACTCCTGGCCTCAAGTGGTCCTCCCACCTTGGCTTCCCAATGTGCTGGGATTACAGGTGTCAGTCACTGTGCCCTGCCCCTTCAATATTTATTTCAGAGAGACAATGTCTTCCTCTCTCTCCTGGTTACAGATTAGCTAGCTATCATCTATGACTCTTCAGGACTGAAAGAAAGGGAGGCACATGAATGGGGAAAGGATAGTTCCCACTTGACCATCATAAGTGTGAAGTTTCACACTCACTGTTCCTGGAAATTCTTGACTTTGGCTCTTTATTTCTTGCTAGGTCCATTCTTCTGCAACTCTCTTGATCTGGGCAGAACCTCTCTTTTGGATGGCTGCTCCGGGTATCCCTCACTCCTGCTCCAGGCAGCTCCTTGATCAGCCCCTTTCTGTTGCAGTCTTTTTACCATGAAAGTTTGACCTCATGATATACTATCCATTCCCCTATAGTTGGGGGTTTGGGATGGGTATTTTCAAGGTGTTGACATTCTAAAGAATGATACGGTGAACTGCCTATTAGGAAAACAATTTTGTGATATTGTAAAAACAACTCTTCCGACTTCAAATCCTGTGTTCTTTTCTACAGAATGGCATGCATTCTCACTTTAAGCTATTTTCATATGAAGTTAAGTCTATGAATTTATTCCTCCAACTGATAGCTGCATTTTAACAATCAATGGATTTGGCATCATTAAAGATATTTCAGGCATCAGTGAGCACGCTGGGATGGTTCTTCCTGGAGCCCTTAAAATTAGAGTCACAAGGGCCAGGCGCGATGGCTCACACCTGTAATCTTAGCACTTTGGGAAGCCAAGGTGGGCGGATCACTTGAGGTCAGGAGTTCGAGACCAGCCTGGCAAACATGGTGAAACCCCGTCTCTATCAAAAATACCAAAGTTAGCCAGGCATGTTGGTGAGAACCTGTAATCCCCATTACTTGGGAGGCTGAGGCAGGAGAATCGCTTGAATCTGGGAGGTGGAGGTTGCAGTGAGCCAAGATCGTGCCACTGCACTCCAGCCTGGGTGACAGAGTGAGACTCCATTTCAAAAAAAAAAAAAAAATTAGAGTCACAGGGACAGGGAAATCACCTGTTTCACAAATTACACTTTATAGGAGTGGTTGTTTACAAGTCAACTTTGCTCCATGTGGCAGGCTAATTTTGTTAAGATTAGACTTGGCTCAATCATTCTGTTAGACAACAGAGAAAAACACAGTGTTGAAACGTGTTAAACCTCTGCCCTAAGGAAAAAGGTTGGTATATTAAGAAAAAAACACTGGTTCAGGACTCCAAGGGAGCTCACAAAAGAGGGATTGAGGGGTTGGCTGAGTCCAGGGCTTAGGTCCTCAGTGAGTCCTGATGCCAATCAGTGCTCCCCTACCTTCAGGCCCTCAGCCCTGCGGTTATTTGTTCTCAGTTCCACAACTGTAAACATCTTCTCTTTTTGCCTAGTTTGATTTTTGTTGTTGGTGGAGGTGGGGGGACTTAGTGTATATTCTGCCTACTGAACTTTCATTGAGCGAAGTATTTACTGAAGATATGATAAGTACCTATGAATAAGAGGCTGCTTGCCACCAGCTTCTCTGGTCTGCGTGAAGAGAAAGATAAGTAAACCACCAATTCTAACACCAGGCAGACTTAAATACACACCAAACAAAGGCAAAAGTGATGGCTCACAGGAGAGAGGGATGCATTTGACTGGAGGATCGAGAATGTCTCCTGGAGGAGTCAACAAGAGAACTTTTCTTCGAAGTAGGAGTGATATATCTACAGGTAAATAAGTGAAGGAAAGCATTCCACTTTGAGGAAAGCAGCATGAGTAAAGGCCAAAAATATTGCCAGGTGTGGTGGCTCATACCAGTAATTCCAGCACTTTGGGAGGCCAAGGTGGGAGGATCACTTGAACTAATGAGTTTGAGACCAGCCTGGGCAACATGGCGAAACTCGATTTCTACCAAAAATACAAAAATTAGCCAGGCATGGTGGTGAGTGCCTGTAATCCCAGTGATACAGTTTGGCTGTGTCCCCACCCAAATCTCACCTTGAATTGTAATAATCAAGATGAGATTTTGAGATAATTGTCAACGGTAGGGAAATAATTGAATGTGAAAGTGGAGATAATGGAATATGGGGGCAGTTATACTGTTCTCACAGTAATGAGTAAGTCTCACGAGATCTGATGGTTTTATAAAGAGGAGTTTCCCTGCACAAGCTCTCTTGCCTGCTGCCATGTAAGACATGCCTTTACTTCTCCTTTGCCTTCTGCCATAATTGTGAGGCTTCCCCAGCCATGTGGAACTGTGAGTCCATTAAACCTCTTTCCTTTATAAATTCCCCTGTCGCAGATATGTCTTTATTAGCAGCACGAGAACAGACTAATACAGCCAGCTACTTAGGAAGCTAAGATGGGAGGATCACTTGAGCCCAGGAGGCAGAAGTTGCACTGAGCAGACATGGCACCACTGCAACCAAGTCTGGGTGATAGGGAGAGACTCCATCTCAAAAAAAAATTATGTACATAAAATGGTATATTTGAGGAAAAACTGATTGTGACTTAAACTAGGGACATAGCCTGCTGTTGAGCCGCATTGCCCAGTGCAGTAGCCACCCAAAGTGTGGTCATTGAGCAACTGAAATGTGCTGTAAGTATAAAATACACACTGCAATTTGAAAACTTAATGTGAAAAAAGATACATTTTATGAATGATTTTTATATTGATTAAATATTGAAATGATACTTTAGATATATCAGGTTAAATAAAACACACTACTAAAATTAATTTCACCTATTCTTTTTTTACTTTTTGAATGTGGCTACTAGGAAATTTAACATTACCTGTGGGGCTCATATTATTTATCTATGAGCCAGTGCTTGTTTAGAAATTAGAATACCATGGGCCAGATGCAGTGGCTCATGCCTGTAATCCCAGCACTTTGGGAGGCTGAGGTGGGTGGATCACCTGAGGTCAGGAGCCTGAGACCAGCCTGGCCAACATGGTGAAAACCCCCTCTCTACTTAAAATACAAAAATTAGCCCGTCATGGTGGTGTGCATCTGTAATCCCAGCTACTCGGGAGGCTGAGGCATGAGAATCGTTTGAACTTGAGAGGTGGAGGTTGCAGTGAACTGAGATCACACCACTGCACTCCAGCCTGTGCGACAGAGCAAGACTCTGTATCAAAAAAAAAAAAAAAAAGAAAGAAATTAGAATACTGTGAATTTTAAGACAATCTATAGGCAGTGGGATCCTTGAGTATTTTTGAGCAAGTAACATGTGTTGTATCTTCAGATCAGTAAGAGCATGATTTCCATTTTTTGTGTACTTGGATCCACTATAGGCATTTAATACTTAACAAATGTCTTTGCTGAATATTTACACTTTATCCAAGTGATTATTGATCAAAATTACCCTGCAAAAGCTTTATTATAACCTTCACTTTAATGCATGTTCATTTCAGAAAACTCAGATATGCAAAATTAGGAAATAAAACTCACCCAGAATTCACCACCCCAGATAGTTACTAAAAATATTTTAATATGCACTCTTCTGGTATAGGAAGTATTGAAACATTGCTGAAATATTGGAGTATTGAAATATTGCTGAAATATTGTTCTTAAATGGCTACACTGAATTTATAGTATGATGTACAGTTTCTCATGAAAATAAATTTTGTCCTACACATGATTTTTGATGGCTGTATAGTATTTCATTGCATGGATGTAGCCATTTATTTAAGTAATCCCTTACTGTTGGACATTTGTTGCTAATTTTCACCATACTAAATTTACTCAGTTCTTTATTTCAGTTCGTTGAAGTCAAGGAGAGAAACAGCAAAGGTAAAGATGTTTACATTTCTCTAAAGACAGCTCATAAAACAAGTGCATAGAAATATCAACTCCCTTAAGACCCAAGGCTAAATTTGGCAATTAAGTTCTTTTTAAGTGTTCTCAGTGGGTACAGCAATCAAAGTAATTCCTGTTATTGGAACACATTGGGGTGTGTGTGTGTGTGTGTGTGTGTGTGAGAGAGAGAGAGAGAGAGAGACAGAGAGAGAGAGAGAGAGAGAGAGAGAGAGAGATTGTGGGCCATGCAAATAAACATAAGACAACTTTCCTTGGCTGAGTGACCTCTCCACTCTCTTCTTCTTCTTGTTTGAAAGACTCATACACCTTTATAGAAGTTAGAAGTACAGTACAAAGAACTTTTTTCCTGAACCATTGAGAAAAAATTGCTGCTTAGTGCTAAGTCATCACCAAATGGTTTAGTGTCTATTTCTGCAAAGACATTCTTCTATGTAAATAAAATCCAATCATCAAATTCAGGAAGTTAACCTTGATACACAACTACCATCTAATCTTCTGACTCTACCCAAGTGTCTCCAGTTGTCCCAGTAATGGCCTTTATAGTAAAAGAATCCAGTTCAGAATCACACGATGCATTTAGCTGTCATGTTTCTTTAGTTTTGTTTGATCCATAACAATTCCTCAGTCTGACTTTTCTTCATTTTCATGACCTCAACATTTTAAAGATTACAGGCTAGGTACTTTGTAGAATCTCCTTCAATTTTGATTTAATTTTCCTCATGATTACATTCAAGTTACATATCTTTGGCAGGAATATCATCAAAGTGATGCAGTATCCTCATTTCATCCTACTGGGTGATGCATAATTACAATTAGTCCCACTATCTTCACTCTGATCATTTGATTAAGAACGTATCTGTCCAGTCTTCTCTATGATACAGTTATTCTCTTCCCCTTTGTAATTAATAAGCGTTTGTGAGGAAGTACTTTGAAACTATGTAAATATTCTGTTCTTCCTCAAACTCTCAAAGCATTCATTGACTTATATCAACATGAAATCATTGTTTCCTCCTTTATTCATTTGGTTATAAACTCTTACATTATTATTTATTTTGATGTTGAAATTGTCTGTATGTGGCCAGTGGGAGCCTATTCAAGCTGGCTTCTGTGTTCTCTTAATGCCCACATCATTGAGCATTTCCTTGCTTTAAGGCACAATAAGCTACTTGAGGCTCAATTTGTACTTTCCCTGCCCTAGCTCTAGATTCAGCTTGTTTTAGTGGAACACGGTATCTAGTAGCCAGCGTCTGGGTACTAGGGGTGCTGATTGTTTCTGGGGTGTCGTGATCCCAGGTCCTTTCGGTGGACAGAGCTAGAGCATACACATATACACATACAATTGCCTCTGTGGTTATTTCATATACTGAAAACTATGACTTTATCCTGATACATCTAATTCCAATCTAACACCACACAGGGTTCATTTTATTCCTCCTTTCTGTATTTGTAATTCCCTTTTCTGACACTTAAGAAACCTGGCTCCCCTTATTCTTAATATTGCGTGCATGGTCAATCTCTCTGTATATACACAGTTTCCCATCACTGCTGCCCAATCCCATCCCATGCAGACAGCTTCCTCTCCATGCTTGGGTTCGGAAACCTTACTCCAAATTCCCTTTGCCTTTGGAGACACCCATCTCACCCTCATTATTCTCTGACTTCTGATACTGGGCCACTTACCTCCCCACCTGATTTCATTCCACTTGGTTTCTACCACCATACCAGGTTTCCCATCTCTCTATTTAAGTTTTGACTCCCCACTCTGGGCTGCTGAGGCTCCCTTTCCCCTTCTGAAATAAACACCTGCATAATGGCTTTAGGAATGAATCATTCAAGAACAAAGAAAAAGGGAAGGGGAAGATGAAGAGCTCCAGTTATTGCTGACATAAAAAAATTCCCTGTTCCTTCTGATTCCAGTGGAAATTTAGTACCCAACTCAACATATGGAGAAAAAAAATCCCTTCTCAATTGACAGGCATAATAATAGTCCTTAAAACTGCCCTTTGAGACTCTGTACCTCTTTTCTCTGTCACTCATGATATACAATATAATTTGTTAAATAAAATGCAGGGAGAAGGTTTAAATTCCCATGTGCTGATGACAGCAAAGGAGAGAAAATGTTCAGTCTAAATACACAAAAGAAAGGATAACGAGGCAAATACACTCCAGCCTTGAAGACAGCAGATCTAATATTTTCATTGATTATTGAGCAATCACAAAGGAACACTCATTGCTTGAAATCTTTGCAATTTGACTTAAAAAAAATAAAAAGAAAAATAAGAAGCCTCTTTGCAGGCTTTCAAGGGTTCCCAGAGCTATTCTAAAAGGCCTTTTCCACCTCAGATTCTGCAGGTCATAGACTTCTGGCTTTGGTTTTTTTGCTGTGGCTGTGCCAGCTGGAATGTGCTTTCTCACTCTCTTTCACGACAGTTGATAGCTCTTTTATCTCACAGGCACTGGCTGGTCAGAGGAAGACATTCTTGCATATTTCAGAGGAATTGGAGATCACTCTAAGCACAACCAATGCCATTTGTCATTCGCACCAAGGGTTGCAAGCACAGCCTCTTGCCCCCAAGTTCCCATCCCAGGCATTCCTTCTCAATGCTGAATTCAGAGGAGGTAGCCTGAAGCAGGCAGCCTTACAGCTCCCCACTATAACCAGGTCAATGTCTACAATGCAGGGCCTTTTAAAAATTGACTGTGGTCAAGTTCAAGCATCAATGGATATCAGTATGGGAATCTAAAAATAAATCAAGCACAGGAAGCTTCAAAGAATTCCTGGAAGTTAGAAGGAACTGGAGGTTACAGAGGGCAGTGGGATGACTTCTAATGACCTCATGGATGCCATTAGGAATTCTCAAATTGCCAGGAATGTCATTGAGTACTGCACCATGCTGTCTTAAATGGAGGCAGAACTGAACAGAATGAGTATAATAGGTCTTCAGTGTTCAGAACAGAAGTGGGTGGTGGGAGGCTGCCGTGGTGGTGTCTGCTTTCCCCTGAGGGCTTGATGTAGGCACATTTCAGGCCCTGATCCTTCAGAGGCCAATTTTTATAAAGAAATGGCATGCCCATTCATATCTGGTAAATGTAGGATGTCCGATGCAGCGTGCAATTCCACCTGCTTATTAGGGTTTTCCTTTCATCCCTTTATGTTAAATTCAGTATGTCTAAACCACACTCATAGATTTTCCTTACAAAAACTGCATGGATTCTTGGTTATTCTTTTGGCAATGACAGTCATGCACACTTAAAACTCTGAGGCTCATGTTCTATTCTTCCTTCTCCCTTACTTCTCCTTCCCTGCCAAGGCCTCTCAGTTACCAAGTCCAGAAGATTCTTTTACAACATCTCTACCATCGATCCCTTAATTTTCTACTGCTTGGTTGGTAGTTCAGGTGCTAATTGCCTCACCCCGGTCTGCTCTATTTAGCCTCATTTTTTTTTTTTAGTGAAATGTTTTTTATTTCATGCATGAACAACTTCAAGTCTCTTTATTAGAGAAATTCTATATATTGGTAATATAAGCCATGGGTCACTGTGGGTTAGTTCTTTAAAAATTAGAACCAGGCCAGGTGTAGTGGCTCACACCTGTAATCCCAGCATTTTGGGAGGCCGAGGCGGGTGAAAACCTTGAGTCTAGTAGTTCGAGATTAGCCTGGGCAACATGGCAAACCCTGTCTCTACAAAAAATACAAAAATTAGCGAGGCATGGTGGCGTGTGCCTGTGGTCCCATCTACTCAGGAGGCTGAGGTGAGAGTATTGCTGGAGTCCGGAAGGCAGAGGTTGCAATAAGCCAAGACCACACCCCTGCACTCCAGCCTGGGTGACAGAATGAGACCCTTTCTCAAAAAAATAAATAAAAGTGAAAAATAAAAATCAGAACTACTAATTAGCATCAAACGCTTCTCTCTGTTATTTTGTGAAGTGTTGTGTGCAGTCATATTCTACTGCTGCAATGACAATTCATACAAATTTTAAGAAAATCATAAGATGCATAGGAATGCCAAGTTTTCCCACTCAGTGGCTTTCTTCATCATCTCACGCAGTCTGCATGGATGAACTGAACCATAAAAGGAGGTGGGAGGTGAGAGAGATTTCCAATGGTCACTGTTTCTTCATATGATCTTGACCCATATCTTTATATATGTGCCCACAGTTAAAGGTTGCTGCTGGACATTTTAGCCCAATGACCACGCCTTGCTTGGAGCCTGGTAATGTTTATCACAAACTACATAAAGATCAAAAGTTCTGATTGTAGGCCATGCCTAGTGGCTCATGCCTGTAATCCCAGCACTTTGGGAACCCAACGCGGGTGGATCACCTGGGGACAGGGGTTCAAGATCAATCTGGCCAACATGGTGAAACTTCGTATTTACTAAAAATACAAAAATTAGCTGGGCATGGTGTTGTGCACCTGTAGTCTCAGCTACTTGGGAGGCTGAAGCAGGAGAACTGCTTGAACCCGGGAGGCAGAGGTTGCAGTGAGCTGAGATCATGCCACTGCACTCAAGCCTGGGTGACAGAGCAAGATTCTGTCTCAAAAAAAAAAAAAAAAAATCTGATTGTAAAATATTACCTTTCCCTATATACTCTGCTTTAGCCTCACTAAGTAGCATATTTAGAAAAATATGGAGAGAATGGATTTTTGAAGGCAAGTCAGACTACCCTAAACACACAAGGAAAAAAATACAAGCTTCCTCCTCACACAGTGCTGAGCATCTAATATTGTTAAGAAATATTTAGGTGGCAAAATGATAGTGTGTGGAAATGGAATTGACTGGATAACACAACACAGAAATTATTTTTTTTAAATATTTTAACCTAAAAAACAATAGTGAATCATCATAAAAACAGAAACAAATTTGTCTGGAAATCAATCAACCCATCCAGGCAATTAAATGGTGTAATAGAGTAAAAAAATCTCATTCTTTCTAGCTCTGCCACTGTAAGTATCTTTGGAAACATGACTAATTTACCTTCCCATTTGAAGATTAGACATAACATATTCATATTTGTCACAGATATTTTTACAAAATTTTGTGGCCCCCTGTGGAAGTTCTAGTGAAGTACAAGAAATTAAACAGCCTGGAGTATACAAACAGAATGTCTAGACTATTTTAAAAAGTAACCATTTGACACACTTTAAAAATAGTCATCAATGCGTTTATTTCAAAAATTATAATAAGCTTTTTTAATAACAAAATGATATTTTGTCCCTAGGTATGTAATATTCAAGAAATGTACCCTTTTATCTTTATGTAAAGACAGCATGTATAATGTAATGGAAATTTTATGTAGGTACTTTTTTAAAAAAAAGCTGTCTTTACATGTTAGCTAAATGTTTTTGAAGTTTAACTGGATGTTATTGTAAGCCTTAAAAATAAAAACTGCTTAAACATTTTGGAATGTTCTATTGAAATTAGTTATCACAGTGAACTTTAAGGGTATGATTTTGTTACCTATTATCAAACATTTCTTTCTTCCAGCCTCATAATAAAAAAGTAACAGTCCTTAGCTCCAATCAGAAATAGAATAAATATGACTATAATTTCACAGAGAGAGAGAACATCAAGGTCAAATTTTCAAAGCCACACGGAGATTAGATTGGCACAAATGAATGTATGCATGTATTATAGTCAAGTGAATAAAGTGAAAGTACATATATTGTGTATTCATATCAACGGATACTGTAGGGAAGCTGTTCTCTTAGGCAGGAATTAGCTGTAGTTGACTGAGTTTGCAAAGTACAGCAAGGTTATTAAATAAACAATATAGTAAGACATTCCACTTAACCCAGATCATAAATGAAATCAATCGTAGGCTGTTCATGTCTGTGCTGTGGAAGGCATAAACTGCATTTCCTCTTTCTGTAAGTGGACTGATAAAGAGAAAGGGTGTGCAGTGGATACTGCTCAGCCTGCCCTTTAAAATTATTCTACAGAAAGAGAGAAAGAAACAGAGACCGAGACTGCAACTGACTAACAGTGTGCTGTTCATTGACTCAAGGCACCCAAATCACACGGGCTGCCTCAAAGGTTCCCCACAGGTGGCAAAAGAGACAAACGACCTTCTGGGGCTCTACTTCCAGCAGACAGCAGAGTACATGCAGAAAGAGAATCACTGCAGAGCAAGACCAGCCAGATCGCACTCCCTGCTCAGGCAGCCTCTCTGGGACTGTGGAAATGCTTTGAAACACCCAGCATTGAATAAATGAATGAGTGAGCCCCTGTGCAGTTCATTCACAGGACTTGCACTGAGATGGGGTTGTTTGAAGGAGCTGGGGCGCTCTTCACAAGGAGGAACCTGAATATACCAAATGGCCTGCCTAAGGCCTCCTGCAGTCCTTTGGTTACATGGTCTCTTGGGAGGAGTTTATTGAGATGAGCTTTGCGGCAGTCAAGTTTCCTTTTGTTTGTGGGAAGTAAAACGCAAGAGCTTGTTGAAGAGACCCCTGAGTCAACTTTCCTGAAGCCCACAGTGAGGGAGTGGGGTGGAGGAGGGGATCCCGATAATGGAAGCTCACATTCAATTGTCTGATTTGTGTGCCTCTCCTCAGTGTGGGAGCAAATCACCTTTCAGTTCAATAACAAATGCAATTCAGACCTAGGTGTCAAAGAAAGGCAGGACTTGTCAAATCCTCATCACAGAGATACTGAACACAAAGACCCAGCATCTAGGTCTAGCCACTTCCAGGTTTGCTCATGGCTGACTTCCGGTCCGGTTAGACTGCATCCAGATGAAAAGTCATTCTGATTGGTTGCAGGTTCTGTAGCGACCATAGTTCTTTTGAAGATGGCCTCTGTCTAAATTCTCAGCAGTCCACGGCATTTAAGGAGCCCAGGAAGTTCACAAGAAACAGCTGTAATTACAACAGAGAGAGGAAGGAGGGCAGGGAGGGATCCAAACATGCGAACAAGTTAGCCATCTTTTTTTCTGGATGGAAAATTAAGTGTTTTCTTTAACCCAGAGCCAAAGGCAAGAGGGAAAAAATTTGGAAGAAGCATTGTTCATACCACTCCTGAAGCTGCCCTAGGGAGGCATACTTTTTACTCTTTCTTCTGCCCTCATCTGTAAAACACTTTCCTTAGTTCTAGTCCTTTACTCCATTTCATATTATGCTTTACACTACTAGTCGTAGCTTTTACAATATGTGTGATCCTTGAAGGTAGAGAGGAAGCATATCACACTTTTTGTCACCTCTATTATACCTTGCATGTTGCATAGCTTTTCTTGGCCTGACGAATTAATGCAAATAAGTGTGGTCTTGCTCAGTGGGTTCAGTGCTGTCTACTCTAAACTAAGCAAGACTCTGGAATAATATGAGACTTTTATCCAGAGAAAAAATGATCTGCCTCAACCCACTCTTATTTCCTACTTTTTCAGAGAGGTGAAGACTCTGCCAGTGGCCTCAGTAGGCTCCAGTTGTATGTGAATGTGTGGGTGTGTGGTCCTGCATGGGTCAAACACAGCTCCCACTTCAGGGAGGATGTGGGGACAACAACATGGCTGCTGATTCATAGTTGCCCACAGGATGACTCTTCTTTCCAGGCAGAGAAGGGGGTGGATGAGTTATTCTTTGCTTAAACATCTCTGGGTGAAGAAAACGACTGACATTCTTCAGTGAGCTATTTCAGTTTTCCTTTATACAGAAAATTCTTTTCCATGTTCACTCAAAATCCTTCTGCCACAAATTAAGCCAAATTTTCCTGGTTCTCTTCTTTCCAGAGATGGATCACAGGTAGACACCTTCCTGCATTCTGTAACTGGTTGTAGTTAAAAATGTTTTTGAAAACAATTTTTTAAAAAGGCATTTTTACCTATTTCAATGGGTAAAAAAGTGTTTATTTAATGAAATGTTATTAAAATGAATACATTACTAGGAATCCCATTTGAAGTCTACAGGGCTTAGAGAGGAGAGAGAGCTGACGTCTTGCTGTGAAAGTGTTTTGAATTCAAAGTGGAGACAGGGTGGTGTTATGGGACAATCTTTTCTTTGTACAAGGTCCTGGGTGCTCTGTTTTGTGTTGATTGGGTGGGTTGTGTGGGAGATAGGATGGATGTGTTCAGCTGGCTCAAGTGTTTGAGGTGGGAATGTAAGAGGAATTCGTTGAGATTTCTATGTGGTGACAGACAAAGAATCTTAAAGCTCTTGCTTCCTTACCTACCTGTATTGAAAAATGCACCCAGTCAAACTCTGTCATCAAGGCAGGAATGATAGGAACTATTTACACAAGACTGTCTGTTGAGTGGGTTCTGTGGAAACCAGACCACCCTTCCTATGGATCATGTGCCAAACTCCTAAAATAACTCTGAGGGTCAGGGCCCTCCCATTATGGTATTTTGCTTTTCTCTGTTGCACAGAACTGCAGGGGTGGAGGGGCTGGGGCAACAGTTTCATTGTCATCGTGCTTCACTGCAGCCTCTCCCACTCCTAATTTATTACCATCCTTTTACTTCCTCTCACACCCTCTCACCTACTTAAAAACGGAAAGAGGAAAGGAGTTACAGGACAGCCCTTTGACTGAGAAGGCAGCTGCCTCTGTTGTGTGCTATCAACAAGTCCAAGCCTTCCTGGCCTATCCAAATACCTCTTCCAAATACTAACTGATACAGAAAATTCCATCTTATTCACTCCCAAGTTCAGATCTCTTCCATGGATTTTTGTATTCATTTTTTCATCTTTATGCAATTACTTTATTTTCTCCACATATCCCTCACACAGGCACAAAAACATTCTCTTAAAATAGTTTAACAATATTTTAGAATCATAACAGAAATGCACAACACATCAGTGTATACTCCTTAGGAATGTAAACACTAGCTGGGAATTTAGAGATCATCTAATCCAACCCTCTTACTTTTCAATGGAAAGGTCAGAGGGTTCAAATCACTGACAAATCAGACAGGTAATTAGTAAGGGAACCAAAATTAGAAATCAGTACAAATGCTTTGTATAGGACTCTGCATAGGACATGTCACTTTCAGTCAGTCAATGCCCAATATAAATAACTGTGATGTGACTTTGAAATAAGGTATTAAAACTCTCTAATAATTAAGACGGATGAGGACTAAGATGAGGAAGAAAAGAGTTGCCAGAGGCTCAGGTATGCTCTGAAATGTTATATCTGTTGAAACCCAAAGGAATATTAATTAAGGGAGTTTTATTCTGGGGCAAAAGCACATAGATAGCTGTTGTAATTGTCAAGACAAACTCCTGACCTTTCCGTCTGTCAAGTGTCACTGCCATGATTTAAACATTATGGCGCTTGCATGAGCCATTATCTGCATTGCTCTTTGTTATAAATTATACTCAGAATGTTCTACAGCATTACAAGAAGAAAAAAGAGACAGTGCCAGTAGAACAGAGTCTTGTTGGGGCCCAGGGGGTTAGATAACAATGGATAAAAATTAATTCTCCCCCAAATCACATGTATCCCTGCTAGTGTGCCTTATTGCCTTCTGCCTACTCTTGCGTTCAGTGGATTATCTACCAATGACAACTAGTAGTCAAGTTCAAATATGGCATGTTAAAAATCAGTCAGACTGTCTTACAGTTTTCATAAAATTGCATGTGATTTTGCAAAAATGCCAGATGATAAAGGAAATACCTATTGGTAGGTGCTTATTTCTTTAGAATGCTAATGAGAATTTTATTGCTAACAATATTTAAAATTAAAACAGTCCACTAATTTTTTAAAAATGCATGAGCAACAATGAGAGTCAGCGGATTCCTCTGACACCACAGCTGTATTAAGAAATACAGTAAGACAAAATTATACCGGGCTTCCTTCACCCTTTAAATGGTTCAGAAATCCTTGAACTTAAAAATCATAGAAAAATGTTCCAGTAATTTGGTTTTATCAGTGACCGTGCTGTCTTGTGGAATGTCTTTCATTTTGGATACAGTTTCTGCTTACTCAGTGTCATGAATGTTAAAGAACAAATTTTGAGTTTAACCACCATACTCTACTCTTCACAGATAACTGAAATTCACATTTTTTTCAACTTTCTTTTATGAAGTATGCAGGAAGTACTGTCAATGAATTAATGTATCTTCTGATCATCATATATTTCCCATTGCTTTAAATCAGTAGTTCTGACCAATGATAGTTTTTATATTCCTAAGCCACCTTACACACCTTTTGTCAGGTTCATAACAGCATAAAGAGGTTATTATTTAAAGAGCCAAGGCATGAGTTCAACCCTGAAATTTACTAGGGACCTCTGGCAAATCACTTAATCTCTGAGTCTTGATTCCTTCATCTGTAAGTGAAAGCATTAGATTAGACAAACTATAAAGTTTCTTCACGTTCTCAGGGTCATTGTATCTTAAATGGTAAAAAGAAGGCCAAGAGAAGGGAAGAAGAGGGTGGGAGGGGCCGTGTTCTCGATCTTAATGTCTGCAAAGTTAGCAGCCAGCAGCACCAGTGAATTCAAACCCTGCCTGCTGGAATCATTTAAAACAGTAGTGAGAGCACTCATTTCCTTGCTAGAACAAGATCTTATTTCATATCAAATGTTGCAGTTCCTTTAGAAGCCAAATTTGAATTAGTCATAATGCAAGAATCCCAAGGTATAATCAGGATTGGATCACAAATCAATTACAGAGTAAATCACTGTATCTGACTTCTTATAAGATCATTTTCTATACTTGCCCATGAATTCTTATCTCTCTTATTGTTCCCTTTTAGACCATCACTTAACTAGGTTTTAAAGCAGAGATGAACAAACCTTCTGCAATTGCACATTGGAATATGAGAAACAATTTAGCCAAGGGCATTTTTTCTAATCACTTTGCACTCCAGTAAATTGTGCTCATGCATATTTATATATAAATGCTCAGTCATTCTACACTAAGAAATCCATACCTACCCATTTCCTTGGGGAATGTCTATGAAATCAATTTTTCACATTAGCTGTATTTCTGGCAATGCAACCCATAATAGAATGCTCTTTTGCGGGATATGAAGGAAGAGCTTAGGGCAGGTGGTATCTAATAGGAGCTCAAAATCATAACTGTTTAGGGGAAGCCCAAGAGAGAACTTGCCTTTGGCATTCAAGAAGAGAGAACACAGCACATTTCTGCCAGTGGCCCTGGGGCCTTTTTATTATGGAGCCCAAGAGGCTTCTGTGGAGAGGCTGTGACAATTAAAACAAGAGTCAGAATGTGGCCCACTCAATCCCGCTGACTAAACTCCCTTGGATGGGGTCTAAGTCAGGCCTGGCAAAGTTAATTTTGCTTGGCAGGAGGTCACATGCAGTGAAGCTCTAGTGAATTTGCCATGAAAGTTCTCAGCAGACCATTCCTACACCACTGGCAATTACGTTTTTGACAGCAGCACGATGTAGCAGTGCATATCTCGTTGCACCAAACCAGCCAACGTAATTGAGTACCTGTTTTGTATCAGGAAATGTGAAGGCCTTGAGGGTACTAAGTTAATCACACATAATTTTATATCCCTCAAGAGCACTGAGTTCAATCTGGGGTTCAAGGAAACCTTCCTGGAGCAACTGATGCCTGCAGTGAACTTTAACAGAGAGAGAAGAGTTAGCCTTGTGGAGAAGCAGGGAAACCAAGAAAAGAGTAGAGCCTTGGGAAAGCTTGATAACTGCAGTGAAAGGCAATCAGGGTGGTGTGAGCAAAGCACAGCTTGGCAGCCTTTTTCTGCAAGGACCAGATAGTAAATATTCCAGGCTTTGTGGCCCTCCAATACTTAACTCTGCTGCCATAAGATGAAAGCACCATATATGATTGGGCATTGCAGTGTTTTAAGAAGACTTTAATTTTAGACAAGTCAGGTGGTGATATTTGGCCCGTAAACCATAGCCTGCAGGCCCCTGGAGGAGAGCACACAGAGCAAAGCAACATGGTGACTGGGAAGGTCAAGGGCCTGTGACGCTGGGACTCCTTGGCCAGCCCAAGCAGCTTGTGCTTGTGAAACATGAGAGATTGCTAAGGCCTGGGCTGCCCGTATAAAGCCAAAGGCCAGATGGTCTTCACGTCACTTGCTAAAACTTAGGAAGGAAGACCTACTCCAAGCAAAGACATTGGCAGTTGTATCTCTTCTCACAGAATGCCCAGTGCTCCTCGGAGGCCTTGCCTAAACATATGCAAACCAGAGGTTCCCAGCTTGGCCCAGCTCCTCCCTGCACATGCCTGTGAGCATCAGTATCTCTTTCCAGTTCTATCCAAGGGCCTCTGGAGATGAGACCGCTTTTCACGGGCTCGTTCAGGAGCAGAGGAAAGGGACAGGGGCCCTAAAAAGCACCAGTGATTGTCTCAACAGAGTCCATGGGTTTTCTAAACCTACAGGAAGATTTGGGAAATTATACACATTTATGCAAATATATTTTCCATTTCATTACCATTTCCTGTCTCCTTTATTTCCAGACTCCCACCCCAACTGAATTTGTTATGAACCCAACTGAGAATAATTTGGCTCATTCCTCTCATTGTATGACAAATGGGCTGGCTCCCTGCCACACATCCAAAATGTGCCCTTAAGTGAAATGGTGTCTGTGCTCCTCTTGCAACTCCAGGTAAGAGAAGAACCCAAGGGTTGCCACCACTCAGAGGAGCACAGCAGGATTAGCCCCACACAGGTGAAAAGAAAGTGAATGGTTCTTTCTGTGAGCAGATTTTCTTTCTAAAACAATGCCTCCTGCAGCTAAAGGAGGAAAAGAGGAAACCAACAATACCAACAGCTAGGGGAAGAGATAGGTGAGGTCTCTGTTTTCTGATGAGGAAGCTAAGCCTTGGAAGCCAGGCTTCAAACCTAGCGGGGGCATAATGATCTTTCCAGTGTACATTTTTGCTTTTGCAAATTAGAAGAGTTATTAAGTTTATGAGTCAGTATCATGAAGATCAAGATGATATCTAAAAGGTTACTGGCATGCAGTTTCCATAATATTGCTAGAAGACAAGACTGAATCATAGCCTCCCAGGAACAGAAGAAACCTCAAAAGTTATCGAGGCTGTTGTTTGGCAGCAACTGGAGCTACGTCCAAGCTGGTGGGTATGCAGCGATGGGCTGGGAACTCATCTCCTCTTGGAAGTGGTAAGTGGTGATATGGAGGCAGTCCAACTGACTCCGGGGTTTGAAAAACAGAAACATGGCTGAGTAAAGCCACCAATTAAAACAGACCCTTGTGAGCACTGCAAAAGATGGTAGTTTTCAGCACATGGTGCTTGTAAGTATCTGACAATTTCATAGCTTGAAACAATTGGGCAGTCAAATAATCAACTTGAAATCTCTGTGCAGTTCGCAAGGTTATTGCCCACAAAATATTAGCTCTAAGATGGTAAAAGGCTATCATGGTGACCTGACTCCAAAGTGAATTCTGTCTTCAGGAAAATCCCAAGTCTTCAAAGGAGCCAAACTGTTGTGGATAAATAGAAGGGAAGCATGAGTATTGTTGTGAAAGAAAACTCTAAAATACAACAGTGTCTATAAATAGTGAGGGCTCCCCAAAAGACTAGAAAATATTTCTTGGAACGAAGAACTGGCTACTTCCACAGAATTTGCCCTTAGACTTTGGATTTATACTGTGGCCACTGCAAGTTGAACATTTTCCCAAATACTCAGAGCAGATGCTCACAACTCATTCCCAAGGCAAAAGCTTCCTCAAATGTCGAGGATACTCTAACCCTTGTAAATTATAAAATGGTCTATGCATGAATATAATTAGATTCAACAATTACAAAATAAAGAAAAATGATGGCTGGGATAGATGCATAAGTTTAATGAAACCCCAAGCATCAAATAGAGGTCAAAAGTTTCTCTTTTTATTAATCTTTAAAGTATGAGTCAGCTGTTGAGTTCATTGTGACAGTTATGGAAATATTTAGTCATCAAACCAAAAATGCTTTATGGCAAACTCCAAATATTAAGTATTTATTTATTTATTTATTTATTTACGTATTTAGAGATAGGGTCTCTTTTGTTGCCCAGGCTGGAGTGAAGTGGTGCGATCATTGCTTACTGCAGCCTCTACCTTCTGGGCACAGATGAATCCTCCCACCTCAGCTTCCCAAGTAGCTGGGAGTACAGGTGTGCCCCATTATGCCCAGCTAATTTTTTGTACTTTTTGTAGAGATGGAGTTTCACTATGTTGCCCAGGCTGGTCTCGAACTCCGGGGCTCAAGAAATCTGCCCGCCTCAGCCTCTCAAAGTGCTGGGATTGCAGGTGTGAGCCACTGCACCCTGCCTAGTCACTGATTAATCTACTTTTAAAAGTCTGAATCAATTGGGGCAGATCAAAGAGGATAAATTGATGTTAAGAAATGTAAAAGATCAGCAGAAAAACTGGACCCTCTGCCAAACTACAGGTAGTGCTCTCTAGCCTTTCCTGAAGGGCCTTGGAATACAGATATGAGAAGCACGTCAGTGTGTTATTAGCAAGGTTCTTAGCAGGCTGTGCTTTGCCACTTCCTTGAGAGTCAGCTGTCCCAAGGCAGAGATCTTTACAATTCGACCCAGACACTGTCGGTCATACCAGGAACTCCAGCACAGAACTTTCTGGAAACTCAGATGTGAGCACTCTACTTTCACTTTGTCATACTCATTTTAGAAGTAAATAAAATATACTGTAAAATTTATATACCATATGTCAGCTATGGGCAAATGATGTTATTGGAAAAAAAATCAAATTATGAATACAACATTCTTCCAATTTCTGAAGATACTCAGCTTAGTTCTTTCTCAATGGTGGGATTATAGATGGCTTTTTTTTTCATGCTTTTCTATATTCAACAAATATTACTTTAATAGTTAGAAAACATTTTAAAATACTCTATTCTCAATAAAGCATGTAAAAGAAAATAAAGATGATAAGCATAAAAAGTATTTAAGCTGGCTAGAAATTATAAGATAAAAATTAAAATAATCACTTTATATTATCAGATGGGTTAACAGAAAGAAAACCTACTAAATCCAAATATCAGCAAGACTACCCAGGAACTGACCCATCAGACATTGCTGTAAACAGTTTAAATTGATAGCATAGTTTTAGAGAAGAATCTACAATAAGTGAAAATATTCTTCCCATTTGACTAATTATAATGATAGTAATTTATCCTAAGGAAGTACTTCAAAAATAGAAAAACAAACCATAAGCACAAGGCTTTTATTATTTTTAAAAGCAAAAAAAGTTTGTGAGAAAAACAATATAAAATAATAAATTGGCTAAGTAACTTGTGATATGTAAATTAATATGATTTTAAGTACCTATTAATATATGAAAACCATATGAGCATAAGAAAATTGTTTATAGCAATGCTAAGTTTAAAAAGAAGGAAAAGTCTACATATAATATGATTAAAATGCATAAAAATATGTAAAATGTAACTAAAGACTAGAAGGAAGCCATGGAGAAATTAGAATAATTGTGCTTGAGTCATGAGATTTTGAACGAAATTTTCAAAAAAAGTACAAGATTTTATTTTTAATGGAAATTTCTTTGTAATAAAGTATTTTAACACAAAGTATTCTCTTCAGCAACATAAAATTATTCTAAATAGAGCAGATTATGTGTTTCTTCAGACGCAAACAGGGTTTTCACCTCCTTATTTTTACCCTCAATCAGATAGGTAGCATTGTGTGTGTATTCTTAGCATCTGTATTCTTACAATTCTTGCAGTTCAATCTCCCTAGTGTAAAAAGTTCCTTTTTTAGTTTCTCCCCCAAATATGAAAACAATCAAGAAGCTATAATAATCAAAACAGTGTGGTATTGACATAAGGATAGACATACAGATCAATGGAATGGAACTGAGAGCCCAGAAATAAAATCATACATCTGTGTTCAATTGATTTTTGACAAGAGTGCCACCAAGACCATTCAATGGGGAAAGGATAGTCATTTCAACAAATGGTGCTGAGACAATTAGATAACCACAAGCAATAGAATCAAGTTGGATCCCTAACTCACACCATCTACAAAAATGAACTCAAAATGAATCAAACACATAAATGGAGGAGCAAAGACTATAACTCTCCTAGAAGAAAACATAGGGGTAAGTCTTCATGGCCTTGGATTAGGCAATGATTTCTTAGATGTGACACCAAAAACCACAAATGCAAAAGAAACAATAGATAAATGAGACCTTTTATCACAATTAAAAACTCTGCTTCAAAGGACACCTGAGGTGGGCAGATCACCTGAGGTCAGGAGTTTGAAACCAGCCTGGCCAACATGGTGAAACCCTGTCTCTACTAAAAATATAAAAATTAGCTGGGCGTGGTGGCACGTGCCTGTAGTCCCAGCTACTCAGGAGGCTGAGGCAGGAGAATTGCTTGAACCCAGGAGGCAGAGGTTGCAGTGAGCCAAGATTGCATCACTGCACTCCAGCCTGGGTGACAGAGTGAGACTTTGTCTCAAAAAAAAAAAAAAAAAAAGAATATAAAAAGATAACCCAGAAAATGGAAGAAAATACTTGCAAAGCATATATCTGCTAAGACACTTGTATCCAGAAGATTCATTTGGAACATTACTAATCTAAAATTTCAAAATCCGAAATTCTCCAAAATTCAAAGCTTTGAGTACTGATATGAGATAGTGACACCTTTGCATTCGAATGGGTCAGTGTAGACAAACTTTGTTTCATGCACAAAATTATTTTAAAATATTGTATAAATTACCTTCAGGCTATGTATATAAGGTGTATATGAAACATAAATAAATTTTGTGTTTAGACTTGTGTCCCATCCCCAAGACATCTCATTATGTATATGCAATTATTCCAAAAATCTGATAAAAATTTGAAATCTGAAACACTCCTGGTGCCAAGCATTTCAGATAAGGGATACTCAGACTGCATAAAGAACTATTACAACTCAACAACAAAAAGACAGATAATAAAATTTTAAAATGGGCAAAGAATTTGAATAGTAATTTCTCCAAGGAAGATACACAAATGGTCAATAAATACATGAAATAAATGCTCAGCACCACTAGTCATTAGGGAAGTACACATCAAAACCATAATGAGATACCACTTCATATCCACTAAGAGAGCTATAAAAATAATAATAATGAGAATAACAAGTGTTAGTGAGGATGTGGAGAAAGTGACTCCCTCATACATTGTTGGCAGAAATGTCAAACAGTAGTTCGGTAGTTCCTCAAAAAGTTAAACATGAAGTTACAGTTAAGACCAAGCAATTCCACTCCACCTAGGAATATACACAAGAGAATTGATAACAGATATTCACACAGAAACTTGTACATAAATGTTTATAAGAGCATTATGCAAAACAGCCAAAAAGTTGAAACAACCAGCCGGGCGCGGTGGCTCACACCTGTAATCCCAGCACTTTGGGAAGCCGAGGTGGGCGGATCATGAGGTCAGGAGATTGAAACCATCCTGGCTAACACGGTGAAACCCTGTCTCTACTAAAAATACAAAAAAATTAGCTGGGCGTGGTGGCGGGTGCCTGTAGTCCCAGCTACTCGGGAGGCTGAGGCAGGAGAATGGCGTGAACCTGGGAGGTAGAGCTTGCAGTGAGCCGAGTTCATGCCACTGCACTCCAACCTGGGGGACAGAGTGAGACTCTGTTTCAAAAAAAAAAAAAAAAAAATTTGACACAACCCAAATGTTCAAAAGATAAATAAGGCCCTGGGCGCAGTGGCTCACGCCTGTAATCCCAGCACTTTGGGAGGCCAAGGCAGGCAGATTACTTGAGATCACGAGTTTGAGACCAGCCAGGCCAACATTGCGAAACTCCTTCTGTATTAAATTAGCCTTCTGTACAAAAATTGGCCAGGCATGGTAGTGTGTGCCTGTAGTCCCAGCTACTCGGGAGGCTGAGGCAGGAGAATGACTTGAACCCAGGAGGCAGAAGTTGCAATGAACCAAGATTGTGCCACTGCACTCCAGCCTGGATGACAGAGTGAGACCCTGTCTCAAAAAATAAAAAAGAAAATAAAAATAAAATCAGAAAAGATAAACAAAATGTGGTGTAAACGTAAAATGGAATATTTTTAGCAATAAAAATGAAGTGCTGATATACACACTACAATATGAATGAACCTTGAATATATTGTGCTAAGTGAAATAAACCAGTCAGAAAAGACCTCAAAGTATCTGAGTCCATGTATATGAAATGTCCAGAACAGGAAAATCCACAATGAGAGAAAGCAGATTAGTGATTGCCAGGGGAAGGGAGGAGGAGGAATGGGGACTGACTGCTTAGGGGTAAAATATACCTTTTTGAAGTGATGAAAATGTCCTGGAATTGGATATTAGTAGTGGCTGCACCCCATTGTGAATAAAGATAACTGATTTGTACACTTTAAAATGGTTAAAATGGTAGATTTTATGTTATGTGAATTTTATCTCAATTTTTTAAAAAGCTTTCTAATTATCTGAAGACTACAAGAGGTGCATATTTTTTATTCACAAAGAATTAGTAAGTCTTTCAATGACAGAATTTCCATCTTTGAGTATTGTGTTTGAAGGTTATTTTGTCTCACTGTTTTTCCCCCAGATACTTCTAAAGCTGCTGTGCTCATAACTAGGGAAGCAGAAGAGGAGATCGTCCTCCTGCCCTGGCAACCAGGGATGATGGCACGTGCCTAGGCTCAAGCATGGCAATTCTCCCATCCAGAACTTGGAATCTTCGGGGTATGTCACAAAGACCCAGGGTCAGTTTGCAAATTATTCCCAGAAGTTGTGGCAGCATCAAGAGTCAGGCAGGGGCAGCAGCCCACGTTCAGCTGGAATTCTGTGGCTTAACCCAGGGGTTTTCTATGTGTCATGAGAGATAACACAACACTCTCACCAACGAAGTTGAATAAATTATATTTAGGACTCACAAGCTGGTGAGTTCTAGGAGGGAACAGCTTATGTTGGAAGGCAACTAAGGTGGTTTAGGGGCGGCTTTGGGCTTTTATTATGGCTAGGGGATGAAGTTGGGCTGGGGCTGGCACATGGGCTAGACGGGGTACTATCTGAGGTTCCTGGACATTGACAGGGGCACAGAACATCCACGGTCTTCTTAACTTGGTTGCCCAGGTGTGGGGCAAGCAGGGAAGGGGAGTGGAAACCTACCAGCTGGCGATGGACAAATGTCGCAAATGGAGTGAGCTCCTTTATAACATGCCTTGTGTGTTATTCCAGGTTCTCACTTCACAGAGCTGATAGTGTGAGATCTCAAAGAAACTGCCATGAGAGTCCTTTTCATATTAAGTTAACCAGACTTGATTTCTGTAGCTTGCAATCAAGAATCTTAACTGATGCCAAAAGAGTGAGGAATTTTGAAAAACACTGACATGCCATTTCAGATTAAACAAACAGACATGCAAACAAGCACAGAAGAACTGTGAGCACAGTTCCAAAGCAATGAGACAGATTTTCACAAATGCGTATTCTTTCTGCAGTGAGGACTATAGCAAATCTCAGAGGTCACAATGTTGGGAGAGCTCTTAAGAGGTCATGTACTTTAGGCCCGGCGTGACGGCTCATGCCTATAATCCCAGCACTTTTGGAGGCCGAGGTGGGCTGATCATTTGAGTCCAGGTGTTCAAGACCAGCCTGGCCAACGCGGCAAAACCCCATCTCTACAAAATATACAAAAATTAGCCAGGCATGGTGGCAGGTGCCCTGTAATCCCAGCTACTCAGGAGGCTGAGGCACAAGAATCGCCTGAACCCGGGAGGCGGAGGTTGCAGCGAGATGAGATCCTGCCACTGCACTCCAGCCTAGGTGACAGAGCCAGACTCTGTCTCAAAAAAAAAAAAAAAAAAAAAAATTGGTCATGTACTTCAGTCTTCGGTGCAAAGATTCTTCAGACACCTAGCATTTTAGAGTGTGAAAAGAAACAAGAAATCGTCAGGAAACAAATAAACAAAAAACCTTCATTTGCTGATAAGAAAACCTCTGCCGAGAACAAAGTTCTTTTCCCGATCATATCAGGAGTAATAAAGGATCAGAAAGCAGGCATTTAAACTTGCAGTCGAGGGACCCTTTTATCATAGCTGGCAGCTTCTTGGAATTCAGTTCAAGAGGCTTTCTCATGCCTTGGTTGTAGGAAGACCAGACTCTCCCTTCACAAGGTATAAAAGTTTTATCCTGTATCAATGCCACAGTGGTCTGAGGCTGTCTGGCTCATTTATTGAGACTAATGTATTGATGAAGCCAAGGTCATACACTTGAGTCAGGAATGAGCTGTCCATTTGGCTCAGGATGCATGGTAGAGTGTGGAGATGTTGTCCAGCCATGCTGTAAAAATGGGACCCTGCCAGGGGTTGGGAGGGGCTGGGGAGGAGTATGTGAATATCTCCGTAAATCCATTACTGCTGCTCAGAACACAGGGCAGAAGCACGCTCCCAGCGGGGCTGAGATGAAGGCAATGGCGTCAGCTTTATGTAGAACAGCTGTAATTTAGACTCTGCTTTAGAAAACAAAGTGTATTTGGCCCCAAACAGTGAAGAATTCTATTTTGCTAAACAAAACAGCCTTGCCGTTTAGGAAACATCCTTTCTCTTAGGGTAAATGCCAGATGCTTCTTCACGTAAGAACTTTCCTATTCCCCCTCTGCTCTTCACTCCTGACCAGGCCTGACCTATGAAAGGGAGAAGGGGGCCAGCCCATGAATATTCCTTGCCATGGGCCACCAGTTGCCAATGCTCACTCACCAATTTCTTATTGTTGTAATAAATTTAGAGAGAAACTGCAGCCATAAAAAAGAACAAGCTCATGTCCTTTGCAGGGACATGGATGGAGCTGGAGGCCATTATCTTTAGCAAACTAATGCAGGAACAGAAAAACAAATATCACATGTTCTCACTTATAAGTGGGAGCTAAATAATGAGAACACATGGACACAGGGAGGGGAACAACACACACTGGGGCCTATTGGAGAGTGGAGGGTGGGAGGAGGGAGAGGATCAGGACAAATAACTATTGGGTACTAGGCTTAGTACCTGGGTGATAAAATAATCTGTACAACAAACCCTCATGACATGAGTTTACCTCTGTAACAAACCTGCACATGTACCCCTGAACTTAAAAGGAAAGTATTTTTTTAAAAAAGTTTGGAGAGAACCAGGAGCACTAAATGAATGCCTGAAACAGACAGTAAATTCAGAGCAGTGAAAGACATCCCTGTGGGCTGAATGAATTAAGAATTAGTTGGAGAAAGAGCTGACACTTGAAGAATGGGGAGGATTTCACGGGGAGAGGGGTGTGGGGGTATTGGAGGAATCATTCCTAAACAGAGACACCGGGGAAAAGGTGTTCTAGACACACTCTGAGCAACCTGGAAAGAGAATTGAGGGAAGAGGAAGGTTTATTTAGGAGGGAAGGAGGGGAAGAGGGTGAAAAAGCAGCTTGAGGCCCTATTGTGTGGACTCGGGGACAGGTTGAGTAAGTGCGGTCTTCCTTCCTCTGTAGGTAGTGGGAACTATTTGCAGCTTTTTGAGCAGGGGAGGAATGACGATCAAAGCTGTATTTAAGGAAGAAGAATCTGACAGTGCTGCGTGGGCTTTGCTGGAACTGGGCAGTGAGAAGGCTAGAAATTGCATTTGTTCCGGTAAAAGTGATAAAAAAGAAATGATCAGAAGTGGAAAGGTGGGTTAGTGAACCAATGTTTCCACCTCTGAAGGGCCACGGAGCCAGGGAGGAGGATTTACTCTTCTCTGTTAAGAAGGAGCTCTGCTGTCCTGACCAAATGCCAGAAGATGTGACTTTGCTCAGACCAAGCTACCAAAGACCACTGCCCTTCGTTCCACGAGCCTGGCCCTGTCTACACAGACAGGCAACCCAGGAGCCTGATCCAGGAGCCGACAGGTAACTCTGGGCCACACAGCACTTGGCAACTGTACGTGCATAAGGAGTCTCTGTAGATGAGAGGTTCTATCGAAAACAGTGTGTTTAGCAGAGAACAGTGTGGAATTCCATGCATGGGTGATGTCATCTGCTTTGTTTGGTACCTGCCCAACCAGATACGAACTGAGGGCCATGAAAGCTGACTCACCTTCGCAGCAGAAGGTGAGCTGAGAGTCCCTGGCCCTGGCTCCCCAAAGCCTGACTTCAACCAACTCTATTTCCCTACTGATGAGAAGCTGAGTGCACCTGTCTCCAGGCCACCAGGCCTGTGGGTCCTGTCCTAGAGCTCACCTTCCAAGCCCTCAGCCCCATCTCACACACTCACACACCTGGGAAAGGAAGAAAAAGACAGGAGAGATATTCACATTTTGTTGTAAAACCTTTTAACTAGACTACATATAGGTATTAAAAACCTGGGGCTGGGTGTGAAGGCTCATGCCTGTAATCCCAGCACTTCGGGAGGCGGAGGCAGGCAGATCATTTGAGGTCAAGGGTTCAAGAACAGCCTGATCAACATGGTGAAACCCCATCTCTACTAACAACGACAACAACAAAATAGCCAGACGTAGTGGCACATGCCTGTAGTCCCAGCCACTTGGGAGGCTGAGGCACTAGAATCGCTTGAACACAGGAGGCAGAGATTGCAGTGAGCCGAGATCACACCACTGCACTGCAGCCTGGGTGACAGAGTGAGACTCCGTCTCAAAAAAAAAAAAAAAGAAAAAAAGAAAAAGAAAACAACCTGGGCCATTGCCAGTCTGTGTTTATCCAGGGCTACTGGTCAGAATATTCTGCCTGAATTAAACAGCCTACCCAGTCAAAGAAGTCGTCTAATATCTATTTTACAGAACTGACCAAATGTGTGACTATACCGGCTGTTCAGTTCATATTCTCAAAAGGTACAAATATTCTACCATCCTAAAAGTGCATCAGAAGACTTACTCAGACCCTGGCATCTTATCACTACATTTTGAGTAATAATTTTTTTGTTTCTTTCCTGTTACCACCTACATCCAACACATTTATGTGTAGCAAATAAATTATCCTTGTCACAGATATTTACAACTGCTGATTTGTTGCTCCATAAGCCCAAAAGGAGAAAACGGGTCAGCCTGACACAATTGGTAAAGAAAAAAATGAGATAAAGGGGATGTAAACATGTCTGTGATGTGGGGATATAATTATGGCTGGTGCACGTGCTGGGGTCAGGACACAGAATGAGGAAGTCCTGGGTTCTTGGATCCCGGAGCCCAGAGCAGAAGCAAAGAGACCAGGCAAGCCAGGAAGATGAAGTTGCGCTCTGGAATTCCTTGGCCCTTAAATGTACAAGTGCGGCAGGAGCAGTAGTGGCAGCCTCTTTTGCTTGTCTCCTCCAGTTCCTGCTATGGAGGGTCCCAAGGAATCCTCTGTTCACTGGGGCGAGTTGATGAACTTGGCTCAATGGCTTAGATATGAAAGCATTTCTGGCACATGTGTGTAGTCAGGGGAAATCACGATCTGCTGGAGCTTTGCTGGAACGTTCAGAGGACGGTTTCATTTCATGAAAAACTCCATCGTGGTTGGGCCCGGTGACTCATGCCTGTAATCCCAGTGCTTTGGAAGGCCAAGGTGGGAGGATCACTTGAGATCGGGAGTTCAAGACTAGCCTGGGCAACATAGCAAGACCTCATCTCTACAAAAAAACTTTTAAAAAATTAACCGTGCATGGTGGCACCTGCCTGGACGCTGAGGTGGAAGGATCCCTTGAGCCCAGGAGTCTGAGGCTGCAGTGAGCTATGATTGCACCACTGCACTGCATCCCCGGCAACAAAGTGAGACCTTACCTCAAATAAATAAATAAATAAATAAAATTTAAAACTCCATCCTCCAAGAAAGAAGTCAGGTCGGGGAAGCCTGATTCCTAGCAGAATCCCACAGGGAAGGAGAAAGACAAGCAAAGGGTTTCTTACTAAGCAGCGCTGCAATTGGCTACAGGGAACATTGCGTTTTTCAGGCCCCAGTCCAGTCGTGGGTTCTGCGACTGTGCTCTGGGCACAACCCTGCAACCCTCCTGAAAGGCCAAGTGAGAAGAGACTGGAGAAGCTGAATCCTGGTGACTCTTTCTCAGGGGTGTTGTCAGGGAATGTGCTATGCACAGATCCAAGGAGGAACTGTGCTTGCTACTCTGTTATGGGACACAGCTGTTATATGCCCGGTCCATGGTTGGCACTCTGTTCTGCAAAGTCAAGGTGGGAACCATGGCAAGGGCATTTCACAAGGCTCTCTATCTGTTTTGCCCTGCTGCAAACAGAACAGATTCCTGGGCCCACCCAGCCCTTTGAAAGCCAGGTAAAATTGCTAGGATAAGGGGTTTTCAAGCCCAGGCCTTCAGCAAAGCAAAGTCTTCTCCAAGATGCTTTCAGATCCCTGGAGGGCTTACATTGTCATGGTTCTCTCTGCTGAGATGCTGCCTCCTTAAAAGTGCACATAGCTTTGCTGAAGATGGGAAACTTTCCTGATTTCCGTGAGAAAAAAAGAAACTAAACAGCTAGCATGAGACGCACATGTAAGTATAGTAAACTTTAAGAAAGCTGGAAATCACGGTTTCATAGTACACCCAACATGGCAAGAAATCCTAAAAGTCTGGATTAGACATTCCTGTTCCCCAGCACCTTTTCAGTGTCTGTTGCTGGGGGCTGCTCTTTTGGTCCTTCAGTGAGATGGGGGCAAATATTAAAAGTGATGGTAAAAACCGCACTTACTTTCACACCAACCTAATATGTCCCTTCCTACCTGTAGCTCCTCTCTCCTCCCTTTCTCTTCCTGTCTTTTCTTCTTTTCTTTCTCTACTTCATCCCTGTAGGAACAAACATTTCTGCCTACGCCCCTGGAGTTTCACCATCTAACTTAAGCTGCCATCCAGATATTTTTCCAAACAAAGACACAGTCGATTCTTATTATTCATAGTAGTTCTATTTTATAAAATCATAGCAAACACTGAATCAGAGAGTGCTGAACCATTGCGTCTCGGGGAAACAGAGGATTAGGTTCCTGCAAATCTCTGGTCATGACATTTTTATTAACTGATTAATGGATAACCTTGTTTTATGTGTTTTTCTTTTTAAAGACAGTGTGTTTTTTACGTATTTATTTTGAGATGGAGTCTCACTCTGTCACCCAGAGTGGAGTGCAGTAGCACAATCTCAACTCACTGCAACCTTCACCTCCTGGGTTCAAGTGATTCTCCTGCCTCAGCCTCCCAAGTAGGTGGGATTACAGGTGCCCACCACCACGCCTGACTAATTTTTTTGTATTTTTAGTAGAGACGGGGTTTCACCATGTTGGCCAGGCTGGTTTTGAACTCCTGACCTCGTGACCCACCTGCCTCAGCCTCCCAAAGTGCTAAGATTACAGGGGTGAGCCACCACGCCCAGCCAAGACACCATATTTAATATATACTGTTTACTCATTAACATTGAACTCCCGACCACTAGTGCTATAACTCATACCCTAATGAAGCTTCTTGAACACACGTACTTCTCCGTAAGGCACATCACAGCCTTCTTGTACTTAGGACCACTAGACCGCTCTTCAGCACTATTTGAGGCCATTTTAAACGCAAAATCACTAACAAAAACCATAAAAATGTAAAACAAGTGCCACTAAATAGATTTCCAAAAGGACTCTTGTTTACTGTATAAGAGCTAAAACAAGAAGGCAGAGAGCCACCTTGTTCAGCCTCAGCTGGGAACAGGAGCCTCAGGTGACAATTTTTTCACTGCTCTGTGGATGTATGCTAGTGGTTACAAAAGCACCACAAGTACTGATTTGGAGGTTACAAATTAATTTTAGCAGGTAAGTGAAGTCAGAAATCTGAAATTAGTAAATAATTAGGATCAACTGTATGTCCTATTTTAAGAAGCATAATAGTGCCAACTGCGAAGGTCACAGTTTTTCCTTTGTCATGTATATATTGGCTTTTGTATGATTTTATTTGAAAAATTGGCTCTGCTGGTTGAAGGAGATTTGAAAATAATGGCTTTAGAAAACCTGATTCATAGCTCATTAAAGTTGTGGTTATTAGTCTTGTAACAAGGAACTGATGAAGCTTGTCAACTAAGTTGAATCTTATATCTAAAAAAGAGCAATATTTGTCCACATGAACAGAACAGAGGAGTCCAGAGATGGGAATGTGGTCTCTAAATGGGACCTTAAGAGTGAAACTTTTCCCTCCCTTCAGCCTGAGACACATTCTTCAGGCCTTTCAGAGTTTTCAAGAATATCCTGCAGATCACTGCAAACCTGGGGAATGTCCTGTTGTTTCAATTAAAAGACAAGAATGACTCTAATAAATTCAGGTGTTCGGGTTGAAAATCAGTACCAGTCTCTTCTGAAAAGTTTACCCTGAGGCTGTAGGATCAGCGCTGGGTGAAATGCAGTAAACTCAGACTGATGATAGGTTTACTGCAAGAGATTTTATGTTTTTTGGAGATTCACCAAGATTCCCAGGTATGGCGCCACTAACTGTTTTCACAGCTCTCCTCTGCTTGCTTTCAGCCGTCAGGCATCACTGAAGGATAGATGGGTGGGTATGTGCATGTGCATGTTATTTTCATTTTCGTTACTTGAGCAGCATTGACAAGCCTCAGTCTTTTGCGGTCCGCAGATCATGATTCTTGGCTATGCAAACCTGAGGCTGATGCATCCTCCAGCAGCTGACCACGGACATGTGCAGCATCACAGTGACAGATGGCATTTCAACCACTTGGTTTACACCTTCCTCCACTGTCACCACCATTCTGACAGAAATGAGTTCCATTTGCTCCATTTTACATAAGGGCAAAAGGCAGCATTGACTCACCAAGTTTACACAGTTAGGGAAAAGAGCAACCAGGTCAGGATCAGATACAACAAAGAAGTGATTGCAGATGTTAAATGGAACATAGCTCTGGTCGTTTGATAAATATTCAGTAATTTCTTCAGTTTGTTAAGAAAAATTATCCAAAATTTACAATTACAGAGGAAGCAAAATTTTACCTGTACCCTATTTTTTTTTTTTCTGGGGCTAAGAATTAAATTGACTTAAGACAGACATAAGACAGATCAACAGCAGAAGAACAAATTTACTTAATACAAGTTTTACATGGCAGGAGAGACTACATAAGGAAATGCAGACCCAAAGGCACAGTTAGATTGAACACTTACATACAGAATTAAAGAGTCATGAATTGTGAAAATGTCACAAGGCCAAGAAGCTTGGGCTGAGTGGTTAATTGAGTGAAAAAGTGGCTCGGAAGGTAAGTTTAGTCTAACAAGGTTTGTTTGTACAAATTTCCCTTGGCCTCAACTTCCTATCCTTGATGATAAGAGTGATGCTTTCCTTCTGCTATAGGGAAGGGATCTTTCACAAGCGAATTTCATCTCCTACTTGTAAGAAACAGAAAGTCAGAGTGACCCTCTCACACCTGTTGTTTTTCAGGTGCCCTAAACTCAAAATAGTCAATATGTCAGAGCGGCCTATTTTGGGGTGGTGTGTAACCCCTGAAAACGTAGAGTTGTCCTCTCAATGGTATATTAAGGCATCATTTAAAGGTTATTTCATTATTTAGGAAAGCAGTTTTCAAACTTTGCTTCATAATTGGAAACACCTGGGATGTTCGAAAACTATGGCTGCCTGGCTCCCACCCCTAGACATCCTGATTTAATGGTGGGGGGTGATGTGATAGGCTAAACAATAACCTCCCAAAGATGCCCACCACCTAATCCTTAGACCCTATGAATATGTTCCCTTACATGTAAGAGACTTTGCAGATATGATTAAGTTAAGGCTCTGTAGATGGGGAAAATATCCTGGATTATCTGAATACGCCCAAGGTCATCACAATGGTGATTACCAAAAGAAGGCTGGAGGGTCAGAGTCAGAGAGATAAGGCTTAAAGATGGAGGCAGAGGTCAGAGAAGACCCTGTGCTGTTGCCTCACACGGTGAGGAAGGGGCCACAAGCCAAGAAATGCATGCAGCCTTTAGAAGGTAAAAAAGGCAAGGAATGGATTCTCCTCTAGAGCCTCTAGAAGGAAGCAGCTCTTTGGACCAATTTTCAACTCTGACCTCCAGAACTGTAAGAGAATAAAGCTGGATTGCATTAAGCCACGATGTTTGTGGTAGTTTGTAACAGCAGCAATAAAAAACTAATACATGTGGGATCTCGGGTGTCACGATCAAAAAAAAATTTCTCCAAGTGATTTTAACATGCAGAAAAGTTTGAGAACCCATCAATCTAAGGAAAGGTACTTGTGTTTGACTCTGTCATTAACTTGGTTCAGAGCTAGACACTACTGTGAGGTTACATGTTAGTTTGTAGATTTCTATTTGGTAGAGATGATAACCTCAATTTCAGATTGTATTGCCTGTAGGATGTTAACAGTTTTGCGTCTAATCCAGGAATCTTATTCTGGCATTTTTCCCCCTAAAATGCCTCTGAATATTCAGTTCCTCAAAATGCTTTTGGAACCAGCATTACCAACATACTGGTTCCCTCAATGAGTTGAATACATTTTTGATGCCTGTTCATTCTATATTTAGATGACAGTCACGTTTCTAACTCTTTGGATATACACTTTCACATGTTCAATAAGTATTTACAAGGAGGCAAAAACAAAATGACATGAGGATACCAATATTTTCCCATTGAAATAGATTGAAGTAAGATGGAAGAACTTTTTCTGAAGTTAGGGAGATGAGGTCAGATCAATCACTGTCAGTGAGGCCACACAGATTGGCACTGGGGTAAACCCATCTTCTGCAGCCACCTTCCTAATTCTCAGGCCCTGCTGTTGGGCAGGACAGGCTTGAAATCCTTCTCCTCCTTCATAGCTGTATAATCTTGAGAGTATCTTCTTATGGCCTCAATTTCTTCATCTGAAAAATTCTAATGGTATATGTCAGAGCATCGGGAGAGGAATTTCAAGAAATTGCATAGAAAGCATACAGCCGGGCACCAAGGTAGTAGTCCTCAATTTAAACATTACACAGACAACTGAGCAGAATTGCTCACGAGTGGCTGCCGGCAGCAATCCCCACTTTTGTTACCTCTGGAAGTGATGATGATACCACTGACAGTTGCAGGGGCAGGTAGATTCCATTAAACGGCTGAAAGAGTAAATTTGCTTCCAAGAAGATCTAACTTTTGGCTGGGTAGAAATTTCAACACAAAGGAGAGCCTGACCCCATTTACTGTGCACTCAGGCAGCCTGCAGGACTTTGGAGCTGATGGTCTACATATCACACTGGGGATAGGATGCCATTACCGACCTGCTTTCCCTTTGACATTTCTGCCATTTAGGTACTTTCCTCTTACTGATAGGCTGCACCTGGTTTCATGTTACATGTGTGGCAGCTAAATGGGAATTCATGAGCTTGGCATGTCTTCCCATAGCTAGCCCTCAACAAGACTGAAAGAGTGGGCACTATTTGTAAATGAAAAGACTGTGGGCAGACAGGCAGTCAGCAGCAGAAACTACATTCGTTTACAAATCTCCTTTGCTTGGCTCCAAGGGACTACGTGTCCACACACATAAATACACAGAGGTCCTCATCAGGGCCAAAGACGCATGTGCCTCTCAGCCACCTCTAGGAAATTCTCCCCTGGGCTGCTGAGGTTGAGATAACCTTACAAAGGCTCATACGTAGAACTGGAAGGAAGTCAAACCCAGCAAAGACAAATGATTGAGAATCCGGAGAGATTGATTTCAGGGATTAAATACCTACTCGGTCGATTGATCCAACCGTGAATCAAGATAGATAGGAGTGACAACCATGCAAGGAATTTTGACAAGATAAAGTGCCAGATAGGTAAGGCCTCATTTAAGGTCACCCAGAGGTTATGTGGGAAGTAAGTAAAGCAAGAAAATTGCATCTATCACTAGACTAGGAGAAAACAAAAGAGAATGTATAACATTGCTAAACATGAAGGACAGCTGCAGCCCTTCATTTGGGTAAATTATGTAGATGAATCAGATATTTTTATTTATAAGTATGCAAAGTTCATTAATTCCATTGATCAGTTGTATAACAAATATTTACTGGCGTTCCACAAATACTAGGCATGCTAAGTATACATGAGAAGTACAACCAGGGCTGGGCACAATGGCTCATGCCTATAATCCCAACACTTTGGGAGGCTGAGGTGGGCAGATCACTGAGGTCAGGAGCTCAAGACCAGTCTTCTGGTCAATATGGTGAAACCCTTTTTGTACTGTAAATAAAAATATTAGCCAGGAGTGATGGTGCACGTTTGTACTCCCAGCTACTCAGGAGGGTGAGGCAGAAGAACCACTTGAACCCGGGAGGCACAGGTTGCAGTGAGTCGAGATTGCATCACTGCACTCCAGCCTGGGCAACAGAGCTTGACCATGTTCAAAAAAAAAAAAAAAAAGAAAAGAAGAATACACTCAGCCTCAAGGAATGCATATTATCTCAACGCCACTGTGCAGATATATAGCTAGTAGAATTGTGTCATAGGAATGAGCAGTTCATATAGCTTGGATTTTCTGTCCCTACCAAACCTCACGTCAAATTGTAATACCCAGTGTTGGAGGTGGGGCCTGGTGAGAGATGACTGGATCATGTAGCCAGCTTGCTCATGAATGGTTTAGCACCATTCTTCTTGATACTGTCCTGCTGATAGTGAGTGAGCTCTTGTGAGATCTGGCTGTTTAAAAGTGCATAGTACCTCCTCCCTCGATCACTCTTGCTCCTACTCTGGCCATGTAAGATGTGCCTGCTCCTCCTTCACCTTCTGCCATGATTGTAAGTTTCCTGAGACCCCCCCAGAAACCCAGCAGATGCCAACAACATGTTTCCTGCATAGCCTGCAGAACTGTGAACCAATTAAACCTCTATTATTTATAAATTACCCCATCTCAGGTATTTCTTTATAGCAATGCAAGAATGGACTAATACAGTGAGATATGAGGGATATTTAAAATTAGGATTATTTTATGTAATTTAGTATCTACTTCTATATGGTTAGGTAGTCCTGCTTCGGACATCTGGAAATAAGCTCTTTTCTCTATTTCAATTTTAGGAGACTTTAACAAATCTAGTGTAGTTCACTTCTTAACCAATTAATTGATGTGTGAGTATTTATTTGTCACAGGCAAAATACCACATAAGGAACATTTTCTCTTCTTCCGCCAAAGGTATCTCCGCCCTATGAAGGCCTTGATGGGGAGCAACTCAGGCCTTGAAGGTAAATGTCCTGTCCCACAGGTGCCATGAGCTCCGGGAAGTAGAGACGTGATCAGACTCCCCTGCTACAGCCTTGTACTTGTCACCGAAGGGAGATGTGCAGGTGCAAGCCCGACCAAGGGACACCTCCGTGGCCATGACAGCTTTTCTTCTTAAAAGAAAAAACCGGACCGTGGGTTCAGAAATCCAAATCCATTTGTTTATACTCGATTCATACCAAAGACTACAAAATATACTTGTTAATCTATATTTAATATAGCTACTTAATACATTTAGTCATCTCATTTTTAATATTTTTTATTATTCATTTTAATCTCTTTTCTTATTTACTTAACAGCAAGCTTATCCTTAAAGATCATCTCATTTTTAAATTTTCATTCTATACTTCAGATATAGTTTCAAATTATCTTTTTTAATTGAAAATCGCAATTTGAGAACTACGGAAAGGTATCATTGAACCAGAAACTCCTGAACCTGAGTATAGCTGAGAATGCCTGAATGTAGCTGGGTGTACCTGAGTTTACCTTAGTTTACCTGAGTCAACCTGTGTTCCTGCACAGACCATATAAATTTTCTCCCAGATAAGAATGAAGATGCGGCTAACAGACATAACCTGTGAGGGGCAGCAGTGTCAGCCCTGGTCTTTCCATTAGCTGCAAAGGAAGTCTGAAGCAGGCTAGACTGTGCCAGAACGAACCGTTTCAGAAACTGCTCAGGCCTGAGTGTGAAATGGGCATCGGATGTAAACAGAACCATGACACAGACTTAGGAATGTTTACTAAATGGCATCTCACCCCCGTAATAGAGATGGAGGCAGCCTTGAACCCCAAACCTCCCAGGAGGTGGAAAGATCAGGTAGGAAGGGGAAGGAAGATACCAAAGTCTTTAGCAAGGTGACTCTTCCGCATTACAAATGCAGTTTCAGAATTCAGATTCCCGCTGCAAGGGAAAGAGTAGGACGCGGACAGAGAGATTGTGTGTATTTCATCCTGGCTACCTTAGGAATGGCTTCTGGAACATGTTTTATGCTCTAATGAGTCGTGTTAGGCTTCTCACATGGCACCAAATAGAATTTGTCAGTTTGCTACTGATGTATTAGCAAATTCTGAATTCGCCCCCACCCCCTCACACTACTGTTTTTAGGACTTTTATTTTCAGATGCTTTAGTAATGATAAAAGATGAAACATGCTTAATACTATGAAGAATCAGTTACATTAACAAACTCTCACATCCCTGTGTTTGGAAACGTAACTCAGCATAGGGGCACAGTCTGTCAGTAAGACCCAGGTTAACCCTCTTTCTCCCTTCCCTTGTTAGCTGCACAATCATCTGTTGAAAGCCTCTTGTAGTCTCTGCCTCAGTTCTCCGGTGCTAAATGGTTGTTCTTCTCAGAAGAACATAATAAAAATTAAGCAAGACAAAAATAGAACAGTTTCAATGCGAAATCATTTAGTTAGAAAAATATACCTAATTTTTCTGCTTATATTTGCAAAGAAATCCTGCAATAAATATTTTGAAAGGAATGAAGATGAGTCCAATAAATTTATATTTTATTTTTATAATGGACTTTAGAATATAGAGGGACTCAGTTATGTTAGTAAATGCAATACTTTGCAAAACACTTTGCAAATGTGAAGAACTTTAGTCCAACTATTTATACGTCATATCACTTTTCTATTGCTGCATTAAAAAGCTCCAAACCTAGGAACTTGAAATAACAAACACTTTGTTTCACATAGTTACTAAGGTTCAAGAATCTAGGAATGGGGTGGCTGCATGGTTCCGGCTCAGGATGTCTCACTAAGTTGCAGCTGAACTGTCATCAGCGGCTGTAGTCTCTGAAAACTTAGCTTCTGGGGCTGGAGGCCCCATTTCCAAGTTCAGTCATGTAGCTGCTGGCAGGAGGCTTCTGTTCCTTCCTATGTGGGACGCTCCATGAAACTGGTCACAACATGGCTTCCTCCAGAGTGAAACTGATTACAACATGGCTTCCCCCACCCCCAGAATGAAACTGATCACACAACATGGCTTCTCCCCAGAATGAAACTGATCGTAACATGGCTTCCCTGAGGGCAAATATCTACATGAGACAAGGAGCAAGTGTGATGAAATCAAAATATTTTATAATCTAATCTTGGAAGTAACATCTCATTACTTCTCTGTATTCTACTGATCAAACAGACCAGCAACCCTGAGCCAGTATGGATTTCGTCACACTACACAAAGATATGAATCCCAGGGGGCAGGGACCATCTTGGAGGCTTGGCTACCACAGAAAACAAGTTAAACAGATGATCCTTTTTAAAATCCTTGTCCTGTGGCTTTTAACATACTCATATTAAGATTAATAAGCCTATTTTACTAGTAGGGTCTCCATTTAGCCATAGAATCAGAGCCATCAACCTGGGACAAAAAGTAAGATTTTATCAACTAGTATAAAAATATACTAAACTACTCAACTGAGGCACTAAGGTATCCAATATTGAAATTCGTTGTGAGACAAGCATCAATTTTTCAAAAGAAATATCTGAAAAGTGGTTAGACAAGTCTTAGGCTTTGCACCCAAGGGCTATTCCCACATACCAGAAGTATAAAAAGGTCAAGAGAGAGGGAAATCAGAAAGAATGTGTGAGGGGAGTTGGTTTGGAAGGGGTAATTGATTGCTATGAGTTCTATCTAAAGGTGACGAGTGAGAGTAGCTTTAATTGAATTGTTTGGAGGGCTTCAAATGTGTTCTTTGTGGCTGAGGCTGCAGAATGGATGGACATCTGACTCTGTCCAGGAAATCTGGAAGTTAGGAGAGATGTGTTGCTGAGCTCATTGACACTCTGTAAAGAAGAGTCACTGGCTTGATAAAATCATGTCATTTGCAGCAACATGGATGAAACTGGAGGACATTATGTCAAATGAAATTAGACAAGCACAGAAAGACAAATATTGCATGTTCTCACTCACATGTAGGAGCTAAAAAATATTGATCTCACGGAGGTAGAGAATGGAATCATAGATACCAGAGGGCAGAAAGGGTATGTGGTGGGGAGAAGGGGGTTGGATAAAAATAAGCTGGTTAATCAGTACAAACATATAGTTAGATAGAAGGAATAGGTTTTAATGTTTGACAGCAGACTACGGTGACTATAGTTAACATGAATATATTGTATATTTCAAAATAATTGAAAGAGAGGACTTAAAATGTTCCCAACACAAAGAAATGATAAATATTCCAGGTGATGGATATTCTAAATACCTTGATGTGATCATTACACATTCTATGCATGTAACAAAATATCACATGTACCCTGTAAATATGTACAAATATGATGTATCAATAAATAAAAATTTAAAAATATATTTCTTAAATTAACTTTATCTGAAAGACATTCTACATACTGTACTCAGTCAATTGGATGTCATCATTTCATTCCAGGATCCTCTGCTAATTCCTGAGTTTACTGATTGGGATCTCTGCACTAATTTGAAATGATTTCCTAACATGCTCCTGCCCGGGATGATTGGAAAGGTTAACTACTATCTGACTGTTAAGCACCCTATAAATAAAAACAGCATGAGTAATACTAGCTATATAGTAGAAGATTAGTAACTGTGACCTTTTTAGCATAAAAAAGATACTTTATATTTTAAATGCCTTTTACCCCAGTGGGAAATACACAGAGGTGGTGTTGTGGGTTTTTAAAGGGTTGTAATAGGTAGCAGAGTAAGAGCATAGTTATGATAAATAATAGCTGTCAACTGAAGCATTCATGTAAAATTTATGATGTAGTCAAGTAACAATGACCCACTTTTCATCTCTATCACATTCAGCTGGAAACAATGAAGAATCAGTCTTTTGAGCTTTTGCATGTATTCTTTGATTTTTTTTAAAGACAATATACCAAATAAACAACAGTATAATAAAATCTCTCTAATGTGCATTCTGTTGATATGGGACTTGAACTTGACTAAAGTTTACGTTTGTACCACCTATACAAAAGTTATTTGCTCCGTTTAAAGAAAGAAAAGCTGGGAGTAAGAGTGTGTCTAAAAGGAAATAATTATTTTCAAATCTTCAATGTGTTGGTAACTGAACTCAGGTTACTATATTAATTTGGAAATAAAATTATTTAAATACTTTTTAAAAGCCAGGTATTATGGCAAATGCTTGTAGTCCCATCTACTTGGGAGACTAAAGCAGGAGGATCGCTTGAGCCCAGGAGTTGGAGTCCATAGTAAGCTATGATTGCACCAACACACTCCAGCCTGGGCAACAGAGTGAGACTCCATCTCAAAAAAAAAAAAAAAAGAAAAAAAAGAAAAACTTTTTTGAAAAGAGTCGCTGCTTGAGATTTCCTAGAATATGCAGAGTCAGCCTGGGCAGAGAATGCATAAATGTTTCCTATAGAACCAAAAAGGATCCTGGGTGAGAATGAGCTATCCTGGATCCATTTACAATCCAGGTAGAGGCCAACATGAAGGAGGAGAGACCAATGGAGAAATTCTTCATGGCCTAAACCAACGAAAAAACAAGGTCTGAACCTGGAGCGGCCATTGATGAAAGGGAATTGACCACATCTCAAGATCTGCGGTCTGAGGAGCACCGCTAGGAGAGTCTCCAAATATCCCACAAAATGGCTGATGAGAGAAAAAGTTGGTTTTAAAAATCTAGAGATCCCAAGAGAGTGAGTCACCTCAGACCAGTAGCAGTTGAGCAAGAACTTTCCAACATCCCCTTACTCCCTGCCCTCTCCCCTGCCTGCCTGGGTCCCAGTTGGCAAACTATGAGGGTAAGAGGACCCCCACCCCCCGCCATACCACACCCCAGCAACCAGGCAGCTCTCAGTGGGGTCCAGCAGGGGGAGGCAAGAGTTAACGTTAACTCAAGTTTAAAGTGTATTACCTGGGGCTGGACTTTTTTTGTTGTGTTGTGTTGTGTTTTGCTTTGTTTTGTTTTTGAGACCAAGTTTTACTCTGTCTCCCAGGCTGGAGTGCAGTGGCATTATCTCAGCTCATTGCCACCTCTGCCTCCCAGGTTCAAGCAATTTTCCTGTCTCAGCCTCCTGAGTAGCTGAGATTATAGACGTGTACCTGCCACGCCCGGCTAATTTTTTTTGTATTTTTAGTAGAGACGGGGTTTCACCGTGTTGGTCAGGCTGGTCTCAAACTTCTGGCCTCAAGTGATCAGCCCGCCTAGGCCTCCGGAAGTGCTGGGATTACAGACGTTAGTCGCCGTACCCAGCCTGGACGTTTATATTATTGGAATGACACCATGTGTCTTGAAATGTTTGAAGAACTTTTACCAAAGAGTTACCAAACCACGTTGTCAGAGAGTAGTCAACCCAGGGGCAGGGTTATGATGACACACTGTGAGACAAAATAAGGCTACTTATCTGATTATATCATATGATTTCTTGTTCGATTTATAAAGTTTACTAGCAGTGGCCTCTGTGTTTGATATTAGGGCCATTTTTACCAGGAGGATTCTGATGGCTCCAGAGGTGAATTACAGCTAGAACAGCCCATATTGTTACAGGGGAGAGATGGACAGAAAAACAAGTAAACTGGATGATCAATGGAGCCAAAATGTCCATCTTGTTCAAGGCCTGCAGGGTTAAGGCTGTAAGGGCAGTTTTTTCTCAAGGCCTCTGATAGGTCCTTAACCCACCCACATCAGGGTGAAAAACTTAGAAGCCCTTCAACCTTTGGTGCTTCATTTGTTTGTTCATTAAATCACTTATTCATTCAACGGTATTTTCCAGAGGCTCTACCACATGCCTGGAGCCCTTTTACTCTTAGAAAAACTGTCTCACTATCTTTTGTATGGAGCTGTTTTCTCTATCACCAAGACTTCTGAGTGTCATCAGCTGCGTTTAGCCGGGTGACAGCTTTCCTGTAAGGAATATGTGGACGGGGTTTAGAGAAAGTGGGTATTATATGTAAGTGTGATATCAAACAGGGACCCTGGAAACATCTGATACTTTTCTTTCATATATATTATATATTTATATATTTTATATATGTATGGATATATACACACATATCATATGTTCATATTTACATGTATATGTGTAGATATTCTTGGTAGTGCAGTTAGAAAAGACTTGGAATCTGGAAAGTTTACAGGAAAAATAGTATGTTCTATTTTTATAATACTTTGTGGAATGCTACCTGTTTTTTTCTCTTAAAAAAGTCATTCCTTTACAGCCCAACCCTCTCACATGCAAAAGATCCATTATCCATCTTGGCGAGTACCACAAAGGCAGAGTCGTTTTATTCTTAAAAAACACTAAAGTCTTCTGCTGCGTACAACATTTTCTTTCTTTCTTTCTTTTTTTTTTTTTTTTTTAGACGGAGTCTTGCTCTGTCACCAGGCTGGAGTGCAGTGGCGCGATCTTGGCTCACTGCAACCCCCGCCTTCCAGGTTGAAGCGATTCCCCTGCCTCAGCCTCCAGAGTAGCTGGGACTACAGGGACGCGCCACCATGCCCGGCTAATTTTTTATATTTTAGTAGAAATGGCATTTCACCACGTTGGCCAGGATGGTCTCGATCTCCTGACCTCGTGATCCGCCCGCCTCTGCCTCCCAAAGTGCCAAGATTACAGGCGTGAGCCACCGTGCCTAGCCTGTGTACGACATTTTAAATAACATTTTTGGGGTCTTATGTCTTTTGGGGGAAGATTTTTATATATATTTATAAATTATAACATTTAGATCCTTAATATATCTGAACTTAATTTGGGTGCATAGTGGTAGATAACAATGCATTGAATTGTCACTTCAAACAAATAAACAGCCAAATTTCCAAATACCGTATATGAATAATTCATAGCTGCCTACTTATTGGAAAAGAAATCTCTAACATATACTTAATTTCCATGTCTCTGTTTCTGTATTCTATTCAATCTGTATTCATGCTGGTATAAAAATATTTTAATATTGTAGTGTTAAAGTAAAAATTTTTTTAGAGATCGAGGTCTCACTATATTGCCCAAGCTGGTCTCAAACTCTTGGGCTCAAGGCATCCTCTGCTTCAGCTTCCCAAGTAGCTGGGACTACAGGGGTGCACCACCGTGCCTGACTGAAAGTAAATTTTGATATCTGGCAGCTCCTCAGTTCACTGAACACCTGGACTGCTCCAACCTGCCCCCAATCCAAACACCTTCACTTGATCTCCACATCTGCCCCTCTCGACATTCTGCTCAAGCAGGGGACACCTGTCTCAGCAGCAAGTTTAAGTGGAAAAGACTGAAGAGTTTTTTTTTTTTTGGTTGATCATAGGTTTGCCACTTACAGTGTGGTAGCTAAAACCCAAGGCAACGTTAGGCTGTATGGATAGGAGAATCATGTTTAGAGAATGATAAATAATGGTTGTAGAATCATCTATCAGAATATATCTGGAGGTGGAGCGTGGTGGATCATGCCTGTAATCCCAGGACTTTGGGAGGCTGAGGCGAGTGGATCACCTGAGGTCAGGAGTTCGAGCCCAGCCTGGCCAACATGGTGAAACCCCATCTCTACTAAAGATACAAAAATTAGCTGGGCATGGTGGCACACGCCTGTAATCCCAGCTACTCAGGAGGCTGAGGCAGGAGAATCGCTTGAACCCAGGAGGCAAAGGTTGCAGTGAGCTGAGATCACGCCACTGCACTCCAGCCTGGGCGACAGAGTGAGACTCGATCTAAAAAAAAAGAAAAAAAAATCACATCTGGAGTCCTAGGCTCATGGCTGGGCACCCCCTGGGGACAGGAGAATTTCCATACTAGAATGAGGCCAGAGGACAGCTAGATTCCCAACCATATGAGGGAAACAGGGAGGGGTGCTTTGTCCTGAGAGGAGAGGACCCGGGAACTGCTGGAGATTGTCCTCAAGTTTAAAGAGGGGCTGTGCAAAACTATCTTGCCTAGAAGGAAAAAAGAAGGGAGTAGAAGAGTTAAAGAAAGCTAGTCCTCAGCTCTGTGTTGAGAATTTTCTAGAAAAAAAATAACATTCTCAAAACAAAAGGGCTGGACTTGAGGAGGTAATGGATGCCTGTAATCAAAAATACTTCAAAAGAAGCTGTGTGCTGCAGAAAGGATTCTGTTTGGATAGGAAAGTGAACTTGGTGCCTCTGTGGATCTTTTCCATTTCCTTATATTCACTTTCCCTTCCTTGAAACTTTTCAGCTCACAGTGCTTGCACCCTGTGCTAGATGATTATAGAACTTCTAGCCTGTACCTGACATTCATCTTGCAACGTTTCTTGAGCTGTTTTTTTTCTTACATTGTTATTTAAATTTCTACACTTTGTCTCTCTTGAGTTCAAGAACTATTCCTTGAAAGTCTTCCCCGCAAACCCCTTTCACAGCACCTAGTCCAGTTCCTTGCATTTAAAACTAGCTTGATACATATTATTTTTTTGTTCAGCAACATGCTGACTAATGTGCCACTCCTCCAAACTCCAGTCACCAAGAAATTCACAATGTGCTTTTTAAGGGTTCTCTTTCAGAAATGCCCACCTTCTTCTTTGATATCTCTAAAACTTTCATCCTCATTCATTTCCCCTTCTCCATTTCCTTTTCTGTTATTTTTTTCTATAATTTTTTTTTTCTCTTTAGAGACGGGGTCTCACTATGTTGCCCAAGCTGGAGTGCAGTGGCTATTCACAGGCGTGATCCCATTACTGATCAGCATGGGAGTTTGAACCTGCTCAATTCCCGGCCCGGGTGGTTTCACTCATCCTTAGGCAATGTGGTGGTCCCCCACTGCTGGGAGGTCACATGGATGCTGAACTTAGTGTGGACACTCTATTGGCATGGTGCACTACAGCCCAGAAGTCCTGGCCTCAAGCGATCCTCCCATCTCAGGCCTCCCACGCCCCTAGTAGCTGGGACTACAGGCACGTGCCACCGTGCCTGGCTCCTTTTCCATTATTTTTAAAGGAAAGAATAGTCTTTTCCTGAAATTAAGCCCCTTTTTTGCGGTCAGAATATAGACAGGAGGGGAACAGATGGCTGACTTTTGAGGAGACAATTCCAGGCTGCTGAGGCTTAACAAAGAGAATAAAGGGTAATTTACCAAAGACTTAGAAAGCCACAGGGCATTTGAGATTGTTTAAAGCCCCAGACCCACTGCCCTTGCCAACTCCTCCACACTGCCTCTCCCCCAGCCCCTCCAGCCTTCAGAAAAACGTGAGGTTGCCAGGCTGCCACCAACATAGCCACTCGGAGGCTGTGGCTCTCCCAAGCACATGCGCGAGGCTGCACTGGCTAAAGGCTGGGTGCCATTGTCTTTCAGCAAATAGCCTTGGTTTGTGCACCTGGCTGCAATCCCAGGACCCCTGCTGTGAGAGCTAAACAGACAGTGTAATGGAGCATTGGGGTCTTTATTTCACTGTAGGGGGAATGCCTTGTTCGGGTTCTCATTTCTTTTTTTTCCTCCCGAAAAACTCAGCTTGATGCTTCCTGCATCTGCTCTGTTGCGTGAGCCTGTGCGTCCAAAACCCCTTTTTATTCTATTCCTGATTTTCTTTAAGTAGAAAGCTTGCAAAATGGCCCCATCTGCTTCTTTCAGACTTGGGCCACAAAGGGAACCTCCGTTCGCCACAAAGACATGTCCCTTGGTCACTCTGTTGGGCTATCTCCACTGCCATACTAACCCTACACAGAGAAGTCACCAGGACTGCCAGGAGAAAACGCTGTCTGTGCTTTTGTTTCCTTATATTCTGGAGAGAAATGTAAAATGTACAAGATTCACTGCAGAAATACCCAAGGGGCATGTGGGCCCCCTGGAACCCAGGGTGGCTGAAGCAATGCGGAGAGAACCTGAAGTGGGATGGAGGGAAAGTCATTAGCCACATGAGGCACTACACTGACTTCATCTGACCTCTGGGTTTTCGGGGATAAAAGGTAATGCTAGTCCGGGCGCAGTGGCTCAGGCCTGTAATCCCAGCAATTTGGGAGGCCAAGATGGGTGGGTCACCTGAGGTCAGGAGTTCGAGAACAGCCTGGCCAATATGATGAAACCCCGTATCTACCAAAAAATACAAAAATTAGCCAGGTGTGGTGCTGCACACCTGTAATCCCAGCTACTTCGGAGATTGAGGCAGGAGAATCGCTGGAACCTGGGAGGCGGAGGTTGCAGTGAGCAGAGATCATGCCACTGCACTCCAGCCTGGGTGACAGAGTGAGACTTCATCTAAAAAAAAAAAAAAAGGTAATGCTATATTCTGAGTTGCAACCAAAAGCCCTGTGGACTGGGGAGGGATTTGGCTTCATTTAGATTCATGAAGACCCAGACTCCGCACATACAAACCAGAGCAGCAGACATTCATGGAATTCTTTCCACAGTTGAACCTTGAACAGTGTGGGAGTTGAGGACATACCCTGGTGCAGTCGGAAATCCTCGTATAACTTTTGACTCCCGCAAAACTTAACTGTGAACAGCCCACTGTTGACTAGAAGCCTTACTGATAACATAAACAATCGATTAATACATATTTTTTGTGTGATATGTATCATGTACTGTTTCTTAGAATAAAGCAACCTAGAGAAAAGAATATGTTACTAAGTAAATCATAAAAAAGAGAAAATGTACTTTATTTATTTATTTATTGAGAAGGAATCTTCCTCTGTCGTTTAGGTTGGAGTACAGTGGTGTGATCTTGGCTCACTGCAGCCTCTGCCTCCTGGGTTCAAGCTATTCTCGTGCCTCAGCCTCCTGAGTAGCTGGGATTACAGGCACACACCACCACACCCAGCTAATTTTTGTATTTTTAGTAGAGACAGGGTATCGTCAGGTTGGCCAGGCTGGTCTCCAACTCCTGACCTCAGGATCTGCTTGCCTCGGCCTCCCAAAGTGCTCGGATTACAGGCGTGAGCCACTGCACCCAGCCAAGAAAATGTATTTAGTATTCATTCAGTGAACATCAATTATCATAAAGGTCTTCATCTTTGTCGTCTTCAGGTTGAGTAGACGAAGGAGGAGGAGGAAGAGAAGGGGTTGGTCTTGCTATCTCGGGGCGGCAGAGGTGGAAGAAAATTTGGATATAAGTGAATCTCTGAAGTTCCAATCTGTGTTGTCCAAGGGTCAGTTTTACTTTTTGTGCCCAGTAATGTGCCAAGTACTTGCAGGTGAGGGGAGTGAGGAACTTATATTCAGTCCCAAAAGAAACAGACACATTTTAATGTGATGCAATGATTGTTATGGCAGGTGTGCACCAGGAACAGTGGGTACCCACGGGTGGTGGCCAGTCCAGCTTCTAAAGAATGCTCAGAGTCTGGGTCTTTGTGAATCTAAATTAAGCCAAATCCCTCCCCAGTCCACAGGGCTCCAGGTTGCAACTCAGGATACAGCATTACTTTTTTTTTTTTTTTTTTTTTTTTTTTTTAAGATTGAGTCTGGCTCTGTTGCCCAGGCTGGAGTGCAGTGGTGTGATCTCGGCTCACTGCAACCTCCACTTCCCCGGTTAAATGTCTGATATTGTAGTACAAATAGAATTCCCAACAATTGGGCAAATCAGCAGAAAAGAGAGTTTCAGGAACAAGGTATCACACAAGCAAACTAGGAAAACATAAAACACCATTGTCTAAGAGGCAAAATCATAATCCCTCCTGGAAGTGCAGGCAGGCCCCTGCAGATGGTTTGGAGTACAAGGTACAGAAGCGGGAAACGAAGATGGTGAGGCAGGGCCACCTCAGAGATGGCATCTTGTAACAAATGAAGGGGCTCTAGGGAAAGAGATTCTGCTGAAGTTTTTAAGCAAGGAGAGACAGGTCCAGATTTGCCCCATAGAAGGATTGCCCTGGAAGTAGCAGGGGGCCAGGTGTGTTGGTTCATGTCTGTAATTCCAACATCTTGGGAGGCTGAGGCAGGTGGATCACCTGAGGTCACAGTTCAAGGCCAGCCTGGCCAACATGGTGAAACCCCGTCTCTACTAAAAATACAAAAAAAAAGAAAATTAGCCCAGCATTGTGGCATGTGCCTGTAATCCCAGCTACTCAGGAGGCTGAGGCAGGAGAATCGCTTGAACTCAGGAAGTGGTTGCAGTGAGCCAGGATCGCACCACTGCACTCCAGCCTAAATGACAGAGTGAGACACCGTCAAAAAAAAAAAAAAAAAAAAAAGGAGGGAAGATGAATTTCGCAGAGGAAGTACTGCTGCACCGGGAGAAGCCATGGGCAGGTAAACCCTTTGGGTCACTAAACTCCCTATCCTTGGCTCCTGTACTTCTCTCACACTGCAACCCAGTATTTCCAGAAACTCTGTTGTCTTTACTTTCAAAATATTTCTACAACCTGCCTTTTCTCACCACCTCCACTGCTACCACCCTGTCTCAGCCACCAATATCTCTCACCTGGATTGTGGCTACAGCTGCCAGCCTTGTCTCCCGGTTTGTCTCTGGTTTCTTAAGTTTGTTCTCAAGGCAGCAGGCAGAGTGACCTTCTTAAAACAAACATCAGGTCCCATGATTCCTCTGCTCAAAACTCCACAATGCCTCTTCGTCCTGTTCAGCTGAAGTTCACATAGTGAACCCTCATCGCACTTCTAATCACTCTCTCCTGGCTCCTGCGCCTCCAGCTGTGTTGTTTCACTTGCACACTAGCAGCCACGTTCCCAATTGAAGGCCCCTTCCCTCTGTCTGCCATGTTTTCCCCCAGGGAACACGTGGCTTTTCTCCTTCAAGCCTTTCATAAAATGTTATCTTCTCAAAAAGGCTTACTCCAATTATCCTATTTAAAAAGGCAAACTACAGCTTCTCCACCCAAATTCCTCCTAGCACCTATGTCCTATGCATAGTAGTTATTATTATCATTTCTTTTTTGAGACGGAGTTTCACTCTTGTTGCCCAAGCTGGAGTGCAATGGCATGATCTTGGCTCACTGCAACCTCTGCCTCCCAGGTTCAAGCGATCCTCCTGCCTCAGCCTCCCGAGTAGCTGGGATTACAGGCATGTGTCACTACACCTGGCTAATTTTTGCATTTTTAGTAGAGATGGGGTTTCACCATGTTGGTCAGGCTGGTCTCGAACTCCTGACCTCAGGTGATCTGCCCACCCTGGCCTCCCAAAGAGCTGGGATTACAGGCGTGAGCCATCGCACCCAGCCAGCAGTTATTTTTTAAATTTACTACATAATTTCTTAAAATTCATTATATTTTTTAAATTTGCTGTACAATTTACCCATTCATTATGTTTTTATTTTCTGCCCTCTTTTTTCCCCTAAATATTCTAGGGCAGGGATCTTTGTACATTTGGTTTACTAATTGTATCCCACTTTCCTAGAATGGTGCCTGGCATGCAATATATCCCCAACAAATATTTTTTGAATAAGTAGCAGTAGTTCAGATAAGCTATAAGGGACTGAATTAGAACTATGATACTGCAAAGAAAAGGAGAAAGACTTCAGATATAGTCATAAGATTTCCCAATTACTCAAAAGTGCTGGGTGACAGAAGGGGAATGGTGTGGAATGAATGTCAGGCTTGGATGACTAACTGGGACAGAGGACAACTTGGTATGGAGGACAGGGAAGATAATGACGAGCTCTGTTCGGGACATTTTTAGTTGGACTTGGCTTTGGAATACTCAAGTGGAGACTCCGCAGGAAGTTAGAATTCAATTTTAAAGCTCACTAGAGAGATTAGAACAGATGCTGTACAATTAGAAGCCATCAGCAAACTGACTTGCAAATAAGCTATTGGCACCCTAACTCAAGGGACTAGATATCAGTAGCCAGCAAGAACTCTATATTATGTTATATTCATACAGAGAAAATATAATGCATATAATGCATACAGAGAAAAGAGAATTTCCAGGCACATTCTACAAGAGATGGCAATATTTGTCTATAATTTCAAATTTTATTCTCCAAGGCTGGTTTTTCCTATGAGATATGAGCTATAACATCCCAAGATGAAACAAAGATTTTCAAAAGTCAAGGTGAAACCATTCATGGGGTGATTACATTTTGTTCAACTGAAAAGTATTAAACACATACACACATACACACACACACAAACTTAATTACGTTGTTTATCTCAGATAATCATCTAAGTGTTGGTGAAAGGGCAAAATATGACTTTTCCCTCTAAACTAAAACACAACATTTCCCCCTCCCCCAGGAATCTCATAGATTTTTAAAAGGCATCGTATGAAGGCAGGTAATATTATCTTGCTTTACAAAGGGGTCAGTTCACAAAAAGGTTAAGGTAATTCCCAAGGACTGTATAAAGAGTCAGAGGGCGACTCCTGGAACAAATCTTCAAAATCTTGGATCTCAGGCCCAGGGTCCCCAAACTGAGGTCATCCTTCTGGTCACAAAGGCTTAGGCAGATTTATGAGATAAGCAGGAGTCACAGCAGTAACGTTAGATTTCGTGGTTTGAATGCTAATAGTTCACTCTTTCTCTGCTCTTTGAAAACTCGTCTCCTTTAATTTCTGCCTATTTTTTAAGCCTGGATGCTTTAGAGCCTAAAGCATCTGTATGTTTTTTGTACCTCTTCTGTCTGTATCTTCTGGTCCTGAATCCTGCTGACCCAGAGATGGGGCTAGGAGTTGCAGGGGCTTCCTTCTTTCTCTGTGGTGGGGAAAGGGCTCCTGATTTTGTCTCATGATGCAAAGAAGTGGTATCAAAATCCAGAAACTTGAAATTCTGAGTAAGGCTCTGTCCTAAAGATCCCAGTGAGGTTGGAAATATTGCCCCTGGTTTCTTGTTCTGCAAAATGAGGAGGTTGGACTTCATCCTTTGGGGTTGTTTTTTGCTCCATAGGTCCATAACTGTATGTTAAGTGAATAAGTCCATTTGAATGGTAGCATCAAAAGGTAGCCAATTCCATTCAAATAAACCAAAATGAATAAACAGTTATATGTCTGTGCTATTTTTGTTCACCAGAATTCTGGGGGCCCCACTGGACAGACTGTCCCACCACATGGAGTGGCTCCTCAATGGAGGAACAGTGTGATCTGGGGGTCAGGGCGTGGGGGTGATGGCAGAGCCAGCATGCAGTGGGGAAGGTGTTTATCTGGAAAATGAGAAAGGCCGTATAACACATGATGGGGTTTTTCCCTATGACACCTCAGATCTTCAATTAAGCACAAAACACAGTGAGATTGCATTGCCTGTGGGAAATAGAGAAAGGCAAGCTCTGCGTTTGGCTTTACATCCAAATCGGACTTAAGGTGACACAGTGAAGAATCTATGGGATCAGAAATAAAAACAGGGAAAAATGAAAGGAAAATGTAGAATTTGTGGGGGGAGGGTGGGACTCTGAACTCCTCCAACCTAGAATAACAGCTAGAGCCTAATGTTACCTAAACTCATGAGAGAAAGCATGGCCCCGAATGATACATCATAATATTTGGGTTACATAAAAAATATTTTAGGCCAAATGTCAGAATTATTTCCCCAAATATTAATATGAATATTACACCAAAAGAACCCTGAATCTTCATTGCAAAACAAAATTAAGCAAAATAATTAATATTAATGACTGTAACTTCATTCAAACCCAATGCTGAAACAACGATACGTACCACTTAACATAAAACATTCCTAAAATCATATTCATGAAGCCACTGCAAATGTTTATATATATCTACACTCATTGACAGGGAAGTACTACACAAGGTAATGTGTTTTTAAAAAAAGAAAAACAGGCCAGGCACGGTGGCCCATGCCGGTAATCCCAGCACTTTGGGAGGTCAAGGTGCACAGATGGCTTGAGCTCAGGAGTTCAAGATCAGCCTGGGAAACATGGTGAAACCCCACCCCTACAAAAAAAAAATACAAAAATTAGCTGGGCATGATAGCATGCACCTGCAGTCCCAACTACTGGAAAGGCTGAAGCAAGACAATCGCTTGAGCACAGGAGGTAGAGGTTGCAGTGATTTGGGATCGTGCCACTGCACTCCGGCCTGGATGACAAAGTGAGACTGTCTCAAACAAGTGAATAAATAATAAAAAAAGAAAAACAAAACCCAGATGGCTGAGCAATTAGTATGAATATATTTTTTAAATATATGTGTGTGTATATTTGCTTGGCAAAAATATCTAGAAGGATCTACCTGATATGTATATAATACTATTTTTGCATTATAATATTTAAATTTTTATTTTAAAATGTTTATCAATATATTCTAGCTTTTCTTTTTTTTTTTTTACTATGTTTATGTTTACTTTCAAAAAGTTAATCACAGCCTTAAATCAGAAAGGTAGAAACCCAGTTGACAGTAATTCCTCTGCATTGACTTCTTCCCGTGGAGGCAGGGAAAACCTTGTCTTAGAAAAGAATTGTTTCAGAACCACTGTCCTGATTAAAACCCGGACTTGGTTCCTGAAGCCCAAAGGCTACATCCTGAAGCATTGTCCAGAAACAGTGAGGAGAGGTGGCCTCTCTGGCTCAGATTCTTCTCTTCCTGCTCTGTTCCCTAGGACGGTCATTCCTTGCCAAGGACTAAAAGGAGTTCCGCATTCCTCACAGGCTCCAATGAACATATTGGCTTAAATGGTCTCCTACCTAAGAATCTGCTCTTCACAATGGAAGAAGAGGAAACCAACGGAGTGGAAAAACTGGATGAAGATTAGGAATAAAATAAGCATGTGACCTGCAAGGCCTGTGAAAACATGAAAAATAACCTGAAGAGCCTTTCTCATCAAATTTAGGATCCACTCATGTCCAAATGAAGTGTCTAATGTGCAGTCAAGGGGTCCAGGGCTGGGGTATCAAAGATATTGGAAGCCCACTGATACTGTTTGGCTGTGTCCCCCACTAAATCTATCTTGAATTGTAATTCCCATAATCCCCATGTGTCATGGTATGGACCTGGTGGGAAGTAATTGAGTCATGGAGGCAGTTTTCCCCATGCTATTCTCATGATTGTGGTAAGTTCTCATGAGATCTGACAGTTTTATAAGGCGCTTCCCCCTTCACTTGTTTCTCATTCTCCCTCCTGCCGCCTTGTGAAGAAGGACATATTTGCTTCCCCTTCTGCCATGATCATAAGTTTCCTGAGGCTCCCCAGCCATGCAAAACTGGGAGTCAATTAACCTCTTTTATTTATAAATTACCCAGTCTCAGGTATGTCTTTACTGGCAGCGTGAGAATGGACTCATACACTCACGGTTTATCAAACAAACAAACAAAAAACAAATGCAATTCCAGGTCATCTCTGAACTGCAGGAGGGATAGAAGTCATCTTAGATGGAAGTTCCATATGGCTCTCACATCAAGCAGAGCTAATCCATTTGAAATAGTCAGGGGCATTTATTAGCAATTCATCAGTGAATATTTATTGAGCATATTGGACAGATACTGGCTCTCTTGCTTAAAACAGTAATGAAACACATCACAGTTTTATCCGAGAAGAGTTCCAGAAGGAAATCTCTAGGTAATGAGAGAGAAATGTAAAAGCAACCTCAACTCCCCCAAATTCCTCTGACCCATCGATATTTACTTTTCCCTTAAGAATTTCAATTTCTCCTACTATCATAAAACCCAACTCTTCTTCCTTTAAAACCCCATTCAACCTTAGAAAAAAATGTTCTTTCCTAGGTTCCTCCAGTGATGCCTAGAAAGCCCGACATTTGCAAGAACAACCTTATCAAATATTAAGACACAGCAACAATAATATTTTGTAGACAGTTCCCCAAAGGAAAAATGGTCATGACTCCAAAGTTGTTGAGTTGTTGATAACTCTGCAGTAGTCACAGGCAACAGGGCAGGTCGTTAACCACCACTAAGCTTCCAGCTCATTCTGCTTCCCAGACAATTCCTAAGACCCACAGCTCTCTTACACCTCCCATATTTTATTTCCTAAGGTAGCACAGCACCTATTTAACTGAGGGCCATGACAAGTATATGATGCTTTAAAGTTGAAGAGTATTAAGGAACATCAGTGCTGCTCCTAGCACGATGGATCATACGTGTAATTCCAGGACTTTGGGAGACAGAGGTGTGAGGATTGGTTGAGGCCAGGAGTTAGAGACAAGAGTGAGCAACATTGCAAGACCCAATTTCTACAAAAAACTGAACAAACAAACAAACAAAAAAAACAAAAATTAGCCAGGTGTGGTGGCATGCACACGTAGTCCCAGCTACTCAGGACGCTAAGGCAGGAGGATCACGTGTTCCCAGGGGTTTGAGGCTGCAGTGAGCAATGATTTTGCCACTGCATTCCAGCCTAGGTGGCAGAGTGAGACCCTGTCTCAAATAAATAAATTAATTCATTAAATAGCAGTCCTATCTTCTGGCCTTTCCCTTTTTTTTTTTTTTTTTTTTTTTTTTTTTAGATGGAGTTTTGCTCCTGTTGCCCAGGCTGGAGTGCAATGGCACAGTCTCGGCTCACTGCAGCCTCTGCCTCCCAGCTTGAAGCAATTCTCCTGCTTCAGCCTCCCAAGTAGCTGGGATTACAGGCGCACACCACCACACCCGGGTAATTTTTTTGTATTTTTAGTAGAGTCGGGGTTTCACCATGTTGGGCAGGCTGGTCTCAAACTCCTGGTTTCAGGTGATCTGCCTGCCTCGGCCTCCCAAAGTGCAGGGATTACAAGCATGAGCCACAGCACCCAGCCCTTTCCCTTCATTTTTAATGTGTCATACCAACTGAAGACCACAATAGATTATTTGGAAAGTGAGAGCTAACACTAATCCTAACCTATGTAGTATAAATACAAATTTTAAGTAGTAGGAATTAAATTGAAGTCAACTCATAGTTTTTAAAGGACTACTATGTGTTAAGTACTGTATAAAATATAGACGGGCTTACAAAGATCAGCCAAACATGGCTCTGGCCTTCAAGGAGTTTATAATCTAATAGTGGAAATAAGACAAAAGTAGACTTTACTATAAGACAGAAAGTACGTTCATAAGATTTTCTTCCAATGTACTAAGACGCTTAGAGGAGGAAGAGAACACATCCAATTAGAAGTTCAGGGAAGACTTCGTAAAGGAATTAGCACTGGAATGAGCATTAAAGAATGAAATGGACAGAGACGAAAGACACTCCAAAAAAGAGAAATATTATTAGCCAAGGCCCAGAGTTGAAAAAGCATGGCAGGAAATCAGGCAACTGAAGCTGTGGGGGAGAGTCAGAGTAGAGAAAACTGATTCAGAGAAGAGTTTGTGCTTAATTCCATAAGTGATGGTAGCCCACTGAAGATGTGGTGATATGGAAATCTGGTGATCTGAGCTGGACATTGGGTCAAATAAGTGGACATACCTTTGCAGGATAGGTTGGACAGGGACAGGGACTAGAGGTTAGGAAGTCAGTTCAGGTCAACTGCAATGGTCTAGGGAAGAAGAAAAAATGGTCTAAACAGGGGAGGTGTTACTGGGCATGAGCGTGGATGGATGTGTTGGGCCTGAAAGAGGAAGCCTCTGCAGGAGTTGGAGACCATCATCATCTGCGGAGGGCAAGGAAGAGTGAGGAATCAAAGTGAGTCCAAGGTGTCCAGTCTGAAAGGTAGGGAGGGTACGGTAGCCTCAACCTTGATGGAGAACCATGAGGGAAAACCTATTCGGAATATTAAACTATAAGGAACAGTCAAGTGAAGCCAGTTGAGGAAGACCTTTTAAAAGGAACTGTTCTGGCCCAGCGTGGTGACTCATGCCTGTAATCCCAGCACTTTGGGAAGCCGAGGCGGGCCAATCACTTGAGGTCAGGATTTCGAGACCAACCTGGCCAACATGGTGAAACTCCATTTCTATTAAAAATACAAAAATTAGCTGGGTGTGGTGGGGCATGCCTGTAGTCCCAGCTACTCTGGAGGCTGAGGCAGGAGAATCGCTTGAACCCGGGAGGTGGAGGTTGCAGTGAGCTGAGATTGCTCCACTGCACTCTAGCTTGGGTGACAGAGGAAGACTCCATCTCAAAAAAAAAAAAAAAAAAAAAAGAACAGTTACAAGACAGGAGATCCCTTTGCTTTTCTCTTTTTTCTTCTATGTGGTGTTGAAACACCAGCAACTTTCTGGTTTATCCCTTCTGTATAAGGAATGATGCCAGAATGGGAACTAGCACTTGGTAGTTCCCAAATATTCTTTCCATCTGTGAACCAATTTTGAGGCTCTCAAGAGATTTGATTTTCTCTGTTCAGCTCCAAGGATCCTTTAATTAAAGAAAAAGCTGAAATGCAGCCTAGAGATTAGGTAATCAAAGCATGTTAAAGAAGCCATTGATTCAGCGTCTCTCAGAAAAACAACTCCGCTGAGCAGAAATCTCATTTTGCAAACAGAGTCCTTCAAGTACAAATCCAAGCGGAGAAAAAGGCTGCATACGGATGCTTCAGGATTATACACCAGCTCTCTTTCTAAAGTTCCTGATCCAGAAAATCAGCCCCAGGGCCAATATGACAGAAAAAAACTGCCCTTCCAGCACTCTGGGTCCCAGTGGCAAGCAGGGACCAGATGGTCAGGCGTTTAGGGACCTCTAGTTTTTGCAATTACAACGGAGAAAATAGTTTCCAGGGCAGACCCAGGTCAGAGCAGACCTGTGTCATCAGTGTCTTCTGCTTCAGTTAGCTCTTCAATCACTGTCTCCATTCTTTGTACTTGGGGATCAGGAAAGGAGGCTATTTTCTGCTCAATGACCAGCTAGTTTTTTCGTTACTTCTTCCTAAGAAACAGGGACTCCTTTGTCACTTTGCCAGCTTGCACTGGAAACCTCCAGACTTAAGTGACAATATATCTCAGTTTCCCTGGGACTGCCCAGGTTTACATATTGATTCCATGTAGGTTTTTTGTTTGTTTGTTTTTTGTTTGTTTGTTTTTTTAGGCAGAGTTTCATTCTCGTTGTCCAGGCTGGAGTGCAATGGCGCGATCTTGGCTCACTGCAACCTCTGCCTCCCAGGTTCAAGCGAGTCTCTTGCCTCAGCCTCCTGAGTAGTTGGGATTACGCACATGCACTACTACACCCGGCTAATTTTGTATTTTTAGTAGAGATAGGGTTTCTCTACCACGTTGGTCAGGCTGGTCTCCAACTCCCGACCTCAGGTGATCCACCCGCCTCGGCCTCCCAAAGTGGTGGGATTACAGGCATGAGCCACCGCGCCTGGCCGGTTCCATGTAGTTTTTATCAAGTTAAAACTTACAAATTGGGAGCAGTGGAGGATGCCTATGGTCCCAGCTACTTGAGAGGCTGAGGTGGGAGAATTCCTTGAGCCCAGGAGTTCGAGGCTACAGTGAGCTGTGATCATGCCCCTGTACTCTAGCCTGGGTGACACAGCAAGACCCCAACTCTCTGAAAATATAAGTTACTTATAGTTAAAATTATAGCTCTTAAGAGTACAATTCTATAGGTTTTGACAAGTAGATCCACCTGTATAAGCAACAACTCAAGATATACTCCATTTCTATGACCCCAGGTTTCCTCATACTGTCACCCCTCAAACCCCTCTCACCCTCATACACAGGTAACTACTATTCTGATTTCTATCACCATAGATTATCCTTTCCAAATCTTGAACTTCATATAAATGAACTCATACATTTGAACTCTTATAAGTTTGGATTATTTCACCCAACATAATGTTTCTGAGATTCAGCCATACTATTGCATGTTTATTTTTTTTTATTGCTGAGTATATTTCACTGTTAATGGATACGTGGGTTGTTTCCAGTTTGAAGAATTGTGTACAGAGCTGCTATAAACATTCTTTTTTTTTTTTTTTTTTTTTTTTTTGAGACAGAGTCTGGCTCTGTTGCCCAGGCTGGAGTGCCGTGGCATGATCTCGTCTCACTGCAAGCTCTGCCTCCTGGGTTCACGCCATTCTCCTGCCTCAGCCTCCCCAGTAGCTGGGACTACAGGCGCCCGCCACCACGCCCGGCTCATTTTTTGTATTTTTAGTAGAGACGGGATTTCACCGTGTTAGCCAGGATGGTCTCGATCTCCTGACCTTGTGATCCACCCACCTCGGCCTCCCAAAGTGCTGGGATTACAGGTGTGAGCCACTGCCCCCAGCCACTATAAACATTCTTACACAGCCTTTCCATTGGCATAGCTTTGATTTCTCCTGGATATATAACTAAGAGTGAACTCACTGGATTATAAGATTGGTGTAGGTTTAACTCTAAAAAACAAAAAGCTGCCAAAGAGATTTCCAAAATGAGTGTTTCATTTTATACACTTACCAGCAATATATGACAGTCATAGTTCCTCCACATCTTAGCTAATATTTGGTGGTTATCAGTCTTTTAAATGTTAGCCATTCTAGTGTGTGTGAAGTGGCATCTCAGTACAGTTTCAATCTGCATGTCCCTGGTCAAGGGTGATGGTTCATGCCTATAATCCCAGCATTTTGGGAGTCCGAGACAGGAGGACTATTTGAGCCCAGGAGTTTGAGACCAGCCTGAGGAACACGATGAGACCCAGTCTCTACAAACACACACACAAAAAAATCTTAAAATTAGCTGGGTATGGTGGTGCATGCTTGTAGTCCCAGCTACTCAGGAGGCTGAGACAGGAGAATCACTTGAGCCTAGGAGGTTGAGGCTGCAGGGAACCGTCATCATACCACTACACTCCAGTCCAGATGACAGAGCAAAACTGTCTCAAAAAAAAAATTGCATATCCCCAATGATTAATGATGTTAATTAAGTATGTTTTTGTGTGCTTATCGATCATTCACACATCTTCTTCTGTAAAATATCTATTCCATCTTTTGCCTGTTTTTTTATTGGACTGTTTGTCCTTATTTTGGATATATAGAAGTCCATTACATATCCCTGACTCTAGTCCCTTATGGCGATTAACGTATTGAAAATACCTTCCCGACTGGGCGCGGTGGCTCATATCTGCAATCCCAGCACTTTGGGAGCCCGAGGTGGGTGTATTGCCTTAGCTCAGGAGTTCATGACCAGCCTGGGCAACACGGTGAAACCCTGTCTCTATTAAAATACAAAAATATATATATATATATCAGCCAGATGTGCCACGTGAGCCTGTAGTCCCAGCTCCTTGGGAGGCTGAGGCAGCAGAATTGCTTGAACCCAGGAGGCGGAGGTTGCAGTGAGCCGAGATCGCACCACTCCACTTCAGCCTGGGCAACAAAGCTAGACTCCATCTCAAAAAAAAAAAAAAAAAAAGGGAAAAAGAAAGAAGAAAATACCTTCCCATAATATGTGTCTTGAGCTTTCATTTTCTTTATATTGTCTTTCCAGAGGCAGAAGGTTGTTTTTTTGTTTTGTTTTGTTTCTTTGATCATCTTTGGAATAATTGACATCTTGGCAATATTGAGTCTTCCAAATATCATGTATTTCTTCATTTATTAGGCCTTATTTAATTTTTCTCAGCAATATTTTGGTTTTCACCATAGTGGTATAGCTTTTGTTAAATTTATTCCTAAACTTTTTCGTTTTGGTGCTATTGTGAATGGAATTGTTATTTTCTAATTGTTTGCTACTATTTGTATTTAGAAATACAAATGACTTTTGTATATTCTCCTTGTATCCTGCAACCTTATTAAATACACGAACTGTTTTGTTGATTTCTTGAGGTTTTATACACAAATAATATTGTCTGCCATTTTAATTGTCTTATTTTTTTCCTTTACAATTTTTGTGACTTTTCTTTCTTTTCTGGCTTCATTGCACCAGCTAGGACCTCTAATAAAACCTCGCATAGAAGAGGTGCTAGCAGACATCCTTATCTTTTATCTTAGGGAGAAAGTATTCAATATGTCACCATTAAGTATGATATTATCAGCATACTTTCTTTAATAATATTCTTTATGATATTGAGGAAATTTCCTTCTATTCCTGATTTGCTGAGAGTTTTGATCATAAATGGATGTTGAATTTTGTCGAATACTTTTTCTGCATTTATGGGGAGGGCCATATGTTTTTTCTCTTTGATGGTGAATTACATCGATTTTCAAAGGCTGTCACAAGCATATTTACTAAGAGTTGTCTTTTCACTCTCAAAGGTGATCCATATTTTACAACAACTTAAATAGTTACTCATTCTAGATTCCCCTCTCAGTTTTACATAACCACTGAGCCTCTTTCAACTTGCAGCTTTAAGAATCTGCTTCTCCTGGTGACTTGGACTTGCCTGCCTCCATCAGAAAGCCTAAGATTAGGAGGCTTCCCTGGTATTAGCGAGTAGGCTAGAAACACGGGAACCTAAAGAATCTCTTAGGTGGTAAGATATTTTTTAAAAACAGAGTTCTAAATCCTTTCTACCTCTCCAAGTGCCACCCCCTGGGTGGTGTTTGGCCCGCAGGGAAAACCCAGAGTGTGGACCACTGACAGGAGTTAGTATTCATACTTTGGTCACCCATTGCTCCCCATCCTGTATATTAAAAAGCCAGATCTTTAACGATTGCAGCCACCTGGAGATTTAAAGCTAAAGTGAAAATGTTAAGTGATAAAAGAATGGTCTTTTATATTTATATAATCAGTAAATATATGTACACTTTTTTATAGCTTTAGAGGATACAAGCACAGTTTTGTGACACGGATATATTGTATAGTGTTGAAGTCAGGACTTCTGGTATAATCATCACTCAAATAGTGTACATTGTCCTTATTAGATAATTTCTCATCCCTCAGCACCCCCCGCCAACCCTCCTACCTTTCTGGGTTCCCAATGTCTATTACTCCACTCACTATGTCCACATGTCCATTTAGCTCCCACTTATAAGTGAGAACATAGGGTATTTGGATTTGTTTCCAATTTCTTTCATGTAAGGTAATTACCTCCAGTTTCATTCATGCAAATATATTTAAGGGAATACTCCAAACCTGGAGTGAGAAGCGTCTCCTAGGAATTTGCACTGCGGCCTGGAGATACTCCAGTGGAGAAGTCAAAGTCTTTGAGAATTCCTGCTAAATGCTATCTAAAATAAACAGGAACAGGAACTGATTTCATTGAGTAAAGGTAGATGGCATTTTGGTACCATCTTTTTTTTTTTTTTTTTTTTAGACGGAGTCTCACTCTGTTGCCCAGGCTGGAATGCAATGGCACGATCTCAGCTCACCATAACCTGCGCTAACCACGTTCAAGCGATTATCCTTCCTCAGCCTCCCAAGTAGCTGGGACTACAGGCACATGCCACCATGCCCGGCTAATTTTTGTATTTTTAGTAGAGACAGGGTTTCACTATGTTGGCCAGGCTGGTCTCGAACTCCTGACCTCATGATCCACCCGCCTCAGCCTCCCAAAGTGCTGGGATTACAGGCATGAGCCACCGTGCCCGGACTTGGTACCATCTTTAAATGAAATCTTCTATAGGCTGGGATTTCAGAGGCCTGGTTTTTAACTTCAGCTTTGTCGTGAACTCTCTGAGTAATCTGAGGCAAGCTATGCCAAATATACTACTACGACTACGACCGTTACTACTGCTAATAATAATAATAACGACTGCTAATATTCATATAGAACTACGCCAGATATTTAACATATATTATTTCACTCTTATAAAAGGGGAAAGATTGGCTGGGCGTGGTGGCTCATGTCTGCAGTCTCAACACTTTGGGAGGTTAACGTAGGAGAATCATTGGAGCCCTGGAGTTTGAGAGCAGCCTGGGCAACATGGTGAGACCCCCATCTCTACCATTTTTTTTAAATAACAAAAAAATGAAAAAGGAAATTCAAGAGTAGAAACAAGAAATATTCAAAAATAATAATACCTGTCACTGTGAAAAAGGCTTGTCACCAAGTATCTCATTGAAACTTTACAACTTCCCTAGGAGGTGCGTTCTATCACCTTAGGAAAGTGAGACTCAAACAGGTTACCTTGACCAAGGTCAGATAGCTGGCAAATGGCAGCGCTGAAACTCAAATCCAGGCAATCCAACTCTAAAACGCTTGTTTTAATCCTAATGGGGAAATACCCTGTCCTAACGTGGAAACTAGGTAGGCAGAAAAAAAATACGGTTTTTCAAAGGAGCATGATTACAAAGACAGAAGAACGGTCTAGAACTCTCTTACTTTAAACATTAACCTTACAGCTACCATTTTTTGAGTGCTTATCCACAAAAACTTTTCCTAAAGCACTTTTCACACATTTCTTTTTTTAACCCATGGAACTGCCTTTTGCCATCGTCTGGCCTCAGATCTGCAGCTCTTGTGACAGTGCTTCAGTGCCGTCTCTGCCACCTTGGTGTGGATGCCCCTTTTCAGGCTCAACCACTTCAGATTCTGCATATTTGCAACGTTTCCCTGCTTTCCTCACTACTGAGTTTCCTGGAACCAACTCCCTTCATGGAAAACAAAACAATCCAATGCAATCCTTGGCCCCAGGACACATGACCGGCTTACTGGCCAACTTCCAGCCCTCACCAACTGTTGGTAGAGAATAGGATTAGATGGCTGGCCCTGCATCCACAGGAGTGCATGATGCAATGTTTTTAAACCTGGACTAGGCCATCTGAACGGTTTGCAACTAGCTTGTTTTCCTCCTGTTCCAGCTTTGGAATGGAACTGAGTGAAAGCCAACCCTAGGTCTCTACCAGATAGGGCAGCAGCCAAAGCAAGGCAAAGAGAGCAGAGTGCACAAAAATAATATCACGCACTGCAGGGCAGGACAAGATAGTCAGGAGCCACGTGGAGAGAGGGTCAGATTCTGAGGTTTAAACAAGAGCCAAAATTCAGGTCTTGTGTTCGAGTCTTGGCTGATTTAGTTTTGTATTGGTCAAGGTCGTGTGAGCACCCAACGCCTGAAGCATGGCCCGGCAGGAAACCAGTGCAGTGGTTGTGACTGGGGAGTAACCTCATATTTTTAAATTAACCGCTTCCCTCAGTGGGTGGCAAAATAAGAGAGAACATGAAATCACTCAGTGTGCACCGAAAGGGAGAACGCTTGGGCTTGGACTTTAGCACCATTTTGTCCCTGATGTAAAGTGTACAATCTTGCCATGGTATATAATTCTGAATCCTTGGAGGTCCCTGAATTGTCTGTGAATACTCCCTGTAAACTAAAGCTGTGAGTGGAATACTACTTTCAAAGCAGATAACATTATGATTTCTGGATATTCGTTCAGGATTCTTCAGTCTCTGGTTCTCCAATCAGACTGCCTGGGCCTCATTTCCAGAGGGAATTGTCTCTGTGGTGTTTGCAGATTCCTTGTGAGCTGATAGCACTGAAACAGCATGAGAAACTACTCCCGTGACTTAGTCATCTTTAGACCCAGAGACTGTGGAAATGTCTGCCTTCCTGGGGCTTGAAGGGGTCGAGGGGTGGGTCGAATACCAGACCCACCCCCATCCTCTGGGCAGAAGCTATTTCCCACATTCTCCTGGCCCAGACACAACGTCTTTAGAACAGAGCCAGGAATGTTTCCTGGAGTTTAATGCTGCCCGGAGGTCATGGGAGCGACGTTGCACAATGATTAATGACAGGGAACGCTTAGTCAAGATTATATTTAATTTATACTTAGGTGTTGGCAATTTCTCATAGACAATTATTTCTCCAGGATGTCTCCTGATTCCCTCTGAGCTGTATGACTATCACTGTTAGATGTGTATTTGGGAATCCCAGAACTTCATGAATAGCTAATGGCAGACACAGGACTGCCCACGTGTTCCTATCTGTCTCCTATTGTTCCATATTTATCTCTATTATATTTCCTAAAATGATGATACTTCCTTCTATTTATAGAACTGTTCAGCTAGTTGCATACTGCCAGAAAAAAAGAGAGAGAGAGGAAAAAAGCAAAACAAAGGGAAAAAAATGAGTGTCCTTGTATTCTGGTGTATTTGCATTCCAAAGTCCATGAAGTAAGACGTATTCTATAATTGTTACTTTATTTTAAATAGCCATACTTAATCACATTCTTTGACAATTTTTGACTCAGCTCAAAATATAGATAGTAATCTCAATCCCTTATATTTACTTTTGATGTAAAATCTGAATCTCTGGGATGTGTTTTTTACAGGAAATGAGGTTTTGCATAATTTCCTGAGGAAATTGAAAATTTAACTACTTCAGTAAATAAGAAGCAAACAAACAAAAGTTGCATCATGATCGTGGGAAGGGGAGGCAGAATCACTTTGACATGATCATATTGCCTTGGTGGGCTGAGATCCGGAGATCTCTAGGAAAATATCTGATGAACACCTGTTTCTATTGCTTCATCAGCCTTCATTACTACGATGTTACTATTCTCAGGTGAGAAGCCCAGGTTAGCCTCACTTCTGTGGCCTGGTCCTGACTGAGCATGTTTTGGGGAGAACCCGACTTCCACATTCATGTGGGTCAATCAGCTACGTCAGCTCCAGTTTCCTCACGACGCTGTGGTCAAACAATGTCCACAACAAGAATACAGTCACAATACATTCTCTCTTTGATCTACATGAGCTCAAGTCATCACTTTATTCTTTTAATATAATGAGGGTAATTTGGTATCAAACTATACTTGACCTGTTTCCTTCCCCTTTGTCAGCTAACTTATCAGTTGAGGGGAAAAAAATCAGTTTCTAGAAATGTAAATCAAATTCATCTTACCATCTTCTCAGATGTTAGGCTTGATCCAAAGCCCACCAACATATGTGCCATATCCTGGGAAAATAAGACCAACTACACACAAATCTGTCTTTTAAAAATGATTGTGAGCACCTGAGTGTGTATGGTGGCTCACACCTGTAATTCCAACACGTTGTGAGGCCAAGGTGGGCAAACTGCTTGAGCCCACAAGTTCGAGACCAGCCTGGGCAACATGGTGAGACCTCGACTCTATACAAAAAATACAAAAATTAGCTGGGAGTGTTGGCACATGCCTGTAGTCCCAGCTACTCGAGAAGCTGAGGTGGAAGGATCACCCGAGACCGGAGAGGTAGAGGCTACAGTGAGCGGTGATGGCACCACTGCACTCCAGCCTGGGGGACAGAGTGAGACCCTGTCTCAAAAAATATATATATATAGTTGTGGTTATTTTATACTTGATAAGTGTTTGTTGTCAACATAGCATCTTAACTATGAAATACGACCCATTCTTATTATTGAAACTGGAACTTGTGGATTCATTTTAATTAACATTCCTTTTCAAGTAGCTAGTGCTATGAAAAAGTAGACATTGCCTGGTTTAGCAAAGTGGAGTGAGTCTTGATTATCTTCCGAAACTGATAACAGCAGGCAGGGAATCCGGGGTACACAGGGAACAGAACTGACTTTGCCAAGGCACTTGAAAAACAACTGGTTTTTGTTTATTTCTTTTTACTGTGGCTTTGTGAAACATATTCGGGTGATTTAATTAACCTCACTGAGCCTCATTTATTCAGTTGTAAAATGAAAAAAATAGTTGAACCTAAATCATTTGTTTATTGTGAGGATTAAATAAGAGGAGGCATGGGCTGGGCACTAGTAAACACTCAATAAATATAAGCTTTTTTTTTTTTTAAATAAGGGCAGGACAATTATAGCCTCAAGTGTCACATTCAATGTAACTCAAGTCATACCCTCTCACTTGAAGTTGAGGGTCACAGGCTTTTATTCCAGAACTTCTCTAAGACCACGTCATACTGAAGTCAAGGGTTAAAGAGTTCCCAAAATATTTGGACCCTATTAAAATGATCTGGGGTGAGCTTTCTACTGAGTCCTGGCAGAGAAAATCAGACCTAAGAATCAACCCATCACAGTTAAAACTTACCTGCTCAATTCTAAGGCATGCATATATATATATAAGTGTGTGTGTGTGTGTGTGTGTGTGTGTGTGTGCTTTATAAATCAGTTTACCTTAATCAATTTTGCCTTTAATCAATATCTACATGTAATTTAGAGTTTTTCTTTTCTGCTCCATCCCCTTTTGAATTGGTGGCTTGTCTCAGGATCAATGTTGATGTAAAATTAAGTACAGTGTGGGCATATGTTATTTTTAAAATCCTTCGTGAGTTTTATAATTTCTTTTAAAATACCATCTTATTTAGTAAGAATTTATGGATTATTTGCATTTATCAGGATGTCTGTTTTAATATGGAGTTGATTCTGATGGAAAATCTTCATTGATTACACCTTGGGCCCATCTTTGCTTTTAGTTCTCCACAGAAAGCCTACATGAATGAGCCACTTTATCACTTCTCTTAACCATGGAAGTAAAGTCTAAGAGACGAGGAAATAACACTTCTGGAATGAAGCCATGCAATCCCTGGAAAGGAACTTAGCGTCAACTCGGGCAGTGACCCACTGTGACCCTGTTGGTTGGCCATACCAACACCTGCCGGGCAAAACCCCATGCCTGAGGACTTCTCTGGGCTCTGCTACTACCAAACCTTTAATGCCGGGTCTAAGATGAATGAAAATGGTTTTCTATGAAGACCAGTATATAAGGACAGAGCAAGATTCCTCATCTTCAAATATTTATTATTTCCTTCTTCTGGTATTAGCAAATTTTGGCTTTAGATGATACTAATGCATATAGTAGATAAGAAATGTGTTATCAAAATAAGCATATTGATGAATAGTACATAAGATTCTATAAAGTGTATCAATTCTAACCTGTATATCTAATAGTAACATATTTTATATTATTAATATTACAGTACTGTAAGCCCTCTGTGTTCATGGGTTCTCCCACCAGCCACAGATGGAAAGTATCTGAAAAAAATGGGTGATTGAATCTGTACCGAAAATGTGCGAACTTGTCATTATCCCCTAAATAATATGTTATAACAACTGTTTACAAAGCACTTACACTGTATTGAGTATTATAGGTAGTCTAGCGATGGTTTAACGTATATGCGAGGATATGTGGAGTTTCGATGCAAATACTATCCCATTTTATATCACGGACTTGAACAAACAAGTACTTCGGTATGAGAGTAGGGACTGCAGTCGTCCCTGCCAAGGGACAACTGTAATCACATATATTTATTTTTTGTAATACCACTCTCAGCAAATTCTACATCAGAATCCAGACATTACATAGACAAATGCACATTCGAATTATAGAATGTTGGACCGGATTATATAGATTTATACAGATGTTCTATCATTTATCAATTGAGCAAGGTTCAGTTTAGATTTTTGGCTAATTTGAATTCATTTGATTTTGAAAGTGCTAGAAGTTGAAATTATCATTCAGTGATAAAATAAGAAAGATTATGATATTTGAGAATACTGTTTTTATCTTGACTATAACCTCTATACCTGGCAGAATTAGTGCCTAATTTTATGAACAATGCAAAGCCTTATTAGCACAGGAAGGAGGCTGGGCCCAATGGCTTACACCTGTAATCCCAGCATTATGAGCGGCCAAGGGAGGTGGATCACTTGAGCTCAGGAGTTTAAGACCAGCCTGGGCAACACAGTGAAAACCCCTCTCTACAAAAAATATAAAAAATTAGCCGGGTGTGGTGGCATGTGCCTGTAGTCACAGCTACTAGGAAGACTGAGGTGGGAGGATCCCTTGAGGCCAAGAGGTGGAGGGTGCAGTGAGCCAAGATCGTGCCGCTGTTTTCCAGCCTGAGAGACAGACTGAGAACCTGTCTCAAAAAAAAAAAAAAAAAAAAAAAAAAATCAGTTAAAAACAAAAGGGAACAGAAAGGAGACTTCCTTCTTCCTCACCTGGCTTACAATTTTCAGCTTTGGGAGCAGTGCTGTGGGTGAGGATAATAAAATTACAGATGCATAAAAATACTCTGAGAGAAAAATGAGATGAGGGTGAAACTAACAAAAGAAAAAGTGTATATGGTCAATCCACATATGAAAAACATATAACCTTACTAATAAAGCAATGCAATGCAAATTATAATTTTAAAGTATCATATTTGCCTTTCAAACAGATGAAAAAGGTTATTACCCCTGATGAGCACATGTTAAAATAAACATCCTCATACACTTCAAGCCACGTTTCACTGGACACATCACAGTATACATTAAAAGCCTTAAAAATCTTTAAGCCTGACCCAATAAATCCATTCCTAGAAGTATACACTAAGAGGAAAAAAGAGATGCATTTTGATATTTATGTTTAATGATAATTACTACAGTATTATTACTTATAAGAGTCAAAATTAGAGACCTAATGTGTCCCATAATACAAGAAAAAACAAATTTTAGAATATGAAATACTTTAGGGTAATTTAAAATGTTTTCAGATAATATTTAACAACATGGAAAAATGTTAATGATTAGTGGGAAACTGAAATGTTGTCGGAAAAAAAGCAGGAAAATCAAATTACATATGTATTCTATTTCCAATTTATTAAACAGATATATACAGAAGTTTTCCTGGGACCAACATCATGGTTATATTTTTTAGGGACATGAGAACTGTCACACTGGGTCAGGTCCAGGTTCAAAAGTCAAAGGAGGCTCCAGGCCACATTTTAGGAAGACGGAATTGTCCTCCCTAAGGAATGCTTTCCAAAGAATTTAGATTTAATAATAAGAGCCACAACAATTTTTTATGCGTGTGAAGCACTTTACACTTTACAAAATTTTTCAGATTTACTTTCTCTCTGGATTCTTAAAACAATCCTTTGAGGTTGGCTGCATACTATTATGTGTTTTACAGGTGAGAAAATAAAAGCTCAAAGAGTTACCCAAGTGGTAAGTGGCAGTTTTCAGCTTTGACCATTACCCTTCCCTTTCTCATATTGGCCACTTCTTCTGGAACTGTGATTCATAAATACCTTCAGGCAATTTTGGAATACACTTCTAACTCCTGTGTATACTGTCTCTTGAGAAAATGTATTGTTTGCTTTTAGTCTATCCTATGTGCTCTGAAATTTCCTGGTTTCAGTATCCGTGGGCATATTAATGTAATAGTTATTTAACTGTATTATATATAATTAGACATAGGGGGTAAGAGTGAGCTTAATAAGGCCAACTACCACCAGCAGCAAACACACTTGCAACCATCTTTCCCAAGAAATGTAAGATGGGGGACAGGAAAAACACCATTTAAAGGGACTTCCCTTGGGTCACAGGGAAAATTTCTAGGAGAGCATTGAGAATCAAGAACCATCATGATGTATCAGCTAAATAAGGTGTCAACAAAAACCATGCTTGGCCTTGTATGAAGCCCAGAGCTGGCATTTCCCCACCCTTGGTCATTCTCTTCCGCCCTGTGTCTATCTAGGTCAGGCTTCTCAAACCTCACCATGGCAGATGCATCATTTGGAGACCTTGTGAAAATGTAGACTCTGATTCCCTAGGTCAAGGGCTGAGATTCTGCATTTCTTTCAAAATCCCAGGTGATGCTGCTGCTGCTGCTGCTGCTGCTGCTGCTGCTGCTGCTGCTGGTCTAGACCACATTTTCAGAAGTAAGGATTTAAACAATCAGCACCCAGGGAGCTAGGACAAATCTTCCGCTTGATTCTTACTTGTAGGTTGGTTTTCTATAGCTAAGTCAGTGAGAACTCTCACCCCTTTGTTTCTCCATTAGCAATTGTTCTTTTTTGTTTGTTTTTATAATCTATTTAATTTTTAATTTTGGGAGTACATAGTAGGTGGATATATTTATGGGGTACATGAAATATTTTGATACAGGCATGCAATGTGAAATAAGCACATCAGGGCAAATGGGTCATCCATCACCTCACGCATTTATCTTTACTTTGTGTTACAAGCTATGCAATTATACTCTTAGTTATTTTTAAATGTACAATAAATTGTTCCTGACTGTAGCCACCCTGTTGTGCTATCAAACTAGATCTTATTCATTCTATCTAAATATATTTTTGTACCCATTAGCCATCCCTATCTCCCTCCCTCCACTACCTCTGATAACCATCCTCCTACTGTCTCTCTCCATGAGTTTGCTTTAATTTTTAGCTCCCATAAATAAATGAGAACATGTGAAGTTTGTCTTTCTGTGCCTGGCTTATTTAACTTAATATAATGACTTCCAGTTTCATCCGTATTGTTGCAAATGACAGAATCTCATTCTTTTTCATGGTTGAATAGTACTCCATTCTGTATATGTACCATATTTTCTTTATCCATTCATCTGTTGATGAGCACTCAAGTTGCTGCAATGAACATGAGAGTACAGATATATTCTATGTACCGATTTCCTTTATTTTGAGTAAATACCTAGAAGTAGGATTGCTGGATCATATGGGAGCTCTATTTTTGGTTTTTGAGGAACCTCCATACTGTTTTCCACAGTGATTGTGCTAATTTACATTCCCACCAACAGTGTAGGAGGGTTCCCTTTTCTCCACATCCTCACCAGCATTTGTTATTGCCCGTCTTTTGGATAAAAGCTATTTTATTGCGGTGAGATGATATCTCATTGTGGTTTTTAATTTGCATTTCTCTGATGATCAGTGATGTTGAGCACCTTTTCATATACCTGTTTGCCATTTGTAAATCTTATTTTGAGAATGTCTATTCAGATCTTTTGCCCATTTTTAACCAGATTATTAGGTTTTTTTTCCTATAGAGTTGTTTGAACTTCTAATATATTTTTATTATTAATCCCTTGTCAGATGAGTGATTTGTAAATATTTTCTCCCATTCTTTAGGTGGTCTCTTCACTTTGTTGATTGTTTCCTTTGCTGTGAAGAAGCTTTTTAACTTGATATAATCTCATTTGTCTATGTTTTTCTTTGGTTGCCTGTGCTTATGAGGTACTACACAAGACATTTTGTCAAGACCATGCCCTGGAGAGCTTCCCCAGTATTTCCTTTAAGTAGTTTTATACTTTGAGGTCTTTTATTTAATCCTTTAATCCAATTTGACTTGATTTTTGTATATGGAAAGAGATAGGGGTCCAGTTTTATTCTTTTGCATATAAATGTCAAGTTTTCCCAACACCATTTATTAAAGACACTATTTTCTTCCCAATGTATGTTCTTGGCACCTTTGTTAAAAATGAGTTCACTGTAGACGTATGTATTTGTTTCTGGTTCTCTATTCTGTTCCATTGGTCTGTGTGTCTGTTTTTATGTCAATACCATGCTATTTTAGTTACAATAGCTTAGTAGTATAATTTGAAGTCAGGTAATGTGATTCCTCCAGTTTTTGGGTTTTTTTGCTTTGTTTTGTTTTGTTTTGTTTTTTTTTTCAGGATGGCTTTGGCTATTCTGGGTCCTTTCTGATTCCATATAAGTTTTAGGATTGTTTTTCCTATTTCTTTGAAGAATGTCATTGGTATTTTTATAGGGCTTTGAATCTGTACACTGCCTTAGTTAGTATCGAGAATTTAACCACATTAATTCTTCCAATCCATGAACATGGAGTATCTTTCCTTTTTTTGTGTCCTCTGATTTCTTTTGTCAACATTTTATAGTTTTCATTGCAGAGATTTCTCACTTCTTTGGCTTAGTTAATTCCTGGGTATTTTGTTTCATTTGTAACTATTGTAAAAGGCATTACCTTATTGATTTCTTTTTCAGATTGTTTGCTGTTGGTATATAGACATGCTAGTGATTTTTATGTTGATTTTGTATCCTGCAACTTTACTGAATTTATCTATTAGCTCTAATAATTTTTTAGTGGAGTCTTTAGACTTTTTCAAATATAAGATCATATCATCTGCAAACAAGGATAATTTGACTTCTTCCTTTCCAATTTGGATGCCCTTTATTTCTTTTCTTGTCAGATTGCTCTAGCTAGGACTTCCAGCAATTGTTCTGTGTTACATGAAATTCCTTTATAATGACCCTCAATCTTGGTTCTACATTATAATCATCTGGGATGCTTTATCAAACTTTGATTCCTGGGTCATACACCAGTAAAAGTAAATCAGAATTCCAGATATCTAGGTGATTCTAATGTGCAGCCAAAGTTAAGAACCACTCACTAGAGGAGTGTAGAAGGCAGAGAACCCCATAAGTCTGGCTCTGGTCCATGCTGCAAACATTTCTTTTTAAGCCTGGGTCCCTCTTTTGCCTTTAATGTTAACCTGAAAGTCAACCAAAAATAATTGCCTCAGAAGCCTGCTTGCAAAGACAGGTCATCTGCTCTGAAGACGGAGAGAGAAGGTCACTTCAAAGAGACTCTACTGGAGAAAGGTCAATACAGGAGCTAGAGACTACATTTTTCCTTGATTTCTCTGACTTGGAATTACATCATAAATTCATTCATAATTTTACCTTCCACTTTTGAATCTTAAGAACATATTCTGTGAATCATTTCTGAAGAAATTGATTATTTTTCTTCAATAATATGCAAACACTTTAAGACAAATATTCAGCTAATAATCAGGTAATTAAATAATCACAGGTACCCAGGGAGCTGATAGCACTCAGAGACAGAAGTTCAAACAGATGAACCTCTAAGAAGAGAGAAACCTTTTCCCTATGAAGTTGAAAATGAGCTTTCAAGCAAAGTAAAACACCCAAAACCATGTTATTTCTGAAGCAAAATTGAGAAAAGGAAGACCTTAAAATATATATAAAACATTATATTCATCACAGTTTCTAGCTTTCTCTCCACCTTTTCAAATATCTAATAATTCCCTGATTAGTAGGTGACTATTTGCCAAAAAAAAAGCCAAAACAGAAAAGAAAACTTTTCTCTACAAGTCACTCCATGTATGATACATGTTTTTAAGTGACTGTAATTTATTTAAAACTTTTTATTCTTATGAGCCCCCCCCCCCATTTTTTTATAATAACCTCATGATTTACTTGGCTAGAGTGTTTGTTCTCACTCAACAGGAAGAACAAAACAAGACATCAGTAGGGAAACGCAGCCACACCCAGACTGAAGAGAACAGCCGTATCCCTCAGGAAATTAGAGGAGAGTTCAAAGTTCTGAGCCAATGTATTGTTCAGCCAATTAAGCATCCTGAGCAAGGATATTCACTTGATACCTGAACACTGTGTTTTCAGAAAGGCTCCAGAGATATCCATTCACTCATCCATTCATTAATCCAACAAGTATTGTTTGAGGATCTATTATGTTCCAGGCACTATTTCTAGGGGCAAAATATAAAAGTCATGGCCCTTGTCCTCAAGAGTTTAGACACCAATGGGAGAAGCCAATTTATAAACAAAGAGGCAACAGGTAGAGCAGAGAGGAAGAACTCAGGCTCAGGAATCAGGCAGATGGATATTCGAATCCCAGCTGTGCCATTTTCTTAGCTGTATGATCACAGTTTATTTACACCCTCAGTTTCTGCATCTATAGAATCCACATAATAGTAGTACCTATGTCTGAGGGTTGCTGCACAGGCTAAATGAAATCTTCCATGTAAAACCACTTAGCCCAGTACTGGGCATATACTAAACAAGCCAGGAATGTGAGGCACGTGTGCGGTTCAGTGGTCGCACACAGAGAGAGGAGTGATTAATGTGGCTGGGGGACAGAGGCACTACTGTTTCAGGACTTTATGAACATAAATAATACTGTGTTGAAACCAGCTAGCCAGCTATGAGGGCTGAGAGGGAATGTCTCAAGTAGCCCTGTAGCCACAGAGCATTCAACTTAGGAAAGACAGAGCTACCTAATTATCACTGGGACTGAAATCAGAGAAGACCTTGATTAGTCTCAGAATGTACAATACATCTTGATTCTTTCCAACTCTCCTTTTGAACCTTTATATCTTCATAGTTTGTACTTCCTGTACACATATGTCTTCAGTTAGAAGATGAATTTCATAACAAGGGTTCCATCACAGTGTTGTTGCTGTCAAATAAGATAACGTATGTGAAATGCTAAACACTAAAGCATTGTACAAAATACACGAATGCACTAATTATGCCAGACAAGACAAAGTACTGTCTCCAAGAAGCATGCCAGGCAATCCCGATGACGACAACCACAAAAGCCTCTCTAGAGCTGTTCAGTTGCCCCCTGCTCTTCCCTGGCCCCAGCTACCCAACCCTTTCCAGTCTGAGTTTAGAAAACCATGGGCTCCCCTCTTAGGGAACCTGAGCACAGTTGATGAAGGAGGCACTGAGAATAAGAAAGTTGAGTAAGAAAGGATGAGTCAAGAAAATTCCATAGACTGGTCAGAGGTTAGAACAGGCTTAGCAACCAAGGACCCATCCCCCTCAGGGAGAAAGGGAAAGCCTGAAAGGAATGAGTGGCATCTCCACTCGCCTCCCGGAAGGCAGGTCAAAGATTAGAAGATAAGAAATACACCTGCCTGAAAATGAGAAGATGGCAGACACTGAGCCCAAATAACTGTGACCTGGTGGCAATCATGGCATGTCCTAACCAGCCTACCTCTGTCTGGCTGACAGATGTCCCCTGATCTGAGCCTGGTATTCTGGCCAGTGTACAGACACATAGACTCTAAGAGCTACCCACTTCCTCCCACGTTTCTTAACCTTTTCACACACCCCCATAACCACTAAAACACTTTTTAAGACTTTTTTTTTCCTCTGATCATTCCCATTTCCCCATCCCCTCCAATGACATTTTAATATCACAGATATTCAGTACATCTGTTTAAAGACGATGACCCTGTGGAGGGTAACGGACTATTGCAATATCTAAGCTTTTCTTTGGTCCTCAGAGACTAATTTTCACTCCTTCTCTGGGCAATGTAACCCCTATTGAGAATGAATGTATTAAATCCGCCTTCTGCTTATGCAAGACAGACTCCAACTCTCATATTTACAACCATGAACCTTGATAAGAACACCCCAACTCATGCTGTTAAAACTCAAATCCACAAAGTTGATATTATGTTCATGTACTCTACACCAAAGCTTCATAAGATTCTGTTAAAATTCAAAATATTGGAAAAAATCCTTTTAAAAAAAATACCAATAGGTACTGTCTATCAACCAAGCACTGGGCTGTGTATTTTACACATCACCTCATTAAATCCTCACATCACTGTAAGCATCATTGGTCTGCTTTACAGATCAGGACTCTGGAGCTCAGACAAGTCAATAGCCGACCCAAGGTTATCCTGTTGGTCAGTGGCAGAGCCTGGAATGAGCACAGCCTTGTCTGATTTCAAGGGCGTGGGCCGTAAGCACAATGCAACATGCTGGCATGCAGAAAGTAAGACTCGCGCCTTGCTTACCTAGCTTCACTGGGGGTTGGCTTAGGAGTTTAGGAGCTCTGCTTATAAAGGAGTAATAGTTTTTAAAATATTCACATGTGTTTTCATTTGCACTTCTGTATGTCTTGCCTTCCTCCCAGGCAGCCTGAGATAAGGAGTTAGGGTAGATACGAAATTTGAATTATTCAACAACCAGTGCTGCACATGCACCAGCCAATCAGAACAGGCCAATCACCAGCCAATGAGAATAGACCAGGCTCCAGTGAACCATAACAGTCCAGGAACCGAAGTACTGGGAACCAGCCAATGAGAATAGACCAGGTACTAGCCAATGAGAACAGTCCAGGCCTTACCATTGGAGCAGAGTTCAGCTGCCACCTGTTACTCCAGGTGTACTTGCGGAGGGGTTGCGCTGGTGGGACAATGAGGGGGCTTGGGGCAGCAGCTAGTCATCTACCGATGTGGATGCAGACTTGGTTCTACAAGACCTAGAGACACTTTCTTTTTTCTTTTTTCTTTTTCTTTTTCTTTTTGAGATGGAGTCTCCCTCTGTCGCCCAGACTGGAGGGCAGTGGCGCGATCTCGGCTCACTGCAAGCTCCATCTCCCAGGTTCACCCCATTCTCCTGCCTCAGCCTCCTGAGTAGCTGGGACTACAGGTGCCCACCACCATACCTGGCTAATTTTGTTTTTGTATTTTTAGTAGAGACAGGGTTTCACCGTGTTAGCCAGGATGGCCTCGATCTCCTGACCTCGTGATCCACCCGCCTCGGCCTCCCAAAGTGCTGGGCCTTAAGGAGTTTCTCTCTTGTTGCCCAGGCTGGAGTGCAATGGCGGGATCTCCACGCACTGAGACCTCCACCTCCCGTGTTCAAGTGAGTCTCCTGCCTCAATTCTACAAGTAGCTGGGATTACAGGTGCCGGCCACCACACTCGGCTAATTTTTGTATTTTTAATACAGACGGGGTTTTGCCATGTTGTCCAGGTTAGTCTCGAACTCCTGACCTCAGGTGATCCACTCACCTCGGCCTCCCAAAGTGCTGGGATTACAGGCATGAACCACCGCGCCCGAACTGTTTCTTTCATAGTGTAGAGGATGTTTCATAGAGACGGGTGTTGCCTTATGGGAGGTGGACAAAAAGACACAGAGGAAGGGAACGAAGCCCAAAGTCTGCCCGAGGATTCTAGGGGAGGAGACAGGAGGAGACACAAAGGGAAAGCAAGGAGAGCAGAAGCCGGAACGTTCATCCCCACTCCACTTTTTACGCCTGACCTTGTCGGAAAGGGGATTATTTAGAAACAACCAAGAATAAAAGGGACTTTTTCTGCTTCCCCCGCCTTACCCGCGGGCACCTCCACAATGGCACCAGAGCCATAGTCAGAGGGAAGCAGTGGAAGGAACGTAGATAAACAGCTTTAGGGCAGTGCTCCTGCCTCCCTCGCCTGGTATACAGTGGCCCAGAGGGGATGGAAACCTCCAGTGCCTGAGGACTGACAGAGGCCTGGCGCCAGGACAAAGAAGCTGATGAAGCAGTAACTTTAAAATGTGCGGATGTTCAGAACCACAGGTGGGAGGTGAAGTGTCTTTTGGAAATAAACGAAGACCAACCATAGGAAAACAGAACGACCGTTTATTTAGAGCTTACTATAACAAGAGAGTTAGCCAGCATCAACTGCATTTTGGCAGAGACTCAAAGACAGGCAATGGAGTGGAAGAGCTTCACAGTGGCAAGAAGTGAAGGCATCAGGTGTGTCCTGATTGGAGACTGCTGGCATGGGGAGGCTGCAGGCGGGCAGACTCAGAGCACGGCATCCTATGGGATTGGTTAGGGAAGCATATTTGGCTTTCTCTGGTGGGTCCTAAATTGGAAGCAGGGACAAAAATGAGGATAAGCTGTGATTTATTAATCAAGTCCTGGCCATTTGGAGCCAACTGATACAGAAGTGATTTTTTGGCTTTCAGGACTGTTACTAGAGATAGCAATCTGGCCTCCTACAGTTTCGACTTGTTGCTGGGCTGGTTAGTGTAGATAAGGGGGTTGGTTTCTGGAGCAGGTTTTAGATCAGTGTTCTGTTTTTATATGTGGTCTGGCCATTGTTCAATTGTGTCTTTAGTCTCTCCATTTTGGCCCAAAAGGCCATATAGGATCAGTCACATCTTAGCGGTCAGGACTTTGAATGAGAAACAACCCGGTCTCTTCCCAGCAGAGTCAGTGACTATGCAATCTACCTATGTAGATCTGGGAACACCACTCCTCAGCCAAGACACTGACTATAACGTGGGAGGATGACCTTTCAGAAAGGTAAGCATCATAGCATTGACAGAGTTGTTCCAGAGGCTCTGCAGAGGACAGGCCACCCTTTCCATGTCCCTGTGCCTCCACTCACCACCCCTTTATGCCATCTGGGCTCTGCTGTGTGCCTGCCTCATTTAGCTCCAAGGAATGACTCTGATGTTGGTCATGGATACTTTAGTTCAAGTTGAGAGATGTGTTGTTCTCAATGTTTTATTTACATACTATTTACTATGTATTATTATATAATCATTTTTTAGATTACAGAACAGGTGGTTTTATCTAGTATTAAGGTTATAGGTCCTTTGCAGAGCTCCTGAAATCACAATGCACAAGATATCATAAGGCTTTTAGCTGGTTTATTTGGTTGATCCTTATGAAACTGCCAATATTCAGTTGCTTTTGTCCTGCAAAGTAGACGTTTTGTAGGGTTCAGCCAAGAAAATGAACGAATATTCTGAGTTTTACTTCTAAGAACCAACTGGGTGACTAGAAAATGCTTTTTAAAAAACCATGAGGCCAATTTTAAATTTTCATTTTTATTTAGAAAAACTGCAGATATCTTTGTGACAAATATGCAGACGCACACACACACAAATGATGGCTGATCCCTCTTAATATTTGTTTAAAGTATAGAGATAGAAACTTTTAAAACATGCCCCTGTCTAAATCAGCAGAGCGGCTTAACTATTGCGTGGGAACAGTTTTTATGAATCATATTTTACTTCACTTTTTCATTTACCTACTGTTGATTAGAGACTTTTTTTTAGACCTCAAAGTGATGCGTTTGAATTCCCCTTCAAGGTGGAGTGATAATAAGATTCAGTTTCATCTCATCTACAGGGAATTGGCAAACGGAAGGCAGAGCAAAGTGAGAAACACTGTTGTTGGCCAGTAAAGAAGCCTATAAACCAATATTAGGTAAACTGCAAATAGTTACACATATCTCCCTGGCTGTCAATCAAGCGGAGCCCATCACAGCTCCCTGATGTCGAAAAGCGTGTTTGTCATTGATTTTCTAACGCGCTGGTTGAAATCTTGTCAGCCACTGTCAATTCAAAGCCCCCTGTAATTACACTTCTTGTAGGAGAGATTCTGATTGTATTTTCTGTGCCAAAACCTTGTCCTAAAACATGTTTCATGATCAGTCGGAAGGGAGGCTGTAGCAATTCTTATCCCAAGGAGTGTGTAAGGCTCCCTGAAGAATTTTTCTTTAATTAATGAATGAGACATCTTATCCCCCTGATGGAGGTCATTTTAGTCATCTTTCTTTCCTAATGGAGCAAAAACCTTTCATGTGTGAGACAAGTTCAAGGTCAGGGAGTGTTGTCAGTGGAGTTACTGGAGTCTGAACTCTGAGCTGCCCACCAGGTTACATCACATTTTTGAGGTTAAAGATATAAGGGTCCTCTATCTGGACCATGGAGTTTTGATTCCTCTTGACACAGATTATCTTGGACATCACAGTCAGCATATATTACTATTTCTTTCACTCCCCTGGTACTTAATTGTAAACCAAAAATAAAATTTTAAGATGTGCCCCCCCTTCCCTGCTGCCCCCGCCAATCATCTGAGTGGACCCCTCGTCTCAGCCAAGTGCATTCCAAAAATTAACCTGAAAAATCTAGTTTAGGACATGATGGGAAGGGGGAACTAGATATGCTTCATTGCAGCCTCCTTACTTTTGGAATTGCTTTAGAACAGACTCTTTAAGTCTGATAAGAAACATTTACAAGACTGGGCATGGTGGCTAATGCCTGTAATCCCAGCACTTTGGGGGTCCAAGGCGGGTGGATCACCTGAGTTCAGGAGTTCGAGAACAGCCATAGCTAACGTGGTGAAACCCAGTTTCTACTAAAAATACAAAAAATTAGTCGGGCATGGTGGTGCATGCCTGTAATCCCAGCTACTTGGGAGGCTGAGGCAGGAGAATCTCTTGAATCCAGGAGACGGATGTTGCAGTGAGCTGAGCTCGTGCCATTGCACTCCAGCTTGGGCAACAAGAGCAAAATTCCATCTCAAAAAGAAAGAAAGAAAGAAAGAAAACAAAAGAAACATTTACAATCTATTCTCTCTGCAGCCTGCTACCTGGAGGCTTCATCTGCATGATAAAACCTTGGTCTCCACAACCCCTTCTCATAACCCAGACATTCCTTTCTATAAATAATAACTTTTTCAACCAATTGCCCAGCAGAAAATCTTTCAACCTGTCTATGACCTGGAAGCCTCCACTTCTAGATGTCCCATCTTTCTGGACCAAACCAACGTACCTCTTACATGTATTGATTCATGCCTCGTCTCCCTAAAACTTGTAAAAGCAAGCTGTGGCACATGTTCTCAGGACCTGCTCAGGGCTGTGTCACGGGCCATTGGTCACTCATATTTGGCTCAGAGTAAATGTCTTCAAATATTTTACAAAGTTTGACTTTTTGTTGACATAATCAAAAACAGACTTCAGATCTATCTTATATGGTTAATTTTTCTTCTTTCTCTTACATTGTAAATCTAGTGAGAGAAGAAACCATATGCTCTACCCCAAAACACCTATTTCAATGCCAACCATAAATAATGTATCTGTTGAGTGGTAAGTGGACCTTCGTCCATACAACAAAGACTCTGTCCAACTCTGAGAAGCCACTAGAGGCCATAATTAGCACTGTTGCTAATGTTATTGATATGAACCCTGGACTCAAAAGTTCAGGCATTAAGTGTAATATTTATTTCATAAAACTGGGGGATTTTGAGAAGCCACTGGGGAAAAAAAGCTATCCTATGTATGGACATTATATAGAAGCACACAGGGACCTTAACTGAGGTAATATGCTTTCAAATGCAAGAGGAAAATGCGAGCAGGTAACTAATCCAAATAATCTCCTGTATTCTCCCTCAGAAAGGAGTTCTAAGGTTCTGGCCATTGGGCATCTCTCCCACCCAATGCCTGTTATGTGCAGCAAAACAGACTGTGCTCTGGCCTCTTGCCAAGATATCACCTGACGAATTCTCCAATAATATCACTATAAGGTTTCTGTACAACAAAGAAATATAAAACCAAAGATATCACAGGAAATGTCAAAAAAAAAAAAAAAAAAAAAACCCTCATCCCCAGCTTCACCCCTGAGGGCCAAATATTCAACTTGAGAGTTTGGCAGTAAGAAAAAAGGACATGCAAAGAACAACAAACCAAACCCAAAAAAGCCTACTGATTCTTTGTCCCTTTCTATTTTGTTTGAAATGAAAACTTCACCCCAGAAAACAGAAACAACTAAATCCCCAGAAAACATAAAACTCTCTTAATTTTGTTTCCAGCACTGAACCTCCTGCTACTGCCCACTGCTGCATTTGCCAGATAACCGATTATGGGACTAAAAAAACGCCAAAACCTGACAAATAAATCATTCTGAAAGCTGGGGCTTCCCAAGGGTAACATCAGAGATTATCAGTCAGGCAGAAATGTTAACATCCATTTTCCCATCATTGTGAGGCCCTTTGTTAATGGGTTTTCTTTGCAGAAAAGGCACAATGCCCTGCATTATGGGGACATTTTATGCAAATAGCACTTAGGCTGTGTGAAACTCTGTATCAGACACTGTAGCCCAGGCAAATACCTCTTACAGAAAGATCTTCATCCCAGTGCAGAGCCACCTCACATGGCCCTGAGGATTAAAGGACCAGCCAACCCTTCATGTCTACTCCCAAATGAAAATGACCAGGTTTTGAACAGACCAAGCTCTGAGTGGTGGCCCAGGTAAGATGGGGCTTTATTCAACAGCAGGAGAGGAACTTTTCCTCACCTCAAGTCCTGAGACTGAAAAGGGGATCAGCTCCTAGGTCAGTCTAACACCAGGAATCATAGGAGTTCAGAGCTAGAAGCACTGTGTCATTTTATCTACTTACTTCAGTGTTGACACTGAAGCCTGAAAGGTGATGTGACCTACCCATGCTCAGAAAGCCCACGCATAGGGAATCAGGACCAGAATCTAAAGTGACTGGGCCCAGCTTGCTAAATTCATTTATTCGTTTCCTTAATAAGTAGTAATATTAAGGCTGGGGCACTGTGCAGAGTTCTGAAAGAACAACAATGAGTAAGTTGTAGTCTATGCCCTCAGAAGCACTAACAGTCCAGAAGGGGAGGTACAACTAAAAAGATAGATACAAGGGCAAAAGATTTGATGACCTCAATGCCTGTCATCATAGAACTGGTTAAATAAATTGTGGTACATCCATATAGTGGGATAGCAGGCAGTTGTTAAAATAATCATAGGATGATCTACATGTACTGATTGATATGGAAAGTCCTCCAAGTTATGTTGCCAGGGGAAAAAAGTGAAGTGTCTGTGGTAGATATCCATCCAACTATATCAATAATCCTTTTTAAATGTCAGTAGTCTAAATGCACCAATTAGAAGACAGAGATTATTGGAATGGATTCAAAAATGGATTAATACCCAACTATCTATTGCCTACAAGAGACCCACTTCAAATATAAACATACACATAGATCAAAAGTAAATGATGGACAAGCACGGTGGCTCACACCTGTAATCCCAGCACTTTAGGAGGCTGAGGTGGGCACATCACTTGAGGTCAGGAGTTCAGGACCAGCCTGGCCAACATGGCGAAATCCTATCTCTACCAAAATACAAAAATTAGCCAGGCACGGTAGCACGTGCCTGTAGTCCCAGCTAGTCAGAAGGCTGAGGCAGGAGAATCACTTGAACCTGGGAGGTAGAGGTTCCAGGGAGCCCAGATCACGCTATTGCACTCCAGCCTTGGTAACACAGTGAGACTCAGTCAAAAAAAAAAAAAGTAAATCATGCAGAAGAAAGACTATGCTAATATTCACCCAAAGAAGCCAGAAGTAGCTATTTTACTTTCAGACAAGCAGACTTCAAAGCAAAGAAAGTTACGATGGATAAAAAGAGGCATTACATAATGATAAAGGAGGCAATTCTCCAAGAAGATATAAACGTTCTTAACATATATGTGCCTAACAACAAAGTGTTAAAATATATTGGGCAAAAATTGATAGAACTTCAAGGAGATACAGATGAATCCACTATCATAGTTGGAGACTTAGACACTCCTTTACCAGAAATGAAGATCCAGCAGGGAGAAAGTCAGTAAGGACACATGTGAACTCAACAATATAATCAATCAGCTGAGTATAACTGATATCCATAGACTATTTCACTCAACAAGAGCAGGATACATGGTCTTCTGAAGCTCACCTGGAACATTCACCAAGGTAAACCACATTCGGGGCCATAAAACACACCTGAACAAATTAAAAAGAATAAAAATCATACAGGGCCTGCTCTGAGAGCACAAAGGAATTAAAGTAGCAATCAATAACAAAAAATAACTGGAAAAAATCACAAAATACTTGGAGTTTAAATAACACATTTCTAATTAAAATGGTTTAAAGAGGAAAACTCAAAAGAAATGTTAAAACATTTTGAACTAAATGAAAATGAAAACACAACTTAGCCAAATTTGTGATATGCAGGAAAAGCAATGCTTAGAGAGAAACTTATGGCATTTAAAATAAGAAAGATCTAAAAATCATCTAAGCTTCCATCTTAGGAAACATGAAAAAGAAGAGAAAATTAAATCCAGAGGAAACAGTCTGGCGCAGTGGCTCATGCCTGTAATCCCAACACTTTGGGAGGCTGAGGAGGCGGATCACTAGAGGTCAGGAGTTTGAGACCAGTCTAGCCAATATGGCGAAACCCCATCTCTACTAATAATACAAAAATTAGCTGGGCGTGGTGGCATGCATCTGTAATCCCAAGCTACTTGGGAGGCTGAGGCATGAGAATCACTTGAACCCAGGAGGCAGAGGTTGCAGTGAGCTGAGATAATGCCACTGCACTGCAATCTGGGCAACAGAACTAGACTCTGTCTCAAAAACGAACAAACAAACAAAATTCCAGAGGGAACAGAAGAAAACAAATTAAAATTAGAGCAGGAACCAATGAAACTGAAAACAGGAAATAGAGAAGATAAGAATCCCAAATCTGTTTTTTTGAACAAATCAATAAAACGATGAGCCTCTAGTCAGGCTTAGAAAAGAGTAAGAAGAAAGAAATTATTAATATCAGAAATGAAAGAGGGACATCACTACAGATCCCATGGACATGTAAACAATAATAAACAACTCTGTGCCCACAAATTTGACAATGTAGATGAAATGGGCTTATTCCTTGAAAGACATAATCTGCCAAAACACACACCAGAGGCAATAGACACTCTTATTAGACCTATATCTATTTTTTAAAATTGAAGCAATAATTAATAACCTTCCAAAACAGGAAAGTCCAGGCCCAAATGGATTCACTGATGAATTCTACCACAAGTATAAGGAAAAAATTATGCCAATTATTTGTAATCTCTTTCAGAAGGTGGAAGCAGAGGGAATACTTCCTAATTCATTCTACCAAGCTAACGTCACTCTAATACAAAAGCCAACAAAGACATTATAAGAAAACTACAAACCAATATCTCTCATAAACATAGACAGCAAAATCCTCAACAAAATTCTAGCAGATCATATCCAACTATATATAAAAAGAATTATACACCATTACCCATTGAAATTTATCCTAGGTATATAAGTCTATTTCAATATTCCAAAATCAATTAATGTAATCCATCACTTCAACAGGCTAAATTAGAACGATCATATGATCTTACTAATAGATACAGAAAAAGCATTTGACAAAACACAATACTCATTCACGACAAAAACTCTCAAGTAATTAAGGATAGAGGGAAACATTCTCAACTTGATAAAAAGCACCTACAAAAAGCCTGCAGCTAACATTATACTTAATGGTGAGAAACCAGAAGCTTTCCCACTAAGATCAGGAACAAGGCAAGGATATCCCCCTCGCCACTCATTTTCAAACTTGTACTGGAAGTCCTAGTTAATGTAACAAGAAAAGAAAAAGAAAGAAAAGATATACTGATTAGGAAGGACGAAATAAACTGTCTGTGTTCACAGATGATATGATTGTCTATGTAGAAAATTCAAAAGAATCGACAACAGCAACAACAAAAAAACTTCCTGGAACTAATTAATAAGAAATCACAGCAAGTTTTCAGGAGGCAAGGTTAATATACAAAAGTCCATTTCTTTTCTATATACCAATAATAAAGTGGAATTTAAATTAAAACAACACCATTTATGTTAGCACCCCCCAAAATGAAATACTTTGGTATACATCTAACAAAATATGTACAAGATCTTTATGAAGGAAGCTATACTCTTTGAAAACAAATGAAAGAAAAACTAAATAAATGAATGGATATTCCATGCCCAGAGATAGGAAGAATCAATATTGTCAAAATGTCAGTTCTTCCCAACTTGATATATAGATTTAATACAATCTCAATAAAAATCCCAGCAAATTATTTTGCATATATCCACAAACTAATTTTAATGTTTATGTGGAAAGAGAAAGGACTCAGAATAACCAGCACAATATTTGAGGAAGAAAATAAAGTTGGAGGAGTGACACTACCCAAATATTGGTAAAAGTATAGACAAATATATCAATGGAACAGGATAAAGAGCTCAGAAACAGACATACATAAATAGAGTCAACTGATTTTTGACAAGCAACAAAAGGTGTTCAAACAACTATACAGCCACATGCATAAAAAAGAAAATAAAGTGAATCTAGACACACTAGACACAGACCTTATGCCTTCAACAACAACACTCCAAATGGATCACAGATGTAAATGTAAAACACAGAACTATAAAATTCCTAAAAGATAACATAGAAGAAAATCTATATGACCTTACGCTGATGATTTTAGATACAACACAAAAGGCATGATTCATAAAAGAAATAATTGCTATGTTGAACTTCATTAAAATTGAAAATTTCTACTCTGGGAAAAACACTGCCAAGAAAATGAAAAGACATTGCTTCTCAGCCTTTTGGCTAAGATCAAGTGAAAATGAAAAGATAAGACACACACTGGGAGAAAATATTTGCCAAGACATACTGATAAAGGACCGTTATGCAAAATATACAAAGAACTCCTAAAACTCAACAATAAAAAAACAAACAAACAACCCAATTTAAAAATAAGTCAAAGACCTTAACAATACTTCACCAAAAAAGATATACAGATGGGAAATAAACGTGAAAGGATATCATATTTCATTGGGGAAATGCAAATTAAAACAACAGTGAGATATACTTTACACCTATTAGAATGACCAAAATCCAGAACGCTGACAACACAAAATACTGGCAAGGATACAGAGCAACAGGAACTCTCATTCTTTGATGGTGGAAAAGCAAAATGGTTACAGCCACTTTGGAAGGCTGTTTAGCAGTTTCTTACAAAACTAAACATACTCTTACCATATAATCCATCAAACACACTCCTTGGTATTTACTCAAAGAAGTTGAAAACTATGTCCACAGAAAACTGCACGGGGATGTTTGTAGCTGCTTTATTCATAATTGCAAAACTTGGAAGCAACCAAGATATCCTTCAGTAGGATAAACTGTGATATGTCCAGACAATTTAGCACTAAATAAAAACGACCTATCAAGTCATGAAAAGACACAGAAGAAACTGAAATGCATGTTACTAAATGAGGGAAGCCAATAGGAAATGGCTACATGCTGTATTACTCCCACAATAGGACATTGTGGAAAAGGAAAAACTATGGAGACACTGAAACTATCAGTGACTGCCAGGGTTAGGGGAGATAGAGGTATGAATAAGCAGAACACAGAGGAAATACTCTGAATGATACTATAATTGCGGCTACATGTCATTACATATTTGTCCAAACCCACAGAATGTTCACCACCTACAGTACACCTTAAAATTAACCATGAACTTGAGTGATGAGGTTTTGATGTAGGTTCATGGTAACAAATGTACCACTCTGATGAGTTTTTTTTTAATGGCAAAGTCTGCATTTCTCAAATGTAAAATGAGGGATTTGGATTTGATCAGAGATTTTCCAACCTGTTTCATTCCATTGTAAGTAAAATATAAATATAGAAGGTTTAGCATTTTAACCATTTTTAGGTGTTTAACTCAAGTACAGCCCACTTAAAAGTCCTTGGACATTATTTGGCACTAAGCATATTCATATTGCTGTACTGACATCATCATTATCATCCATCTCTAGAATTTTTTTGTTTTTTTCCTTTTTTAAAACTTTTCTTTAAGGATTTAGGGGTACAAGTGCAGTTGTGTTACATGGTTATATTCTGTAGTGGTAAAGTCTGGGCTTTCAGTGCATCCGTCACCCAAATAATGTCCATGGTACCCAATAGGTATCATTTCATCCCTCATACCCTCTCACCCTCCCACCTTTTGGAGTCTTCATTCTCTATGTTCACAAGTGTCCATTGTTTATCTTTCACTTATAAGTGAGAACATATGAGTTTTACTTTTTATTTTCCAGTCATTCCACTAAGGATAATGACCTGCAGAACTTTTTTCATCTTCCAAAACTGAAATTGTACTCACTAAGCACTTACTCCCCATTCCCCCTTCTTCTCTATCTCCTGGTAACCACCATTCTACTTTCTGTGTCTATGAATTTGACTGTTTTAGGGACCTCACATGAGTATTTGTCCTTTTATGTCTGGCTTATTTCACTTAGCATACGGTCTTTAAGCTTCATCTATCTTGTACATGTGTCAGTATTTCCTTTTTTAAGGCTGAATAATTTTCCATTGTATGGATATACATTTTGTTTGGCCATTCATCCAACATGGACATTTGGCTTGCTTCTACCTCTTGACTATTGTGAATAATGCTACTATGAACATAAGGGTATATAAATATCTCGAGTCCTTACTTCCAGTTCTTTTTGTTACATACCCTGAAGGAGAAGTGCTGGATAATATGATAATTCTAGTTTTAATTTTTTTAAGAACGGCCATACTGTTATCCTTAGCACCATTTTACATTCCCACTAACAGTACACAGGGTACCAATTTTTCCATACCCTTACCAATACTTGTTACTTTTTGCTTTTTTAGTAGTAGCCATCCTAGTGGGTATGAGGTGGTATCTCACTGTGCTTTTGATTAGCACTTTCCTAATGATTAATAATGTTGAACATCTTTTCATGTGTTTATTGGCCATTGTATGTCTTCTTTGGAAAAATGTGTACTCAGGTACTTTGCCCATATTTTAATTGGGTTGTTTGTTTTTTAGTTGTTGAGTTCCAACCTTTTCAAAAGCTGTGTAAACATTAACTTTCAGTGAAATCGTTTATCAAAACCCAATAAGCAAAATAGGAAAGGGCAGCCCTAGCCTGATTGAATTGGATTCATGTACAGGACTCAGAGCTCTGACATACTTGCCCAAGAATTTCTCATCCCAGATCATTCCCCCTCTTCCCCTCCAACATTTCCCCACAGCTGAAGGGGGTCTCTGGGACGCCTCCATGAAAACTTTAGTGCACACAGAACTGAGCAGAATTGAAAAATCACTAGACTAGATAACCTCTAGGCTACTTCCCAGGTAACAGACAGTGTTCATGTGAAGAATGACCAGAGTTTAATTGTTCAAAGGAGAAACTACTTAAAGTAAATGGGTTTTCACCAATACTTATTTGCAGAAGGCATACCCGTGATGTTCACTTCCTTCTGTAAAGACTCTGTTTTAACACGTAAGTCAGATTTATGCCATATTCTTCTGAAACACTGAAGATGTTTATTTTTCGCATGTTACTTATCAGATTCTTGTAGTGAATCTAATTGCTCAGTCATATCTTTTGGGGCACAGTACTCGGATAAGTCTGTCTGCAAAGTTTCTAAAAATGATTAAACTATTAGAGATATCCCTGTAGTATATTGATTGCAAATTTTTCCTTAATTTCTTCTCTTCTCCCTGTATCCACCCCACCCTTTGCAATGTGACTGTGTGGCTCCTCCCATCAAGAAGTGGAGTCTGATTTCCCATTCCCTGAGTCTGGGCTGGCCTTGCGGTTTGCTTTTTTCAATGGACTAAAGTGGAAATGGTGTTGAGGTAGTTCTGAGCTGTCCAGCTTCACTTCTGCTCTCATTCTTGGAATCCTGTCCAGCCACAGTGAAAACAAGCCTGGGCTAGCCTGTCTGATAATGAGGAACAAAGGGGTTCTATCATCTTGTTGCCCCAGCTGGCAGCCAGCCAACAGCCGAATATATCATAGTAGCTTTCCTAACCAATCCAGCACACAGCCACCTTACTCACTGACCACAGACATGTGTGCCAGCCCAGTGCAAATCAGCAGAACTGCCAAGTTGGCCCACAGACTCATGAGTAGTAATGAATTATTATTTTAGGTTGCTGAGATTTGGGGTGGTTTGTTAGATGGTGATACTTAAGTAATATTGTCACCAACTACTTCTTACAGCAAAACCAAAAGGTAATAAATAACAGTTAGCAATTCTGAGGACCTATTGCATCCTGTGCAATTTAAATCCTTCTCTCACTATCCTACTCTTCAACAGGTACTTGGACTCACTATCAAAAGGTAAACACTACACTTCGAATTTAAGGAAATTTTCACAAATCACAAAAGGTTCTGGAGATAATGTTTTATTTCAAAATACTCTGAGATGAATATAAACAAGTATTTGGGTATACCGAGGGGTTTGGTTCTTTTGTTTTTCTGTTCCTTCTGGGTTTTTCCTTTGGGGGTTTTGTCCTCCCTACCCGTGTGCTTGCATTTGGTAAGCCACACTTCTGTAGGGTAACCACATTACTTCACCAGCAGTGTTTCAAGAAAACATCTTCTGAAGTTATTTCAGGGAGCAAATGCATCTGTTTCTATTTGGCTATAAAATATGGTTAAAAACAAAAAGAAAAAGCAATCAGAAATAGCATTATATCTAATGCCCTTTCCAAATCAGAGAGTAGAGGTCTTTAGTTGGTTAAGCTGTCAGCATCCCCAAATATATGGTATCCCTGCAAAAGTAAGAGAAATTATGTCTCCTCTGTGGAGCAAGTGAGGGTTTAGCCTTCCCTGTGTCAAGAGTGCAGTACTCTCCCTGCACTCATTACCATGGTTCATTGCAAGCCAGCACTCCACAATGTCAGATGGCCACCGCAGCTCAGCCTTCTGACTTCAATATTCTCAAAGGCTGGGCAGTCTTCCTTTTGAGAACATTAAGCAGGAAGAAGAAACGTGAGACTAATTTATGCAAATGTATGCAACATCAATCAGATGGTCTCTGCCAGATAGCACAAATCACTGGGTGATTTAGTGCTTTCCTACTATGCACAAAAAGACTTCCAGACACCAGCTCTTTAGTATGGTGGCAGTGTACCTCGGCCACCAGCTAGGCTTTGCCATGGTAATTTGTTTCTTTATCTTTAAAAATAAACAGCACAATTCAATCTAACATCTCAGTTAAATAAGTAAAACCCAAAAGGCAAGCTTCAGTGTCTCGAATAAATTACCCAAGCCTACTGAAAGTTAGAATCAGGCCGAATTTAATCTAAGAGAAAGTAGAATAAGAAAAAATTTTTTAAATGAAGAGTTTCAAGGAGAGTGAGAGCTCAATTGACACTGATAAATATCACAGAGAGATGGGAAAGGAGGGACTCTGAAAAGTTGATTGATTGATTGATTGAATTATGGATTGATTTTTGCATGTGAACTTTAAAAGCTCAATTCCAGTCGGATAGCGGTGACGAACACCAAATAATAGTGACTCTAGGAATGAACAGGAATTAAATAATTAAAGATATAAGTATGTTTACAGGAAATTCAAGTGGGAGTGATAAGAAATGCAGTGGTAGTTTAAGGGGATCAAGGGGTCATGGAAAGGAATTTTTGGTGAGCACGGTAATGAATCACAGGGGCATGACTAATCCAGAGCAGCCAGTGGACCGACATTGAAGGCGCCAGGGAGAAAGGGGACAAAACAGGCATCCGAAGATGGGATTAAGAATGCATTTAAGATACAGCAGGTTTAAAACTTGCAACTCAGGTGTTTATACATGCAACTTGATCTTCTTGTCTATGACAGTACCTAATTTCTCTCCTAAATCCCCATTTCAACTCAGTATCTCTGTTGCTTTTGGTTCTAAGAAGGGTCAGTTTGGATTTAAACACTGGCAATTGAATATTAAAGATTGTCCTCCTCCCTCTCCTCCTTCTCTCATCCCCAGAAGGGAGCTGTTTCCCTGGGGTTTGTTTGCTGTCCTGGCTCTTGGTTCTCACGGCAAGGCATCTGGATCTTGGGCATCATGCTATGGTATATCCACCGATGTCCATGGTCCTATTACAGTTTCTAGTTCCTCATTCTATGTGCTCTGCATTCTCCTCAACAGAACCCCACTGGGACTTCCATGCTCAACCCTATCCTGAATGACAGGGCACCCTCATCTTTCTATGTCGTCCTGAGGGACTGCTCTCAGGTCCACCTGCCTACTTGCCACATGTCCAGTCATTGCCCACATACATATGGAACTTCTCGGTGAGGCTTTTAGAGTCCCCAGTTAAATCCCGGTAAGCCAAGCAATGGTCTCTTCTGTCTGGAATCCCACAAACTTTTCTGGGGTTTCTGATGGTCCCTCATAAGCTAGCAGGTTATAGGAAACCCTTTCTCATGCAATCTCTACCTACCAAACTCTAGCCATTTTCCTTCTGCCCTCCCTGGTGAGCCAGTGGCAGGAGCTTCCATGGCCATTCCCAGTGGGGGAGATGCTGCTCTCTGGATTTGGGGGATGGTTTACTCATAGACTTAATGCCTTTATTATTTAAAAATATTGAAATTAACTAACTATGATTCCACTAAAAAATCTGGAACCGACATAACTAAAGAAACTAAAAACAGGCTAGAATTAGGCATCAGTAAAAAATAGTGGTCAATATCTTCACTACTGTTTTCCACGGACTTCTCTCAAATCCCATTCATTGGCTCACAGGATTCTTCCTTTTCCAGAAAGTCAGGTCTCTGTTGGCATCCCATCCATGTCAGCAAAATTATCAAGAGTTATAAAGGGTCTGAGATTTTACTCTACTTGCAAATTAACAGGTTAAGCTACCAGTTTCATGGATGTTGACAGAAGACATGAGACTCTTGGGTCAGAGGCAAAGAACTTTATTACAGCAATAGCAGTAGCTAGAGCATTTGCTTTATCTTGTACTGATTCTCTGAGTCTCAGATCTCACAGAGTGAGTAGAAGACAACCAGGTGTCTCCTTCACATGCAGTGGGTTGAGTTACAAGAGAGGAACCCTGAGCTTAGGGTATCTGAATCTTTTATAATGCCTGCCATTTGTTATGTTGGGAGGCACTATCTCTGTCTTCCAAGACTGTTTGCTATACAAACATCCTTGAAAAGATAGTCCAGAACCAATGTGGCCATTGCCTCTGCTTGTGAGATATACAGAAATATAAGAAACCCACAGAGACTTGCCTCCAAACAGAGTCAGTCCCTTCTCTAATCTTCAGTAATCTATAGAATTTTTTAAATTACATTATTTTGTCATTTTTTTTGAGAAACTGAGAGAGAAAAAGAGCCAAGAGTGTGTGTTTAGAATGTCATCTTTGTCCCTGAAATCCTGAAATTTGCCTGTATAGAACAAATTAATTTATTTTCAAAAATTACTTTTCCTTGTGCCTGTGATAGAGTTTAACATGTAACATAGGTTTTACCATTTATTTTAATCTGTGTACCTATAGTTGCTTTTTACCTCTGTGGCCCTAGTGAATATCACCCATCATGTTATTACTGTTGACTGGGGGATAGGTTGAAAAAAGCTGCTGAATTTAAGAATGTCTTATGGAAATCTAGTAACCTTGTCTTGACCATGCTACAGGGAACTAATGTGTCAGAGGTTCACATTTCAACCGGAACTCAATAGGAGGAGAAAAATATCTCTAATACAGCAGAAGAGAGACACTGATCTCTAGAAACAAAGTCCCCCAGGAAAGTCAAATCTCTGATCTGGTCAAGCTGCACTTACAAAGGAGGAACTCTGCTTTTCATTTCTAGTATGCCAAAACCTTGGTTTGATTTGAAGAGAAAAAGTGGTTGCCTTTCTATCATTCCTTCTAAATTGTCTTCAGTGGCTACTCCGATGTCCTGGAATGTTGGGCTCTGTAGGTTTTCATATCCAGTCTTCTTTCCTTTTCGTTCGATCTGATTTTAGTTGGCTTTCTCTCTTCCCAGGGAAGCAATTACCGGATAGAGATTGATAATATAGTCCTGGAGCGGTGGCTCACACCTGTAATGCCAGCATTCTGGGAGGCCAAGGCAGGCAAATCACTTGAGGTCAGAAGTTTGAGACCAGCTGGGCAACACGGTAAAACCCTGTCTCCGCCGAAAAATACAAAAATTAGCCGGGCATGGTGGTGCGCATCTGTAGTCCCCAGCTACTCGGGAGGCTGAGACAGGAGAATCACTTGAACCTGGGAAGCAGAGGTTGCAGTGAGCCAAAGCACTCAAGCCTGGGTGAGAGTGAGATTCTGCCTCAAAAAAAAAAAAGTCAAGAGTTCGAGATTGCTAATATATCAGTGTAGTTACTCTCCAAGCAAGAGACCCAAGTCATTCCCAGTGCCAATGATCTATTAAGATTTTTGTTGGTTCTATGATCTGACTGTCTCCTCCAAAATTCATGTTGAAACCTCATCTTCAAGGTCATGGTATTAAGGTGTGGTTCCTTTAGGGGTGAATGGGACTAGTGACCTTATACAAAAGCTCCAGGGAAGCTTGTTTAGCCCTTTTGCAAGGTGAGGACACAGTAAAAAGATGACATTCACCAGATATCAAATCTGCCGGTGCCTTAATCTTGGACTTCCCAGTCTCTTGGACTGTGAGAATATATTTCTGTTGATTATATACCACCCAGTTTATGATATTTTGCTATAGAAGCCCATATGGACTAAGAGAATTGGTTTTGTTGTTTGCTAAAGGTTGTGTCACATAACACTGTCTAGATAAAAGGAATTGACCTTTCCTGCATAAACTTTAGCATGTGATAGGCCCTTCATAAATATTTATTGAATAAATGAGTGAATGCACTAGATAAGAAATGCAGAGGTTGGACTGGGCGAGGTGGCTCATACCTGTAATCCCAGCACTTTGGGAGGCTGAAGCAGGGAGATCACTTGAGGTCAGGAGTTAAAGACCAGCCTAGCCAACATGGTGAAACCCTGTCTCCACGAAAAATACAAAAATTAGCCAGGGTGGTGGTGCACACTTATAGTCCCAGCTACGTGGGAGGCTGAGGCACGAGAATCGCTTGAGCCCGGGAGGCTGAGGTTGCAGTGGGCCAAGATCTCACCACTGTAGTCCAGCCTGGGTGACAGAGCGAGATCCCATCTCAAAAAAAGAAAGAAATGCAGAGGTTAATGATAGTATTATTTTATTCGTATATCCTATAATTTGAAATGAACTGTCCTTCATACACATAAACTCTTCTTCCACATTGGTGATGAATTTACAGTGAATGATTGATCATTCCTCTTTTACCTGGTCTTTCTTATAAAATTAATGGCATATACTAGGGGATCAATCAAAGGAGCTTCTAACCCCGTGTTTCTTCCTTCCCAGGGCCTACCTCATGCTGTCTCCTTACAAACACCAATTCAGTGTAGGACAAGGTAGGCTGGTTATGAAATAAAGTACAGTTAACCGTGTTATGTGGGAATTGAAATCATGACCTCATGTGCATAACACCTGCAATCAGCCAGTGAAGGCCTGATAAATCTTTGCATTTGTAAGAGTTAGCTAAACACTCAGCCTTTAGGAGTATGCTTTGGGAAGGGTTCCAAGAGTTGGACTGGTAAATATTCTACCTCTTTATTCACTGCCAAATTTCTAAGCTTTATACTCAGTTGTCAATTTTTTCTATTTTTAGTAGAGACGGGGTTTCACCGTGTTATCCAGGATAGTCTCGATCTCCTGACCTCATGATCTGCCCGCCTCAGCCTCCCAAAGTGCTGGGATTACAGGCGTGAGCCACCGCGCCCAGCCAAAAGTCTGTGTTTCTTTTGGGTAAAATTACTTTCAGAAAGTATTAGCTCCCTATAGTCAGCTTAAAGGATTCCTGGAATGACATGGCTAAACATGTATCAATTCCCTGGCTAATTTCCTTCAAGACAATACAAGATTATATCACACTGCTTGCTTCAGCCTGGAGTTCTTCCTATCTAAAAATAAGAATGTATCTTTCACATGAAAGAAACCCTAAGCTTTGAAAGAAACCTTGGTTTCACTTGTTACATGAAACTCCTGTGTGTGTACAATCTACTATATTTGTCCTAACTGTGTCATGGTTTTAGGTGCCTCTAGGCATACCAGAAAGACATCTTGCTTGAATTACCAAGGTTCTGTGCTTTTAGGAGACACTGGATTAGGAGCAAGGCACCTCAAACAGACACTTCCTTCTCTCTCTGGGCACCGTCAAAACCTCCAGATAACCTGGCAACTGCAAATGAATTTCAAGCATTTGACAAAGTGGGGTTGAACATCACTTCACTCTGGTTTGCCGCGGAAGCCTTAATATTAAGGTATACTTTTTTAAAACTGTATTTTTCTGTATTCTGTATATAGAAACATTTTCTATTTCTCCATGTTTCCTATATTTCTTTTTTTTCTAGCTAAAGAATTTATTTCAACATTTGCAAAATACTATATCACAATTATTTACCTTTCTTTGTTTTCTGTATTTCTATCTTTCCATTCAGTTAATTTGTACCCCATTTTGGAAAGCAAGTTGGTAAATCAAAAGTCTTAAAATGCTCATAGCTTTCCTCCCAGTAAATCTATATCTGGGAATCTTTCCTAAACAAAGCATCCTAATCATCTAAAACAATGTTGCAGTATTATAATATTGAAAAGGACCAAAATGATCAACCATAGGATGCTTAGTTTTTAAAAAGCATGATTATATTTACAAAGAGTTTTGAATAACATTGGCAAATGTCTATTATTATATTTGCTAAAAAATTGAATACAAAATTATATTCTCTATGTAAACACAGTGTACACACTATAAGCACAGCCCTGACACATAAAAAACGTAATGCAAATATTTGTTAAATTCACTCATTTGAATGAATCACAGCTATGTTGAAAAAAAAGAATCCTGCCTAGAAAACAAAATTTACACATTCATATGGTTATCTCTGGACGACAAAACTAAGCATGATTTTGTTTATTTTAAGATTAGTATAATTACATTAACATTTTCATAACATGAAAAATAAAATTATCTTGAAAAAGAAATATGTTTATGAGCATATTCTAGGGAGTTCAACATACAAGAGAAATTCTACTATATATTGAGGCTTCCATTGTTTGATTAACTTTTTAAAAACATGGTCTAGAAGCCTAAACTTTTTCACCTAAAGCTGCATTTCAAATACTAGTTGAGATATGGAAATAAGACGCCTCACAACTTAGTTCTGAAATTATGTATCCTCATAATCATAGCTACCCTTTATTGATACCTAATTTACATCAGATGCCAAGATAAATGATATACCATTGAATTTAATTTTATTTTTATTTCATTCATTCATTTAATACATTTTGAAAGCAGCTGCTAGGTACAAGACACTTAGTATAAAGGTAGCAAAAAGTTTTTGCCATGAAGGAAGTTATTAGATTGGTGCAAAAGTAATTGTGGCCTTTGCCATTAAAAGTAATTGCAAAAACTGCAATTACTTTAGTGCTAACCCAGTATAAGGAGACCTGACCTTAATTAAATGAGGACACTAGTGTTTTGGATGTTGACCCACCCAAAACAATACTGTTACTAGAGCGTAAAAGAGGGACGATCACATCCAGGTGAGGGTCATAGGAAGGGCTAATGATTGAGCAGAAACTGTAGGATTAAAGCAAAGGCCCCTGGCCCTGGCCCACCAGGCTAGAGGGAGAAAGTGCAAGACCGGGACCCAGGCCAAGGCCACACACAAGGCCTGGCTCCTCTTCCGGAGACTGCTGGTCAGAAAATAATTTTCCCCAGGTGCCTGAAGTCTCGTAACGCAGATACTCTAGACATTTTCCATTTTCTGATTTTATATATATATATATACATACACACACAAACAAATATTTAAAATGGGCATGTGAAAATATATGTTTGTGTATTTTCACATACCCATTTCATATATATATACATATATGAAATATATATTTCATGTACACATATATGTATATATGAATATATATCATGTATCATATATATCATATATACACATATATATGAAATGGGTATACATATATGAAATATATATTTCAAGTATACATATATGTATATATGAATATATATCATATATCATATATAATATCATCTATACACATATATATGAAATGGGTATGTGAAGATACACAAACATATATTTTCACATGCCCATTTTACTAAAAATATGGGGTTTTTTTTTTTACAATGTTTAATTCTATTCTAGTAATCCTTAAATTTTGATGTGTATTCTTGAATGGTTAAAAACATGACTTTTTTAAAAATAAAAATGATCTGTAGAAACCTGTTTCCATAATGATAGAAATCTTGACTTTCCGTCTTGCTGACAGATCCCAGTTAGAAATTTAAACCAAATTGTTTCCATCAATTAGTAGGCTCGGAGAGAAAGTGTGGAGGACAGGAGTTTCTGCAAATTTATCAGAATTTTAGAGGAAAATGAACAGTTGTACCTTCCTGAGATGTGAGTTTATATTGACCACCAGATTTCTCTAGCACTGATCATAGATTCGAACTTATTTATTTATTAACGATGATGATAAAACTACCTAACATTTTTGAGAACCATCTGTATGCCAGGCACTCCTCAAAATTCTTTGCACAGATTACCCCCATTAACCACGATGCCAACCTCATGGCCGGCAAGGCAGAAAAATCTCATTCTCACTTTACCAGTGGCTAACTGTGAAAACTCCATTCATGTTGGCCATTTTCACTAGTCATTTGAAAATCCAGCAAATGAAATCAGACATTTTGTGGTGGATGAAGAAACTTTTTTGGTTTGTTCTCTTTTTTTGAGACAGAGTCTCACTCTGTCACCCAGGCTGGAGTGCAGTGGCACGATCTTGGCTCACTACAAACTTTAGCTCCGGGGTTCAGGCGATTTTCCTGCCTCCGCCTTCTGAGTAGCTGGGATTACAGGTGTCCTCCACCATGCCCAGCTAATTTTTGTATTGTTAGTAGAAATGGGGTTTCACCATGTTGGCCAGGCTGGTCTCTGAACTCCTGACCTCAGGTGATTATTCCACCTTGGACTTCCAAAGTGCTAGGACAAACAGGCATAAGCCACCACACCTGGCCTGAAACAATTTTTAAGAAGTGATTTAGTTGCAAGTTGGCTCAGATCCTCTGTTTAAACATTATGAATTCTCCTCAAGTTATCAGAATTGACTAACTTTTAGTTAAGCCCCATTCCATGGCAAATAGAACATACCTTAGGCTAGGGACAAATTTATTGCATCTTTATATATTAGTGAAATTTAGCATTCTGCCTCTAAATTTCCTGTAATAAAAATACTCTTAGAATGATCCTTCTTGAAAGGACGTGATTCTAAGGAAGTCACTGAACATAAATAACTAAGTAAAGAAGGAGGGGGAGGGCATTCCAGAGAGGTTTCTCATCACTGCTATTTGCATGGATTTTTACCTGGGGGCAGCCAGTTACTAACTCTGAGCTGCTTTCAGGAACTTCCAAGTACACGGAGTTCAGGGATCTCCTTTTTCCTATTAACTTGGTTATAATGGTTTCCAGGATTAATAAACAAACTCAAAGTTTGGCACAGGAAGCAGCTCTCATGTTATAAATCATAGCACCCACAACTTTACCATCTAAATAGATAATGATATCCAAGTCAAGTATTTCCATGGGAGGGTTTTTCATTGTCCTAGCAGAATGAAAGTTTTAAGGAACTTTGTCTTTCAGGTATTATAAACTTTGGGGGCCTCTTCCAGTTTTTCCTACACGCAGACGAAAAAATGTCACAGCTCTAGGGATGCTTAAGTCTCACCCAGTGACCTGCAAGTTCTTCAACAGACGGGAAATTGAGAACCAGGATTATAGCACTCAGACCCCTATGGACTGAAAAAGTGGCTAGTTTGACTTCCTTCTGAATTCTTTTCACACAATAGTAAATGACAAATAAAAATCAGAATCTGTTACTCTAAGAGGAGTGTCCCTCTGTGATGTCATATAATAAATGGTGAGAGACAGAGAAGATGGGAAGGCGTGTGGAGGCTTCTATCTTAGGCCTGAGAAAAGTTTCAAAACAATTACGCAATCAGGAGCAGGAGTCATTGTTGACTGGCAAGTGGCAAAAAAAAAACAAAAAAAAAAAAAACAGAAAGATAGATAGATAAATGGATAGATTTGTTTTCATTGGCTCTTACAGGTGATGAGTTCTTGAAGAAGGGGTGGAAATTAACAAAATCTATATGTATCCATGAGGGCTTTTCCTCCATTACTTCTGTAGGCAGGAGATTCTCTAGAATTGTGTCCACCATGGCTGTAATTAATGAGAACCAAAGATGTCCAATGTAATCTGTTTCAGCAGTCATAATAGAACTTTTAAAACATCTTTCCTTTTACGATTCCATCAGCAGCCCTTGCTTGAATACCAGACTGATGTGTTTGCTAATCAATAACTCATTAATAGTTATAATGACCACAAAGACTTAAGCTGTCCCTTAAAGTAGGAGCTGGATGCCTGTGTGGAATCCTGAGGGCTTTGTTGATTGGTTAGGTAGGTAGGTGAAGAATTAGTGAAGAAAATTGTGATCAAATCCTTCCTCACATTTTTTACCAAGATCATAAAATGGAAGAAAAGTAAATTGGGATTAAAACAAGGCAGTTATTTTCTCATCTGCTCTCATTGAAAAGGAATGTTTGTCATCTGCATGCTCCTAATAACAAACATTCATTGAGCACCTATGGGCAAGACACAGTGGGCCTTAGGATCAGGATGAGTCCGCTGGTGGCTCCATGCAGGAGAGAGATGGCCATCCCAACCATGCTGAAAGAACAGAACGAAGACACCAGCACGGAGGCAAATGGTAAAGACCAGTCTCGTACCACTGAACAATGGGCTACAGGGAGCCCAAAGATGAGGATGCTACACTTCTTACCCTCAGAGAGCTTATGGGACCATGTGACCGGAGAGAATTTAGGTCAGCTTGTTAGCATCACAGGAACAGAAAACGAGATGAAACTCACTGTCCCTAGGACTGCTGTAACTTTTGTGGCACCTACAGGAGGTCAACTTGAAAAAGGAAATTGCTTCATCAGGAAGGAAAAAGAGCTGCTTGCTAATGCAGGAGGTAGAAAGAAATTATTAGACAGATAGTAGGTGCAGCAGAGTCCCCAGTAAAATGTCCCTTTTAACAAAAAGCAGGCCCCAAATCACTTCCTTTCTAACAAACAGCAGCCTGAAAAATTGAGCTGCAGACAAATAAGCAAGCTGGAAACTTGCATGGGTGAATGCCAGCAGCTGTGCCAATATAAAAGGGCTACCTGGAGGCCAGGTATGTCCAACATAGAGTCTCCATCTTCTCTTTTTTTTGTCACCACATGTACAGTAAAGGAACAGGCAACATGGCACCGGCCAGGTAGAGAACCACCTGCAATGGCACACCGAGTCCTAACCAGTTTTTCGCGCCTTATGCAAATGAAACACCTGGTCTGACCAATCTTTCATGCCCTCTGTAAATCAGACACCACCTCCTCAAGCTCATCTATAAAAAACCTTGCATTCCACTGTGGAACCAGCAACTCACTTCTCCAGCATGCCTCTCTGCTGCAGAGATCTCCTCTCTTTCTTTTGCCTATTAAACTTCCATTCTGAACCTCACTCTTTGTGTGCCTGCGTCCTAGTTTTCCATGGCCGTGAGACAATGAATCTCGGGTATTTACTCCAGATTATTACCCCAATAACGCCACTTCATCGTTAGTGTATATATATATATAGAGAGAGAGAGAGAGAGAGTAATAAAATAGCTAGCACTGACTGAGTACTAACCTTGAGCTGTATATCAAACTCTTTATTACATATTACATTTTATTACATTTTATTAATGTAATAACTCATTATTACATTTAACCCCTATAGTAATCCTATGAGATAGATATTATTGTCATTTCCAGTATATAAATGACACAACTGAGCCTCAGATATAGTACTTTATGTAACGAACGTGGCATGGCTTCCTTCAAAATCTGCTCTCTTGACCCTTCTGCTGTCCTGAATATCATTAAGAAACACAAATATGTTATACAACTAAAATAAAACCATCATAAAGCAGCTTATATAACCAAAGGCTTCTCAGCCTCCACATACTGGCTGTTTTTTTTAAGCAATATTAAATGAAAGAATGTTCTAATAAAATCAGAAATGTCATATAATCTTCCGATGCTCCTAAAAATGGAATGTGAATTATGGTCAAACTATTAATAATATATTAAACTATCCAGAGAAAGAAGGCAAAGATAGAGGTGTGACTTGCTTTTTCTCTGGATAGATAAGATCGTCAGACCAAATGAAACCATACAAACCACACATCAACATGTTTGACAAGCTCTTCCTGGCTCCTCCAAAATGTAATTTTGGCAGCAACTTTGGACAGAACATCAATTCAAATACATAAATAAAAGGACATGGATTATCACAAAGAGGACAGCCCAGAACTCAAATATTTTCTATTGACATTGAAAATAACTTAAAAAGTGATGATTACTCTGGAAATGTTTGCATTGTGGACCTTAATTTCTCTGTGTAATTCCCTCTGTGAGGAAGCAACTAGCAAGGGACCTAACTGGGTGTAGAAATCAGGAAGCTGTGCTGAGGAGGTGATATTCAAGTTTCTCATCTTGAAGGAGGATTAGGAGTTGGGGAGGGAGGGTCTGGGGGAAAGAAGTGTATACACAAAAGGCTGAAGGCAAGAGAGTGCACATGAGGTGAAACCTGCAATCGTTTGGTGTAACTGGAGGTTAGTGTCTGAGAAAGGGCGAGCTGTGGAGGAATTTATGCCTATGGTGGCAAGAAGCTATTGAAGAGTTTTGCTAAATGTTAAGTGTATCTACTGTTTCCCAGGCTTTATTTAAGGATTCATGAAATCATGTTTGTAAAACCCATTTTCAGCCCTTAAAAACGAATACTAAAGAAATACCAGGGTGTTTACATGTTTTCTTGCAGATGACAAATGCAAAACACCATCCATAAGGTTTTTAGGAAAAAAACTCGAGGATTTCATTCTAATTGTGAGGAGACTCCCAGACGTGTCATTATAGCTAATCCCATGAAGCCCAAGTCACAGATAAAAAAATTACTTTAAATGGCAAATATGCACTTATTTATAAACAGATTTGATAGAATCACACTTCCAAACACGCATTTGCTTATTATTCCCTGTAAAATGACAAAACTATCACCTGATTGTTCATTAATTCTCCTGGAACATTCCAAACCTACCCAGGTAACAACTACTAAGGGTTCACAAAACATTTTTAGCTATTGATTTCCCAGGCACGCCACAAGCGATGAACAACAGCCATGATCTATGAAGCCGCTGCAATGAAGCAAAGCTACAGCAATTACTAAGTACTTGAGTGAAGTATGGAAAACTTCACTGTTGGATAAAAAAATTAAACCTAGTTTCTGTACCCAATGGGTCATGCTAAGTTACATGTTACATGACTAAGTAATCATGACTTTGCCAAAAAGGTACAAAATAGGCACAAATGGCTCTCATCCCTCCTCATCCTCTTCTTGTCTGAGGACAGTGATGAATCGTGCTGACCACCTCTCTCTGGAACTTATCACTGCTATGCCTTGTTAAAGCAAACTAAATATGGCCTGAGAAGGACTCCATACTTCTGTATTTAAGTCCTTGTGGACGAACTGCAACCTACCTTAGTGTGCAGACAAGATTGAAACCCTAATTTAGGATTACAGCCTGTAACAATAGCTGAGTCTCAGCCAATCTCAGCAGCCACACTTCAACCATTCATACAGTGCTGAGTGTTCAGACTGTGTTCAAATAACACAAATGCCAAGCTGTAACCAATCCAGCTGTTTCTGCACCTCACCTCTGATTTCTGTACGTCACTTCCCTTTTTTTGTTCTGACCATGAGGTACCCCTGGAGCCTCTCTGAATCTGCAGTAATTCTGGGGGCTGCCTGATCCGTGAATCATTCATTGCTCAATTAAACTCCTTTAAATTTAATTCTGCTAAAGTTTTTCTCTTAACAGCCCATTTATCTATTCAACACATTTTATTGAGCTCTGTTCTGGTCACTATGCTGGGCAACGGAAGAGAGAAATTAATAAGACTTAATTCCTGCCTTTGAATTGCTCACAGTGAGATGGGACAGGCATGTAGATTTTTAAAAAAAGAATGCAATACAGAGTCAGGACTAACAGAGCCATTGGAATATACAAGGCCTTATTTGTAACTTTGAGATATATGTTGTCCCCAGAACCAGGGTCATAATAAAAAATAAACAGGAATTCCCAGCTGCCAGCTTTCACTAAACAGTCTCTTACCCAGCACAACAGTTAATCTTTAATAGGAAAAACAGGAAGCATCCTATTCAAAATCCTGGTTGAAGGATGCAGACTGAATATTCATTAGGGTGGGGGTGAAGGCTGAGGGGAGCAGGAGTGAGAAAATAGCAGGAAGCCAGGAACACCCATGGTATGAGAATTTCTTGAATTGTTGAGATGTGTTTCCTAGACAGCTTCCACGGAGGAGGAGGGCTGTTGAAGATGTTCTCTTGTTAGATGCACTGTAACAATGACGACTAGTTTAGATCATAAAATATTCTTTAGTTCCTGACCATTTTCAGTTCACACACTCTGTATACATCTTACCATTGAGGCATATGAGAGTGAAAGCATCACTGGCTTTCTGTACTGTCACCTAAAGTCACAATTTTTAAAACACAGAGGCTGTATGAAACCATAATTATGATGTAGTGCAGCCAGGAGAACTAACAAAGAAGAATACGCTTTCTTCTTGCTCTTGTTGTTTCTCTTGTTATTAATCCACTGCTTTTCTGCTATTGACATTGGGCCTGGCTAAATGGTTGGTGGACAGGTAAACCTAGAGGCAAGCTTTCAGAGAGGGCATCATATATATACAGTAGTGCTAAAACACAGGACGAGAAAATAGTTCTAGAAAATGAGGGTTTGTCTTCCTCTCTATTTCTCTAAAAGAGGAAGGAAGAAATGCATATTAGCAGTGTAATTAAGTCAGATGTCTTGCTGAATTAAGACATTATCTCTGAATGCAGCCCCTCTAAGGGACAGCCAGGAAATTTGAAAGGTGACCTAAAAAGAGGATTTTATTGTAAGAACTGAAAAATACTTGCTGGCAATATTTAAGTAGAAGTTAAATGCATTTGGCTGAGCTGCATAAAGGAAATCGATGTTCTCTATTAGCTAAATTCGAGGACATTCACGTCTGCTTTCCCAGCCCTTGAGAATGTATGAGGTCCAACAACCCAGTTCTTTCAAAGTCAGTCACAGCTTCTCACTTCCCTTCTTCTCCTCCCTCCTCCTACACACTCTGCCTCCAGCCTTCATCCTCCTAACTCCCAGACAAATGCACAAACATCTGTGTTCAGGTTCCTTCCCTCACATCTTCCTGGGAGGATGGGAGCGGCAGTCTGACTGCCTCACAGTACCACTCTGACATTGGTCACTCCTTCCGAGTCTCTTATCGGTGTACAGAGGACAACCAACTCCAAGTAAGGGGGCCAGGGGGTACACATGACGCAGATGACACTTCCTATTCTAGTATCACCTCCTACTCCTCCCCAGACAACACAGGTGAAGTCTTGAGGGGGAAAATTAGTCATAGAAAGCGGGCAGGAGAGGCATTGTGGGTGCTGAGTAAAGTGGAGAAAGTGAGAAGAAGGGGCTGGGCACGGTGGCTCATGCCTGTAATCTCAGCACTTTGGGAGGCTGAGGTGGGATGATCACTAGAGGTCAGGAGTTCAAGACCATCCTGGCCAATATGGCAAAACCCCGTCTTTACTAAAAGTACAAAAATTAGGGCTGGGTGCGGTGGCTCATGCCTGTAATCCCAGCACTTTGGGAGATCAAGGCACGTGGATCACCTGAGGTCAGGAGTTTGAGACCAGCCTGGCCATCACGGTGAAACCTCGTTGCTACTAAAAATACAAAAATTAGCCAGGCATGGTGGCAGGTGCCTGTAATCCCAGCTATTTGGGAGCCTGAGGCAGGAGAATCTCTTGAACCCAGGAGGCAGAGGTTGTGGTAAGCCAAGAGAGAGTTACTGCACTCCAGCCTGGGCGACAGAGTAAGACCCTATCACAAAAAAAAAAAAAAAAAAAAAAAAAAAAAAAAATTAGCTGAATTTGGTGTAACACGCCTGTAATCCCAGCTACTAGGGAGGCTGAGGCAGGAGAATCACTTGAACCTGGGAGGCGGAGGTTGCAGTGAGCCGAGATCACACCACTGCACTCCAGCCTGAGCAACAGAGCGAGACTCGGTCTCAAAAAAAAAAAAAAAAAAAAATTACCTGGGCATGGTAGCATGTAGCTGTAATTCCAGCTACTGGGGAGGCTGAGGCAAGAGAATCGCTTGAGCCTGGGAGGCAGAGGTTGCTGTGAGTCAAGATGGCGCCACTGCACTCCAGACTAGGTGACAGAGTGAGACTCCATCTCAAAAAAAAGAAAGTGGGAAGAGGGGATTATTGATTAGATTTGATGAATGGAGATCTCAAAGTGTATCATGTGCACGTCTTTCAAGGTACTCCAGCTCACTGCCCCCTTACCATTGTATGTGAGCCCCCCCTCTGCACCTTTTCTAAAGAAAAGGCACCTAACTCTTTGGAGGGAGAATGGATTGGTCATAGACCCCTATCGCCATTAAAATAAACATACATGACATATTTTGCAAAAAAAAAAAAAAAAAAATTCAGTGTTGGCCCCCCCATAAAGGCTTTCCATTTTCATTATCCTCTTCGCCAAGTCAGAAATCCATCTCAGAGCTTCTGGCCAACCTACCTTTTGAACTCTGGCCAGCCCCTCTTCCTTTTGAACTCAAGGGTTGACACTGGGTGCTCCCTGGTGCCACACTGCCTCGAAATTCTGAGCTATCCTCTTTTCATCCTAAAACCCAAACACCTGTGCTGCTTAGTGACTTTGCCCTTTATACAGCACTTCCATAGAGATTATTCCATTGGAACCTTCTGCAACTAGGCGTGATTGGTCATCCCATTTTTGAGATAAGACCTAGAGACATTAATGCACCTTGCCCAGGGCCATGCCCTTAGGGAGAGCAGAGCTGGAACCCCAAAGGCATCTCTTGACTCCAAAGCCCTGCTCTGTCCTCTGTTCTTTGCAGCTTGTTTTTTTAGAGTCTTGAAAGTTTAACACCTCTTGACTGGGCTCTAAAAATGTGATTCTGATCCAGGTATTTACATGTGAATTTAAGAGCCCAGAGAGTTCCTTCTTCAGGGTGAAAACTACGTAAGAAAAAAAAATCAAAGCATTCTTTGGCATTTCGTGGCACAAAAATAAATACTTTAGGTGTACACACCCTTCCCTTTTGGCAGGTTTTAAATAAATGGATTATTCATGGATTCTTCAGCATTCTAGTGAGTCCTGGCTTGGTGCACTGTTGAACACCCCATGATGGGCTACTCATCTGTGGCCACTCCATCTCTAAAAACAGGGATCCCAAAGGCCTAATCTTAAAGTGGTCAGGAGCATTCGATATGAGCTTAACAGTTGGCAGACAATTTGTATGTTGCCCTAGTTAACATTTCTCTGTTTTTTTTCTTTTAAAGCATTTTGTAAGAAAGTAATTTCAAATAAATCATTTCATTTATCTGGGATGCAGTTTCCCCATCTATAAAATGGGTATGACTCTGGCCTGCCTTTCTGTATAAAACAGAGGTATTCAAAGATCCACCAAGTTTCTGAGCTATTGGTGTATGACGGTCCTAGGGCTGCCATCACAAGATATTGCAAACAACAGGAATTTATTCTCTCACAGTCCTAGAGGCTAGACATCTGAGATCAAGGTATTGGCAGAACCGTGCTCCCTGCAAAGGCACTAGGGAAAGATCTGTTCCCCGTCTCTCTCCTCACTTCTGGTCGTTCCTTGACTTGAGGCACCCTAACTCCGGTCTTCACATGGAGTTGTCCCTGGGTACTATGCCCCCTTACTTGCCATTCCTTTTATAAGGACACCAGTCACAATGAATTAGGGGCCCACCCTACTTCAGTGTGAACTCATCTTAACTAACCATATCTGTGGTGACCCTGTTTCCAAATAAGGTCACGTCCTGACATATTGGGGGTTAGGAGTTTTTTTTTTTATTTTTTATTTTTTATTTTTTTTGAGACCGAGTCTCTCTTTTTCACCCAGCTGGAGTGCAGTGGCACAATCTCAGATCACTGCAACCTCCACCTTCAGGACTCAAGCGATTCTTGCGCCTCAGCCTCCCAAGTAGCTGGAGCTACAGGCGCACACCACCACGCCCAGCTAATTTTTGTATTTTTAGTAGAGACAGGGTTTTGCCATGTTGGCAAGGCTGGTCTCAAACTCCTGACCTCGAGTGATCCATGTGCCTCGGCCTCCCAAAGTGTTGGGATTACAGGCGTGAACCACCATAAATGGCCAAGACTTTGATATGTAAATTTTAAAGGGGATAGAATTCAACAGTTCTATATTTACATATACAGATGCTCCTGGACTTACTCTGGGGTTATGTCTGGATAAACCCACTGTAAATGGAAAATATTAAAAATTGAAAGCATGGGCTGAGCATCTGACACCTGCAATCCCGGCACTTTGGAAGGTCAAGGCAAGAGGATAGCTTGAGGCCAAGAGTTCAAGACCAGCCTGGGCAACATTGTAAGACCCCTTACCACCTCTACAAAATTAAAAAAAATTTTAAAAAATTACCCAGGTGTAGTGGCACACATCTTCAGTCCCAGCTACATGAGAGGCTAAGGTGAGAGGATTGCTTGGGCCCAGGAGTTGAGGTTACATTGAGCTATCATTGTGCCACTGCACTCCAGCCTGGGCAACAGAAAAAAAAAAGAAAGAAAGAAAGAAACAGAAAATGTGTGTTTGACTCACAGTATTTTCAACTTTTGATAGGTTTATCCAGATACAACCCAATCATAAGTTGGGGGGTGAACTAAATGCATGTCATTTTCACACCATTGTAAATCAAAAAATTTTAAGTCAAAAGTATTGTAAGTCAGGAACTGTTTGCACCCATCTGAGGACAGAAGCAACACTACAGCTGTCAGTAATTCAGGTTCCATAGCAGAAGGAATAATGACAGCTTTCATGTGCATATAGATGATGCGTATATGTGGACCAGCCAGTGTTAGAGCTGGAGTCAGAGGACTGTGATGTCAGTTCCAAATCACCAAAAAGAGGCGAGCCAATGCCTGTGTGGCCTGGAAAACACATCTCTGTGGGCTGGCAGCCAGCATGAGAGAAGCACAAGCTGTAACACCAAGAGGTTTACAGAGTCCCCATGAGAGGGTGGCAGAAGCACCTCCAGGCTCCCACAGGGGCCCCAGTGCCTCTACCACAATCAAAGCTGCCCCTAGCCCTGCAGTGCCCTCGGTGGACACAGACGCAGGGAGGCTGACTCACTCACGCTCCAGTATGGAAAGCCAAGTGCCAATGTATTCATTTCTACCAAGGGATGTTTCTTTCCAGCAACAAAAATACCCCATTGCCTACCAAGGGCCCAGAGCCACTGCCTCCTGACATTAATCAGAAGGATGCGTCATGAGCATGGAGTGAAGCCAGATGCAGCACGACACAGTGGCCTCACTTACCCCACTGTGGTCAAGCCTTCTCACTGGGTGGTCCACATGAGGGTGTTGCTCTCCCCTGGACATTGGTGGGGCACTGCCACCCTCTGCCTCTGCCTTCCCTCACCTGGCCCCCAGGCTGGACACCCATTTATGTTCATACAGCCTTTCCCACAAAGGCCATAGTGAGATCTCAAAGGTCTGATTCAAATGTGCCAAGGGAGCCAGGGAAGAATGGGGGATTGGTGGTCTCTGATAGTCCCCAGGGAACTGAGAAGATGCTTCCCATCTACCTGAGAAAATTAAGAAACCCTGAACCTTCCCCTCTTCCATATCGCCCAGCAATCCCAGGCCATACCCCAAATCCACCCCTTGGGTCACACCTCAGGGGTTCACACCACACGGGTTCACACCTCAGGAGATCACACTGCAGGGGTTCAAACCCCAGGGGAATCACAGCACAGGGTTTAACACCCCAGGAGATCACACTTCAGGGTTCATACCTCAGGTGATAACACCGCAAGGATTCACAACTCAGGAATTCATACCTCAGGGGAATCACACCACAGTGGTTCACACCTCAGGGGATCATACCTCAGGGGATCACACCGCAGGGGTTAACACCTCAGGGAATCACACCACAGGGGTTCATAACTCAGGGGATCACACCTCAGGGGTTCACACCCCAAGGGAATCACACCACAGGGGTTAGCACCCCAGGAGATCACACTTCAGGGTTCATACCTCAGGTGATAACACCGCAAGGATTCACAACTCAGGGATTCACACCTCAGGGGAATCACACCACAGAGGTTCACACCTCAGGGGATCATACCTCAGGGGATCACACCACAGGGGTTCACACCTCAGAGGATCACACCACAGGGGTTCACATCTCAGGGGATCACACCTAAGGGGTTCACACCTCAAGGGATCACACCTCAGAGGATCACACTGCAGGGGTTCACACCTCAGGGGATCACACCTCACAGGATCACACTGCAGGAGTTCACACCTCAGGGGATCACACCAGAGGGGTCCACATTTCAGGGAGGGTCACATCTCGGGGGTGGGGGTCACACCTCAGGGGATCATCCACTCACTCTGAGGAGGTGCACAGCTGTGGGAGATTTGTTCCAGAATCCAGGCAAGTCAGAGGTCACAGAAATTCAAGGGACCACCTGATGCAAGGCTACAGCACCTTCTTCTTTCCTACCCAAACACACACTAGCACACACACAAAAAACACACATATGCACCACATACACACACATCAAACACACATATCACACGCACCACACACAAACCACACACACCACACAAACCACACACAAATACACATATACCACACACACAACACGTAGCAACACAAATGCACACATACCACACATGCCACACACCACACACACCATATACACACACCACACACACATACACACCACACACAGTACACACACCACATACCACACATATGATATACACACATCACACACACACATAAACACACATACCACATACACTACATACTACACACACTATACACACACCACAAAAACACACCTTGCACACCACACAGACACACCAAAAACACACCACACACACAAACCACACACACCAAACACACCATGCACCATGCACACACATACACCACACATCACACACTACATCATACATACATACCACAAACACACAGCACACACACAAAACACACAGCACACACAAACACACAGCACACACACACACCTACACTCAAGTGAGCCTGAGAAGCACATGAGATGCCCTCTGTTCCAAAGCTGAGCTGTTAGAGCCCCTCTGGGTAATGCTAAGGCTGTTCTCCAAAACACTTCTGCCTGCTAGGATTTGGAAGAGAATCAAGAATTAGTTTAATAATTCTTCTAAGAACACATTTTCAAAAAATAATTATGTATTTGCACAAACACAATGTGTGTACAAAGGTGTACATTGGAGCTTTTCTTGTGTAACGGGAAAGAAAGCAGCCTTAGTGCCCAGCATGCGGAAATGCTTAAATAAATTATATTTTACCCGTCAGTGAAGTACTAATCAACTGCTTTTTAAAAAAACATGATTTTGCAGATTTTGCAATGTCCTTGGAAGATTCCCACAAAATACTTACTAGGAGGAAAAAAAAAAGCAGCATATAAAACTGTAATAAAATGATGAGATTCTCCAAAAGGTTAATACTCTTTTTATTAGGCCATTATTGCATTGCTATAAAGAAATACCAATGAATACCAAGTAATTCATAAGGAAAAGAGGTTCAATTGGCTCACAGTTCTGTAGGCTGTACGAGTATGGTGCCAGCATCTGGTCGGCTTCTGGGGAGGCCTCAGGGAGGTTTTACTCATGGTAGAATGTGAAGTGGGAACAGGTACATCACATGGTTAGAGCAAGAGCAAGAGAGAGAGCAAGAGGAGGTGCCTCACACTCTTAAACAACCAGATCTCACAATAACTCACTCACTATCTCAAAGACAACAACCAGATCTCATGAGAATTCACTCACTCTCTCAAAGACAGCACAAAACCATGAGAAATTCGCCTTCACAACCCAAACACCTCCCACTAGGCCCTCCTTCCAGAATTGGGGATTTCAATTCAACACGAGATTTGGGCAGGGACAAATATCCAAAATATATCAGTGTTTATCCTTTAATGTTGCTATTACGAGCATCTTAAATTCCTTCCTTGGACTCTTCTATATTTTATAATTTCTCTATAATATTCTCTACATTTATAATCAGAAAAAAATACAATAATTGAAGCATAAGGAAGGACCCACTGCTTCCTCTTTTCTTTATACCTCCTCATCCCTACCCTAGTCCTCCAGTGGTGGAATTTTCCAACTTCTTTTCCCCACGCTTAAACAAAAAGTAAGCAATCCTGGATCCGAAACCAAGGCCAGGCCAAATGTATTTTTCTTCAGTAAAAGAAGATGCTCTAGCTAAATGTCTCTCCTCTTTTCTTGCCCCACCACCCTACTCATTCTTAACTCCAACACAGAGAATCTTGAAAGAAGCTGCAAACAGCAACCTGGTCTTTGACTGCACAATAATCCTCTAAGGTTCAGATCGTCTCAACCAGAGTTAAATTCTAACAGAGAGAGAGAGAGAGAGAGAGAACGAGAGAGAGAGAGAGAGATTGATCTGGATTCAGGCTTCCTAGATGCAGTCTATCCAACTCAGGCAGCAGTGAACGAGGAATACAGGCTCTTTCCCACATGTTTGGAATCCTGGCCCTGAGCCCTGAGCTGTGCATTCCATTTATCCTCTTTGTGGGCTGAACAGATGAAATTGCTTTAGCTAAAGGAAGTGGCACGAATTTACTTATTTATTAGATGTGCAGGATACATCCATCACACCGACCTCTGGATCAACTCAAATCATGAGACAAGCACACGCTGGAGCAGACAAAACAGCACAGACGTGTTCATGCACCCAGACCAACAGGATGGTAGGGTCGCCCTCTGTTAGTGCACATGGCAGCGGGGGAGTCTGGCCAGCGAGGGGCAACTCCCCATTCCTAGAGATGTGATTGATTGTTTCACAACTCACAAGGGATCACAGAACTAGAAAGAGGAAATGCTGGTTATTGGAACTCCAATTTCCATCTTCCCAGTCCTTTCTTCTCACCACTGCAAGACTGGAACTGAGGCTACTGATGAGAATTTAGCAGCCTCCTGGCTCTAGCCAAGTACAAAGTGCGAAATTCCTAGGACAGTTCTCTTTATTCTTCTTTCCCTTGGCCTCTCCCCGAAACCCTGCACTGCTCCCTGCCCCTCCTCTCACAGACAATAAACCATTTAACAAAGAAGGTAGCTTTGTTCCTTCTCACCTTTTCTGATAAGTCTCAGGCTGCAATGCCAAGGGGCTCATCTCTGATGAATATCAACATTAAGCTTCTCTCTCTCCCAGCATCAATCTCTTCTTTCAGATCTCAGAAGTCAGCCTCCCCTCCCTGCCTCGCTGCTCCCCTCTTCCCCTTTCTCACACCCCCACAATAGTCTCTTTCCTCCCTTGCTCGCCTCCTTTCCCAGACAGAGGCAATGTGCTAACATGTCCCCACCTGAGACAAAGAAAGGAGGCTTTGTTATACCGGCAAGAGCCTAAATATTAACATCATTTAATTACCGCCATTCTCCCAAGCCAACTTCTTGGCAGCAGGCTCCTCTTGTTAAATAGGCTTTTAAGTTTTCCCAGGGAGGCTGCATCGGAGATAATTTGTGAATGGAGACTGGGGTGTTGCTGCTGGTATAAAGAGGTGACTTCAAGGTAACTGGGTCTTCAAAGACAAGCAGGGGGAAAGGTTATGTAGTTCCTTTAGGCTCAGATCATCTTTCGGAAATGGCCACTACTCTCAGATTCAACGTCTTGGGCACAAACCGGTGGACTGCATTATTAACAGGCCCAGATTCAATTCTTTTTTTTTTTTTTCCCCAAACACAAGGAGAGCTGTGTCACATTCATGATGCCAGGACTTGTTCTCTTGGTTGTGTGCTGAGGTGAAAGACAACTTGACTTTAGTCTGCTGGAATGTGCCTCAGCCAGGGGTGCCCAGTTGACCCTAAAAAGCATGAGGACCTTTCACGTCCTGAAAGGTCACTTGATCTGTAGAAAAGAGCAAAGTGATGACAAGGTGCAGTGGCTCACACCTGTAATCCCAGCACTTTGGGAGGCCGAGGCGGGTGGATGACCTGAGGTCAGGAGTTCGAGACCAGCCTGGCCAACATGGTGAAACCCCGTCTCTATTAAAAATACAAAAATTAGCCGGGCGTGGTGGTGAGCATCTGTAATCCCACCTACTCGGGAGGCTGAGACAGGAGAATTGTTTGAACCCAGGAAGCAGAGGTTGCAGTGAGCACAGATCACACTACTGCACTCCAGCCTGGGCAACAGAGCCAGACTCTGTCTCAAAAAAAAAAAAAAAAAGAGCAAAGTATTCCCCACCTGATGTGACAGCATTTCTGGCAAAAGTGGCTAGTTCCCAGTCGCTGCAATAATTCTGAATTGCTGCATTTGTTAGTGCATCTCACAATGCATTCGAGGCATCTCATGATAGCTCTAACTTCACCTGGCCAGATCACAACCCTCTCATTTCCTTACGATAGTCTCATGAAAAGTGTATGACTGTGGATTTCTTTGTTTTTATTTCATTGATTTATTATACTATTCTTAATAGAGTCAATTTATGACCGATAGGTGGATTATTTATGCATGGTGCAGAAATGCGTCAAGAATCCGCAATACAATAACTGGTCCTGAAGCAAGAAATCCTGTCCTATATTATCAGTATACTTTCCCTGTCTTTAAAGTCGGCTTGCCGGCCAGACACAGTGGCTCGTGCCTGTAATCCCAGCACTTTGGGAGGCCGAGGTGGGTGAAGCACTTGAGGCCAGAAGTTCAAGACCAGCCTAGCCAAGATGGTGAAACCCAATCTCTGCTGAAAATAGAAATATTAGCTTGGCCTGGTGGCATGTGCCTGTAATCCCAGCTACTCAGGAGGCTGAGGCAGGAGAATCACTTGAACTCAGGAGGTGGAGGTTGCAGTGAACTGAGATTGTGCCACTGCACTCCAGCCTGGCCAGAGAACGAGACTACGTCTCAAAAACCAACACAAAACAAAAAAAAATTACTAAGTTTATTTCACATTGTCAAAACTGTAAAGATCACACTATTAATATTAATTGCTTGCCTTGATTATGCAATTCTACAGTACTCCCGGCTCATTTTTTAGTTGTTCAGTCGTGCTCAGTTTTGGCCACTGGAATTGGGGGAAAAAAATCAACTCATTCCATTTGCCATTCCCAGTATTATAGGATAGGAAAGAGTTAACACCTGCATGCCTACCTTCTCTACATAGATTCTAATTTTTAAATAAAGTTAAAGGTAGTTGTATCTTATAAGTTCCAGCATCAGAAATCACTTTTAGAGCATCAGCTGGTTCTAAACTCTACAATAGCTAATGAAATCATGGCAACAACCAAGAAAACATATGGCAGGATCAGAGAGATGTGTTCAAATTTGCATTCAAGGTGAACTCTGCAGAAAGAAATTAATGATCATGTGGGCAAGAGAGAGAGAGAGAGACAGAATACATTTCACCACAATGACAAAACATTCTTATCTTTTTAAATCTTTTTAAAACATAAAACAGCTCATCTGTTAGCCTGCTTTTTTTTTTTTTTTTTTTGAGATGGAGTTTCACTCTTGTTTCCCAGACTGGAGTGCAATGGCATGATCTGGGCTCACTGCAACTTCCACCTCCCCACTTCAAGCGATTCTCCTGCCTCAGTCTCCCGAGTAGCTGGGATTACAGGCATGAGCCACCACGCCCAGTCTAAACTATAAACTATAAACTAAGTTTCTCCCAAAGTTAGCTCAGCCTACACCCAGGAATGAACAAGGACAGCTTGGACGTTAGAAGCAAGATGGAGTCATGAAGTTAAATCTCTTTCACTGTCTCAGTCATAATTTTGCAAAGGCAGTTGCAGTACCAAAGTTGAGTTTCCCCAGTCTTCCTCTCCCAGTTGGCTCTCAAACTGTTGGGAGTCAAGATTATACCTTAGCTTAAATGTTTATTTCCTGAGTAATACAATTAGCTCAAGAGAAGGAGAAAAAATTAAAGATACCAACACTAAGGATGTCTTCCAAGAAAATAATGTAGTCAGATCACCCTACAAACAAACGCCACAGTTAGAGACCCACTCATGAGCACAGAGCTCTAGCAATCAACTTTTTAGAGCCTCAAGCATAAATAAAAGCAGAAAGCCAAGGATTACCAGACATTTGAGGAAAGCACAGGAAAGACTTGAACCAGTTTTTAGAAGTAACTTAGGAAATAAAGACTACACAGGAGCTAAGAAAAAAATCACCTAATTTTTTTATTGTTGTTCAAGACAGGGTCTCACTCCGTCACCCAGGCTGGAAAGCAGTGGCGTTACCATAGCTCACTGCAGGCTCGAACCCCTTGGCTCAAGCGATCCTCCCACCTCAGGCCCTCTGAGTAGCTGGGACTACATTTAGGTATCACTACGCCTGGCTAATTTATTTTCATTTTTGTAGAGATGGAGTCTTACTTTGTTGCCCAGGCTGGTCTCGAACTCCTGGCTCCAAACTATCCTGCTGCCTCGGCCTCCCAAAGTGTTGGGATTATAGGCATGAGCTACCATGCTGGGCTTAATTAATAATATTCTCAGAAAGACAAGACAATATATTGAATCCATAAAACAAATATAAGATGATACACACAATGGACATTTGGAATATATACATTGTGCTTTATTCTACAATTGCTTTTTTTTTTTTTTTTTTTTTGAGATGTAGTCTTGCTCTGTCTGTTGCCCAGGCTGGAGTACAACGGCTTAATCTCAGCCCACTGCAAACTCCGCCTCCCAGGCTCAAGGGATTTTCCTGCCTCACCATCCTGAGTAGCTGGGATTACAGGCACCTGCCACCATGCCCGGCTAATTTTTGTATTTGGTAAAGATGGGGTTTCACTATGTTGGCCAGGCTGGTCTCGAACTCTTGACCTTGTGGTCCATCCATCTCAGCCTCCCAAAGTACTGGGATTACAGGCATGAGCCACCGTGCCCAGCCTACAATAGATTTTCATACCACAATGAGACTGAGTAGTCACTGCTGTACACTGCGATGCACCTCACAAACAGGATGATAAGTGAAGGAAGCCAGGCACAAAAGGGCACATACCCTGTGATTCCACCATAAAACATTCACCAAGGGCTGGAGGTGCAAGAAGTCATCATGGTGGTTACTCTTTAGAGGGAAGCTGTGGAAAACATCTGACAAATTTCCAACACGAAAAGAGAAATAAAAAAGGTTTTATCCAAAAGATCAAGAATCAGAATGGCCTCAATTTCCTCAACAACAACTAGAAGCTAGAGGAGAAGGGAGCAATGCCTTCAAATTTCTAAGGGAAAGTGATTTCCATATCCAGCCAAATTATTGATTAAATGTGAAAAAACACCAAAGTTTTTTTTTTCAAATGTACAAAGTCTTTAAGGATTCCTTCTGTGTAGAGAAAAACTCATACCACATTTCCCCTCTACTCACACCACCACAACAATCATCAACACAGAAGACTTCTGTAACAAATATGTGGACACCAGCTGGGTGTCCTCCAATTCAGTTCCCACACTGTCTACCCAGAGATAATGTCAGATCCCACAGGTTGGGGGCTCAGTCCACAAGACTGCCCCTCCTCCAGTTGCAAATCCAGGTCTCTGCAACTTCTTTTTATTTTATTTTTTTATTTTTTGAGATGGAGTCTCCCTCTGTCACCCAGGCTGCAGTGCAGTGGCATGATCTCAGCTCACTGCAACCTCCATCTCCCAGGTTTGAGTGATTCTCCTGATTCAGACTCCCAAGTAGCTGGGACTACAGGTGCCCACCACCACACCCAGCTAATTTTTGTATTTTTAGTAGAGACCAGGTTTCACCATGTTGGCCAGGCTGGTCTCAAACTCCTGACCTCATGTGATCTACCCACCTCGGCCTCCCAAAGTGCTGAGATTACAAATGTGAGCCACCATGCCTGGCCTCTGGAATTTCTGATCAATGGGCTTCAAGTTGGGGTTCCCACCACCTCCTCTATGGGTTGGATTAATTTGTGGGAGCAAATCGCAGGACTGAAAGAAACACTTACTTACATTTACTGGTTTATTATAAAAGGTATTACAAAGGATACAGATGAAGAGATGCATAGGGTGAGGTAGGACAGAAGGGGTGCAGAGCTTCCATGCCCTCCCTGGGTGCCACCCTCCAGAAAATTCCCTGTGTTCAGCCACCCAGAAGCTCACTGAACCCTGTCTTCTTGGATTTTTCGTCAAACTTCATGTCAGCAGGCCTTCCCCCGGGGTATTGGGTGGGACCCTTTCTGAGGAGAATCTAAAGACCCACATCAGAAAGGTGGGGAAGATTAGAGTCCTGCCTTGGGGCAGATGAAAGGAGGGCAGGAGAAGGTTGGAGAGATTCTGTTTCCTGAGGCCTAACACAAACCAGAATTATAACAAATGACTAACAAGGGCTATGGGACTTATGAGCCAGGAACTGGGGACAAAAACCGATATATATCATAACACCACACCTTCCTTTTACTCTTTTCTCAGGAAGCTAGATATGCCAGAAATATACCCAGAGAAAGGAAGATACGAGATCCATGCAACTAAAGAGAGAAAGAAGCAACGATCATTCCCAAATGTTGGCCAAGAGACAGCATAAGGCGACAGGTATACGGCAAACCCAGAGAGCCAGAAACCCAGATTGGCACAGGTTCGGAGGCTCTGACAGAGTTGTCTTCAAGAAGACAAATTGGCCAGGCGTGGCGGCTCACACCTGTAATCCCAGCACTTTGGGAGGCCGAGGCGGGCGGATCACCTGAGGTCAGGAGTTCAAGACCAGGCTGGCCAACATGGTGAAATCCCATCTCTACTAAAAATACAAAAATTAGCTGGGCATGGTGGCATGCACCTGTAATCCCAGCTACTTGGGAGGCTGAGGCAGGAGAATTGCTTGAACTCAGGAGGCAGGGGTTGCAGTGAGCCAAGGGGGCACCATTGCACTCCAGCCTGGACAACAGAGTGAGACTCTGTCTCAAAAAAAAAAAAAAAAAAAGACGACAAATTGATAGAATACCTAGAAAGGAGATTTACACAATTAGGGCAAGTTTAGGGTTAACTGTGTATAAATTAGATGGGTGTATTATTGTACGTATATATGTTTGAATCACACGTTCATATTACTATACCTAATATATTATAAACATTATGAAATATAAATAAGAAAATAATGAAATAAAAATAAATATAAATAACAGCTCTATGATTTTCTTCCCTCCCCTTGCAGGTGCGCTGGGCAGGACACAGGCTGGAAGTGCTCAGGGGTTATCTTGTGCATTTCCTGCCTGTGCCCCACAGCGCACCCACAATACAAGCAGTGCCTTCCTTGTATTCGTTGATCAGATAAACCAAGAAGAACCATCAGGCCTTAAAGACATGGAGCACAGAAACTGGGAGAGAAGGTCACATGTTGGTAGATGCCAGGCTCCACTGTAATAAGTCCTGCTGGGTACCCCAAGGTGGGCCCTGAGAAGCTCAGGCCAGCATGAGGTCCTGGACCCTGGAGTTGATGATCAGAAAATTATCAACTCCTGGAAAAAGCAAACGCCCTCAAGACCATCTCAGTTACAGTTCTCCTTTTAGCAATGAGAAAAATGTATGCTTTAGAATCTTGCCTGTCTAGTTCTACATCCATTTAACATATCTGCTTTTGATGGACTCCCAGATAAATGCATGAAACGTAAATATAAAGAGATCGTGTGTGTGTTTAATTTCCTGTCCTAATTGTCTTCCACTGCCTACACAGGCTGCCAAGTCTCTTATTTGCTGCCATTTGGGATGTGAGGTTTCTCCTCATCAATTCCTCTACAGTTCCTGTAAGAGCTCTGAGCCAGAGCTGGGCAGTTTGTTCAGAAAACTTTCTCTGAAATATTTTTAAAGAACTTCACAGAGCCCTTGTTATCTAATAGACAGGCCAAAACATTGACTCCAGGCATGTTTTCCTTTCTGTTTCATCAAAGGAAAATGAAGATGAAAAGCCTTTTTGTAAGTACTTATTCCCTATTAGGAAATTGTTTAAGTAAATCACTTTAGTCAAAAATGTTAGAGGCAGTCTGCCTAAGACAGAATATTTCAGTGGCTAACTTTAATAAATGCTAACTTACAAATTGAGCTCATTGGCCATAATTGCTTGCAACAGTAGGCACTAAACACAGAGATTAGCATAATTGTGATTATAACTCCCATTAGCATTTGTAATGTAATTATAGCCAAGTAACGTGCCAGGATGGAAAGATTCTACTAAAACTTCTCTCGCAAAGACACGAAAAGTGCATGCCCTTCCTCCAGGAGGTAGCATCACGGGGAGATGGCTCTGTGGTGAGGCCTTTAACCTCCCAGCATCTCACTTTTGCATCAGCAAAACATTTTGTGATTATTCAATATACGTGGCAAGGATACACTGCTGGAAGAAAACTGTTTCTGCTTAAGATGGAGTCAGATTTTGACTTAAGGTGGACACATTTTGCCACCTGCCTGAAACCAGTATGAACACACACAAACAAGAACAGCAAAATGTATTAAATGACAGTTTGCAAGACGTTGGTTATCAGGCAATGAAGCACAGTGACCTCCAAGAGATGGGAAACAAATTAGTGGAGCCCTATTTTTGCCCCAGCTCACTGTCTTGAGACAGTTTCCAGACTGTGGCACAGGAAGGGAGAACCCAGGTAGAAGCTGGTGGACTCCTTTAGGCAAGAAGATGGAAATGAGAGTCCAGGGATAGCAAGGCAGCTGGAGTTTACAGGACAGAGAACCAGCAGAGATAGTTGTACAGAGAGAGAATCCTGGGATCTGGACGGGGTTCTGTCAATATTCACACAGTATTGATCGTGACAGCATGTGAAGATACTACTCAATGCCAGAGGGGCGAAAACATCTGAAAGGATCAGAGAAAAGCACACAGTGTTCACCAAGTGTCAAGACTATTAGCTGTTCCCTCCCACCAGCCAGCCAGGGAGAAAACACATTTTTGAACACTGGGCAGAATACTCATGAACATTCTGTCTTAGCGGTGGGAAATAATTAGCCGCAGACCAAACACTGCTCCAGATCCACCTCACAAATTATGAAATCTAAATCTGAAGGGCTCAAACTATACCCAAGCAACTTAATTGCATCCCAGAGAAAAGCTTAAGAACAGCTATAGGAAAGCAAAGTATCACGTATCCAAAAATGGTAGTAACCACAACGGGTGGTATCTGATAAGGATTATCAAACATAGAAAGTATAAGGAAAATATAACACATGATGGGGGAAATAATTCAAAACTGACTCGAAACTGACACAGATGTTATCATTAGTAGACGAGTACATTGAGCAATTATAACCATATTCCAGATATTCAAAAAGTTAAGTAGAGAAAAATGATTTAACAAAAATACTCTAATTGAACTTCTGTGAATAAAAAACTACAATATCAAAAATTTAAAAAATTGATGGGATTAATAGTAGATTAGACATAGCAAAAAAATAGATCTGTAAATTTGAAACCATGGCAATGGAAACTATCCAAAATAAAAACACTGAGAGGAAAAACAATTTTTTTTTTCTTTTTTTGAGATAGAATCTCACTCTGTTGCTCAGGCTGGAGTAGAGTGGTGCAATCTTGGCTCACTGCAACCTCCGGCTCCCAGGTTCAAGCAATTATCCTGCCACAGCCTCCTGAGTAGCTGAGATTACAGGTGTGTGCCATCACACCTGGCTAATTTTTTTGTGTGTTTTTTTAGTAGAGATGGCGTTTTGCCATGTTGACCAGGCTGGTCTTGAACTCCTGAGCTCATGTGATCCACCTGCCTCGGCCTCCCAAAATCTGGGATTACATGTGTGAGCCACCACGCTTGTCTGGAAAAAAAATTTTTAATTAAAAGAGGATCAGTGAATTCTGAGACAACTTCAACTGGCCTAATACACGTGCAGTGGAGTTGCCAGAGGAGAGGAGAGGCAACTGAACAAATATTTGAAGAAATGACAGTTGAAAACATTGCAAACTTAATTGAAACTAAAAACTCACAGATCCAAGAAGTTCAACAAACCCCCAAGCAAAAGAAGCATGAAACAAAACACTAAGACATATCATAATCAAATTGTTAAAGAAATCAATAATAGACACAAAATATTAGAGCAGCCAGAGGAAAATAATAAGATGTTACATAAAGAGGAAACAAAAATAAAGATGAGAATAGATTTTTTTAATAGAAAACAATGTAAGCCAACAGACATCTTCAAAACATTGAAAGATAAAAACTATCAAGCTAGAATTTTACACCAAGCAAGAATATCTCTCAGAAACAAAGATGAAATGAAGATGTTTTCAAACATAGAAAAACTGAAAGAATTCACTAGCAAATCCACACTGCAAGACATTTTAGAGTCTTTTAGGCAGAAGGAAGTAAGGAGCTTCACAAAAAAGGAACACCAAAAATTGTAACTATATGTGATTTTTCTTATTAAATCTATTTACAAGATAACTGAATATTTAAACAAAAATAAGAACAATGTAGTTAAACTTCATACGTGTAAGTAAAATATATTACAGTGCTAGCAGAGCAACCAGGAGGGGGAAATAGAAATATTCTATTCTGTGATTCTTTTTATTTTATTTTATTTTATTTTTTTGAGATGGAGTCTCGCTCTGTCACCCAGGCTGGAGTGCAGTGGTGCGATCTCGGCTCACTGCAAGCTCCGCCTCCTGGGTTCACGCCATTATCCTGCCTCAGCCTCCTGGGTAGCTGGGACTACAGGCACCTGCCACCATGCCTGGCTAAATTTTTGTATTTTTAGTAGAGACAGGGTTTCACCATGTTAGCCAGGATGGTCTCGATCTGCTGACCTCAGCTCTGTCACCCAGGCTGCAGTGCAGTAGCACGATCTCGGATCTGCAACTTCCACCTCCTGGGTTCAAGTAATTCTCCTGCCTCAGCCTCCCAAGTAGCAGGGATAACAGGTGCCCCCCACCATGCCCAGCTAATTTTTTTTTGTATTTTTAGCAGAGATGGGGTTTCACTGTGTTGCCCGGACTGGTCTCAAACTCCTGACCTCGTGATCCACCCACCTTGACCTCCTAAAGTGCAGGGATTACAAGCATGAGCCACCACACCCAGCCTCTATTGTATGATTCTTACACATAAAGTGGTAGGTCAGACAAAAGAAGACAGTGAAAAATTAGAATTATATGCTCTCCACTATAAACTATATACACTATATTTTACTACTAAAATGACAAAAAGATTTATAGTTAGTAAGCCAATAATAAAAAAAAAATTATTTCAAGGATCAGTTAATTCAAAAGATGGCAAAAATAGAAAAAAGTGAGTAAAGAACAGATAGGACATCTAGAAAACAAACAGCAAGATGGCAGATTTAAACCTAATCATATCAATAATCACATTAAATGTAAATGAGCTAAACAATCTTGATTAACTGCAGAAATGGTCAGACTGGATTGAAAATCTAGACCGAAATAAATACTGTCTATAAGACATGCTCTTCTTGCTCTCCTGGCCCCCACCCACACTGGCACCAGGGAAAGGCCATGTAAGCACATAGTGAGAAGGTGGCTGTTGGCAAGCCAGGAAGAGAGCCCTCACCAGAACCCAAACATGCTGGCACCCTGATCTCAGACTTTCAGCCTCCAGAACTGTGAAAAAATAAATTTCTGTTGTTAAGTCAAAAGAAGAAGAAGAAGAGGAGAAGGAAATGTTCTTTATATATTAAAACACGGGTAAAGTAAAATAATTTAAAAATTATTTTTAATGATATACCATACTAATACTAATCAAAAGAAAATTGGAGTGGCAAATTAGTAACAGTGGCACACAATAACAGAGCTTCAAACTACATAAAGCAAAAATTGTTAGAACTACAAAGAGAACAAAATAAATCCAAAATTATACTTGGAGATTTCAATAATTAGCTCTCTGATTGACAGAAGTAAAAAGAAAGTCATCAAGCTTATCAAAGATTTGAAAGTCACTGTTAAGCAACTTGACATAATTGACGTTTATAAAACACTCCACCTAGCAACAGCAAAACACACAGTGTATTCAAAGACACACAGAGCATTTGCCAAGATAGACAATATTCTGGGCTATAAAACAAGTTACAATAAATTTGGAAGTGTTCATGTCATACTAAGTATGTTCTCTGACCACAATGGAAGTAAATTCAAATCGATTATGAAAAGATCTCTGGAAAATCCCAATTATTTGGATGATGGAAACTAAATAATACACAATTATATACTTGTAAATACTAAATGGATTAAAGAAGAAATCAAAAGAGAAATTAGAAAGTATTTTCAGTTAAATGAAAATGAACATATAGAAATTTTCAGGATGCTGTTAAAGCAGTTCTTAGGGTAAATGTGTAACACTATATGCCTACACTAGAAAGAAGAACGTTCTGAAATCAATTACCTCATCTTCAACCTTAAGAAACTAGAAAAAGTAAGACCAAATTAAATCCAAAGTTACAAGAGTGTTTGGACTTGCTCGTTAATAATAGCTTCTTTAATGTCCTTCTAGAATATTCTATTATCTGTGTCATCTAATCATTGGTGTCTGTTGATTTTCTTTTCCCATGCAAATGATACAGGAGCTAGAAATAAATTATTTAGGCAAATAGTGAGGGTAAAGAGTCTTCAGCAAGGCTTCCCTTCTAACAAAAAGTAGCCCAAGAAATTATTTTTTCTATCAAGGAGCAGCCTGAAAACTTAAGCTGCAAAGATAGATAATCAAGCTGGAAGCTTGCATGTGTGAATGCCAGCAGTGTACCAACAGAAAAGGGCTACCCGGGGGCCAGGCACATCCAACATGGAGGCTCCATCTTCCCTTCTCTTTATTACCAAGTGTACAGTAAAGAAACAGGCGACATGGCTGCAGCCAGGTAGAGAACCCATCCATAATACAAGATTAGGGTGGGAGAAGCCAGTTTTTCACACCCTATGCAAATGGCACACCTAGTCCTAACCAGCTTTTTTGTGCCTTATGCAAATGGCACACCTGGTCCGACCAATGTTTTGGGACCTGTATACATCAGACACTACCTCCTCAAGCTCTGCATTTCACCGTAGACTGGTGACCCGTTCAGGACCCCTATCTCTGCAGGAGAGAGCTCTTCTCTTTCTTTCACCTATTAAACTTCTGCTCTTAAGCTCACTCTTTATGTCTTAATGTCCTAGTTTTCTGTGGCTGTCAGACAACGAACCTCAGGTATTTACCCCAGACAACGATGCCACTTCACAATTAGAGGTTTTTTAATATCACAAGTAATTTTGGTTTGTATCCTGAACATTTTCAGTATTATGCTGGGTCTTGTTTCTATCTGCCAGTTCTATGGCTCTTAGAATTCTGGTGTTGTTCCCTGATTTCCTACTGTTATTTATTTTGCAGAGTTTTCAAATAGCTGTCATTGTACCCTGTCCAGGTTTCAGAGTTGGGCTTAGTGGGAGGTAGGCAGAATTCTAAGCTGGGTCCCAAGAGTCCTACCCCCTGGTTACATGTTCATTATGAGCCCCTTCCCTTGAATGTGAGCAGGATTTGTGGGTACAATGGAATACCACTCCCATAATTATTTTGCTTTATATGGCAGAAGAGATCTTGCAGATGTAATTAAGATCCCTAATCAGTTGACTTTGAATTAATAAAAAAAAGATTATTCTAGATGAACCTAATCTAATCGGATGAGCCTTTAAAAGGAGTCAGAGAATTTCAAAGCCAGATAGATGTCAGCCTTGAAGATGCAGCCTCTGTGAGTTCTCCAGTTGCAAGGAAATGGATTCTGCCAACAGCCACATGAGCTTGGAAGAGAACCCTGAGCCTCAAATGTGACCCCAATTGACACCTGATTGCAGACTTGTAAGAACTGGGGCAGAAAATCAAGCCAGCTGTGGTGGCTCACACCTATAATTCCAGCACTTTGGAAGGCCGAGGCAGGTGGATCACTTGAGGTCAGGAGTTCTAGACCAGCCTAGCCAACATGGCAAAACCCCATCTCTACTAAAAACAAAAATTAGCCAGGCGTGGTGCTGCATGCCTGTAATCCCAGTTACTTGGGAGGCTGAGGCAGGAGAATTGCTCGAACCTGGGAGGTGGAGGTTGCAGTAAGCTGGGATCGCACCACTGCACTCCAGCCTGGGTGACAGACCAAGACTCTATCTCAAAAAAAAAGCAATAAAAGAGAACTAAGGCAGAAAAGCCTGCCAGGACTTCTGACGTACAGAAACTGTGGCTCAAGCAATGATGTTGCATTAAACTTCTTCTTCTTCTTCTTTTTTTTTTAAAAGACAGGATCTCTCTCTGTTTCACCCAGCCTGAAGTGCAGTGGTGCAATCTCAGCTCACTGCAACCTCCCAAGTTCAAGCGATTCTTCCACCTGGAGTAGCTGGGACCCCACCCCAACCAGCCATTTTTTGTATTTTTTGGTAGATGCAGGGTTTCACTCTTTTAGCTAGGCTGGTCTCGAACTACTGACCTCAAGTGATCCACCTGCCTTGGCCTCTCAAAGTGCTGGGATTACAGGTGTAAGCCACCTTGCCTGGCCAATCTTCTATTTTTATAGCAGTTTATTACACTGCAAAATTTAATAGACTTTATCCTACGTGAAACTGTGTCTTAAAAAAGAAATTCTAGGTACTCTATGTTTGAGCAAACGTTATCCTTTAAGTATTGATTAATACTCAATATGCTTTCTAACAAAGCTCTTTGTTGATTTTCCTTCCTCCGTATTCCCAATATAGAATTAGGGAAATAACTTAAAGATTCAGATCTCCTCAACATCAAATTTCCAGCAGTGTAGACTCTAGCAGCTCATCTTTGTGCAATTACAAGCTGCTTCATTACTTCTTTTCCTTTGCCCTCTTGGTTCATCAAGCTCACTGAGTTTTATGAAAGAAAAGCTAATCTTGCTATATAATTGCATTAATTATTGCCACATGAGCCACTCAGCAGGGACAAATAGCAAGCCTGGTATAATGAGTAAACTAGAAGAAGTAACCATTTATAGCCACTCATAGGATAGGCCAAGTCAAAGTTACCATGAAATGATAGGTTGTTTTCTCCAAAACATGACAGCTATCAAAAGAAAGTATAACTTTCATTTAAGATATGCAAGGTGGCCAGGCGTGGTGGCTCCTGCCTATAATCCTAGCACTTCTGGAGACCAAGGCAGGAGGATCACTTGAGCCTAGCAGTTCAAGGCCAGCCTCGGCAACATAGTGAGACCCTTGTCTCTACAAAAAATACAAAAATTAGCCAGGCATGGTGGCACATGCCTGTGGTCCTAGTTACTCGGGATGCTGAGGTGGGAGAATCACCTGAGCCAGGGAAGTTGAGACTGCAGTGAGCTGTGATCACAACACTGCACTCCAGCCTGGGCAACAAAGTGAGATTTTGTATATACATATATATATATATGCAAGGTGTCATATCTATTCAATCTGCGTGTGGGGACACAGACAACATTGAAACACTGTAGCTTTTTTTTTTTTTTTTAGCTGGAGTCTTGCTTTGTCGCCCAGGCTGGAGTGCAGGGGCACAATCTCAGCTCGCTGCAACATCTGCCTCCGAGGTTCAAGTGATTCTTCTGCCTCAGCCTCCCAAGTAGGAGGGATTACAGGCACCTGCCATCATGCCCGGCCAAGTTTTGTATTTCTGTACAGATGGGGTTTCACCATGTTGGCCAGGGTAGTCTTGAACTCCCGACCTCAGGTGATCTACCAGCCTCAGCCTCCCAAAGTGCTGGGATTACAGGCGTGAGCCACCGCGCCCGGCCACAAAGCAGCATATCTCTTGTGATGCTTCTTGGGGGGAAAAGCAATCTGTAATGTAATCAAATTGTTTGAGAACTATTAATTACAAATAAACCCCTTCTTAGAGATGCACACTTAATAAAGATGACCCAGGTGTGTGCAGGAAAGAAAACTGTTTCACTTGAATTTCAATTTCATTCCAGAATTTCCCAATCTTATTTGATACATATTCTGTTCAGGTTTTAGAGTTGAGTTCAATGGAAGACAAGTGGAGATGTGTGCTTACTTCACACAGTAGGCAGAGTCATTTTGGAAGCAAACCTATCAAAATCCCTGGAAACTCAAATGTTTCTTCCTAGAAAATATTTTGGGAAATGTGGAGCTAGAGATTTAAATTCTTTCCATGTTTGTTTATCCTGTCCCCTCTTTCGGGTGATACTCCACTCTAGGTCAAGGGTTGATAATATGTCAAGTGGTGAGAAAAATTCCAAGCATAGCTAATGGAAATTGCCACCCCAACCTCACCCCCAGCTGATGTCAAGCACTCATGCAGTCCGTGGTCTCTGCAGATAAAAATGCATCCTCAGTGACTCAAGAATTCCAGGCATTCTGATCAGTTGCGTACTGTCTCCCCAAAGCATTCAACAGACATTCTCCAAGCACCTATCTTGCGCTAGGCTCAGTGCATTACCAGCAAGCATCCCAGGCAGGGCACTCATTTTGCAAGCTCGCAGAAAGTGTGGTCATGCCAAGTAAGTGTCCAGGAGGGATTATAATTCATGGGCTTCTGGGGAAGAGGATGAGCAGCCAGCCTGGAAGGTAACAGACAGTCCCAGCACAAAAACCCTTCAACAAGGTCATGGGGTAAGAGCTGCCATCTCCCAGGCAGGGCTCTGGATGGGCCCGGATGGATGGGATAGCAAACTCACTCCGTAAAAGCAAAGGAAATTTGTGACAGGCATCAGCCACTGAAAAAAAATGTCTTCAAGTTGACAGCAGAGCAGGAAGTAGGAAAGGGAGAAATGGAAGAAACTGAAAGAATAAATTACTTTCCACTTTGCAATGATTCTAAGATGTAGACTTTTTTCACCTTTTAACAGCTCTGAATTCTCTGACATTGGAATAGATCGAAAGCATCCTACAATCGCCGCCCGCCAGGCGCCCACGTGACCTCGTTGTCTTTGCGGCATGTGCAAACTTGTTCACAGCTGTGGCTGTTGTCATCACTTCAGCGGGATTATGTGCACTGTTGGCACTTCATGTGCCGGGTTTAATTGCCATGTAAAATGCCTTCAGAAAGATTATACTATGATTCAGCATTGAAAGGAAAACTTACGGTGTATTCAGAAAGGTGAGGAGACAGAGCGGGTGGGGCGGGGGGGTACATACATTTGTTATTTGTGAAGTGAATATTCATGACGGGAGGAATGCTTGCAATTCCATATTCTCTTGCAGAACAAACCAAGTGCTTTACAACCTTGCTGCTCAAAGTGTGGTCCACAGACCAGCAGCATCGCCTGGGAGATGGATCGAAATTCTGAATTTCAGGCTCTGCCCCAAACCTACTGAATCAGGATCTGCATTTTAACAAAGTCCCATTGATTTGCAGGCATATTAAAGTCTGAGTGCCCTGCTTTAGTGAACATAAAGTGAAGCTAATTCATACCGAATTATCGAGCTATAAAAAGGGAATGCCCAGCAGAAGCCAAGCAGTGCAGCTGAAGGCAGGGGAAATTGTCAAGCCCTTTAGAATCCATGAAAGAAATTCCAACGCAACAAAGAGGTTGGTGTGGCCAATTCACTCATCAGGCAGGCCTGTCATTAAGACACCATGTCATAGTCTCATTGACAATGATTTTTCCTCTCTTTGTGGTACATCAGCTAATGATGGAGCTTAAAATGAAGGACATTTTAGATTCAATTAAATACGGCAAGTGGTATTTCTCCAGGGCACTGTAAGAGATTAAAATAAAGGCATCTCCATCAGTGAGGCGGAGCTGGGAGGCAGCAGAAGAGGGACAGTGCCACTGCAGTCCAAGCGGGAGAAGCAAGGACACTAGGAAAGTTCATGAGTCACCCAAGACCTGGCCAGGGCAAGGGAGGGACACATGGGGGCTGAGGTCCCTGTAACATTGCTGGTCGTGAACCATCCTGCCTGCATACTGCAGGTTCTACAGCTACTTCAGACCTCCAACTAAAAATAATAATAATAATACTCAATTCCTTATTCTTTTCAAATAATTGTTAAAATTATTATTATTATTTTGAGGCACAGTCTCACTCCATCGCCCAGGCTGGAGTGCAGTGGCACTATCTCAGCTCACTGCAACCTCCACCTCCCGTTCAATAATTCTCATGCCTCAGCCTCCCGGGGAGCTGGAAATACGGGCCTGTGCCACCACACTCAACTAATTTTTGCATTGTTAGTAGAGACGGGGTTTCACCATGCTGGACAGGCTGGTCTCAAACTCCTGACCTCAAGTGATCTGCCTGCCTCGGCCTCCCAAAGTGCGGGGATTACTAGCATGAGCCACTGTGCCCACCCTCAAATAATTTTTATAGCCATTATTTTGTACTTCTTTCTTCAATAACTCTTAGTGTTTTAACACCTCATCATCTCACTGAGCCCCAAAACAAACCCTAGGGAGAAGCAGCGTGAACTGAAGTCTGAAGTGTGGGCAGTGCTGTCGTTTTCCCTGTGGAGATGGGGAAATATGTCTGGGATTATCCTGTTGGTAAATGGTGGAATTGGGATTAGAATCCCAGAATTCTGACAACGCTTTCATTTTTTATTTTATTAATTAATTAACTTTTTGAGATGGAGTCTCAATCTGTCACCCAGGCGGGCATGCAGTGGTGCGATCTCGGCTTCCTGCCTCCCGGTTTCAAGGGATTCTCCTCCTCACCCTCCTGAGTAGCTGGCACCACAGGAGTGCACCATCACTTCAGGCTAATTTTTGTATTTTTAGTAGAGACAGGTTTTCGCCATGTTGGCCAGGCTGGTCTTGAACTCCTGATCTCAGGTGATCAGCCTGCCTTGGCTTCCCAAAGTCCTAGGATTATAGGCGTGAGCCACCGCGCCCGGGCTCTGACTATACTTTTGAAGTTCTAACTAGGAAGACATCTGGAGCAACTTGATCACCCCAGGTAATGGCAGAAGCCCTGACTCTTCCTTGGACCTCCTCTGATACCATCCTAGTGGGGAAGTAGAGGGACATGTCATTTCTTCCCTTGGAGGCAGGAATCTGGGCTCCCCATGTGGCCTCTGCTGACATTGCAAGGATGGAGCTCATCACAGGAGGGGAGAGAATGTCCCTGTTCGCTACTTAAACTTCTGTGACCCTATCCTGGCTGGGAGGTCAGGATGCCTTATTCCAGTGTCATGAGGATAGAAGCCCAGCCTCCCCATTCAGCCTTGCAAGGAGGGAGTTTTTGGTGGGGTTTGTCTAGAAAAGAGCAGTGATTTCCCAAATTTTCCATCTTACTAGCTTGTGTCTTTCCTTGTCCTTTAGCTAGAGAGAGCAGGGTTTTGTTGGTGCTTTCTTGCCTCTACCACTTGGGACTTCTGGGTTACTGGCCTCATCAGCTCCAAATCTGAGATATATGAGGCAGTGAGAGAGGGAGAGAAAGAAAGACAAGAGAGAAACCAGGACATCCTGGCTAACACCGTGAAACCCTGTCTCTACTAAAAAATATAAAAAATTAGCCGGGCGTGGTGGCGGGCGCCTGTACTCCCAGCTACTCGGGAGGCTGAGGGAGGAGAATGGCATGAACCCAGGAGGCGGAGGTTGCAGTGAGCCGAGATCATGCCAGTGCACTCCAGCCTGGGCAACAGAGAGAGACTCCATCTCAAAAAAAAAAAAAAAAAAGAGAGAAACCAGGGCATTCACCACTGTGTTGTTCCTCGGATCCCGGGGTTTCAAGCTGGTCTGCCTTCTTTTCTTTACCTCTCAGAGTTTTACTGTCTTTGACATGCAATGCCCATGATGTCCAGTTGTATTTAGTGGGAGGTATAGAAAACAGTGTGTCTACTCCATCTGCCCAGAAGCAGAAATCCTGCTTTCGCAAAAGAAGTTTAACTGGAGCAGAGCCTTGGCCCTTTCTTTACATGTTATCTGCAGCTGTTTCCCTGCTGCAACGCAGAGGTGAGCAACTGAAGGAAATCTGTGTTGAGTCCTCCTCCACAGCCTACTTCTTTACAAATTGCAGATTTTGGTTGCCTCTATGTAAAGCTATTGCATTACAGCAATTCTCCATACTTCTAACACTTCTGGTAATTTCACATCTGCTGAGCCAGAAAGTTTCTCGCAGCTCCTTCAGCATATCCTGTCTTGGAGCACAGGAGAGATTACAGCAGAATCTCTGCTTAAGTAACCTCGTTTCCTGACCACTGGATTCCACCCTTAGCAACAAATGGCAGACTCTCTAAGCTCCTCTGCGGTGGGTAGAAAATGGTTGCCCAAAGATATCAGGTCTGTGAAACCTGTAAATGATACCTTACAAAGAAAAGTCTTTGCAGATATGAGTGCGTGAAGGATCTTAAAATGTGGAGATTATCTTGGATTATCTGAGTGTGTCCTAAATGCCATCATGGTGGTTTTTGTTGTTGCTGTTGTTGTTGTTGTTGTTTTTGAGATGCAGTCTCGCTCTGTCACCCAGGCTGGAGTGCAGTGGTGCTATCTCGGCTCCCGGCAACCTCCACCTCCAGGGTTTAAGCAATTCTCCTATCTCAGCCTCCCAAGTAGCTGGGATTACAGGTGCCCGCCACCACACCTAGCTAATTTTTGTATTTTTTGGTAGAGATGGGGGTTTGCCACATTGGCCAGGCTGGTCTCGAACTCCTGACCTCAGGTGATCCACCCACTTCAGCCTCCCAAAGTACTAGGATTACAGACGTGAACCACTGTGCCCTGCCAAGTTGTGTGGTTTTTGTTTTGTTTTTTGTTTTTTGAAAAGAGAGAGATTCAACACACAGAAGAGGAAGAACAGCTCTACCAGATTTCAAACTTTCTACCTCTAGAGCTGCGAAATACGTTTCTGTTGTTTTTAAGCCTCTGAATTTGTGTAAAATTACTAAGAAATTAACCACCAACCCTCTGTTCATTTTGACACCAATAGAGCAGACACCTTCATAGAACTCCCTCATCCCACACAAGACGCAAGTCAGAAAAAACAAATCTCTACTCAATTGTCCTGCTGTCTGTGACCTGGGAAAAGAGACTGTCTGAGGGATGAGTTGGGTCTCTTGTAACTGCAACAAAGTGAATGTCTCCGGATGTTCTAAAAGACCCTTCTCAGAGGCCCCAGGAACCTTCCTGCAAACCAAGACTTCCCTCCAGGCACCTTGTTTACCCCGATGTGACCAATTCTATCTATGCAGAAGCTGCCTATCCAGTTTTTAATATAAGTTGGGCAGATGTCAGCTCAAGAAGAAGGAATGAGGGGAGGCACTCAAAGGCGACTCTCACCAAAAAGGATTTCTTCGTATTCTGACTTCCAGAGTACAGTCGCTATCTATAAAATGTAAGTCAGTATCTTTTATCACGCTTCATCCTAGGAGGTGCGTGCACTATGGTTCTCAGTTTTGCAGATGAGGACATTGTGGCTTGGAGAGCTTAGGGCATTTAAACAGCAAAAATGGCAGAGTCCCTGAAAGATGTGCCCGGGTATTTAGACCACATCTTAAGGGATTTCTCAAAGATGCCACTGCCTTCCTGAAGGAAACCTAGGCAAACCCTGCTGGAGGCATTGCTCGTAAATCACTGTCAATTTTCTTTATTCCCCTCTCCTGCCCATCTCTGCCACAATGCAGTGACAAAAGACCATGTCTTGGTACACTGCATGTCACTCCCTGAGATTTGCTGACACCTGCAGACAAATGAGAGGATTGCACTGAGTTTGCATTAAAAGGTATTAGAGGCCAAGCGCCGTGGCTCACGCCTGTAATCCCAGCACTTTGGGAGGCCAAGGTGAGTGGATCACTTGAGCTCAGGAGTTTGAGACCAGCCTGGCCAACATGGTGAAACCCCGTCTCTACTAACAATACAAAAATTAGCCAGGCGTGGTGGCGCGCGCCTGTAGTCCCAGCTACTTAGGAGGCTGAGGCAGGAGAATTGCTTGAACCTGGGAGGTGGAGGTTGCAGTGAACCAAGATTGCACCACTGCACTCCAGCTTGGGCAACAACACAGCTGAGACTCTGTCTGAAAAAAAAAAAAAGTATCAGAGCTGCTTGCAGGAAACCCCAGACCCAGGAAAGGCCGTATCATCTCTGGAGAAGATGATGCAGACCAGGACAGAGAGCACTAGGAGTAGGTCTGCAGAGATCCGAGCAGCCCCTCTGGTCCAGGCCATGCGGTCAGGTGCACGGACTCCCGTTGCACCTTATTGCCCTGAGGCGTGGTCTGATGAGAGGCCTCAGGTGTTCTTTATTCTGGGCAACGTGTAATCAGTGATTATTTCTAACAATGCAAATAGTAAAACTACCTTAGCCACTCACTGGGTAACCCTGAGCAACTCCTTTAGTTAGGAGTCAGCCTAACTAAATTCTTATTGATATAATGTATATTTATATTAATTTTTTAAAAACCATAAACCCATACACAAAACCAAAATCTCTGATAACAATTGGGCCTGAAGTCGACTATGAGGTCTGGGCTTTTAAGAGAATGAAGTACCAACTCTTTCCGGTAGGTGGAGCCAAAAGATCACACCTGAAGCGCATTTCAGTTCAGCCCTCCCAGGCGGCAGGGCGGGGTACCAGCATTTTCTAGCTCTTAATAACCTTTACATTGTCGGGGGATCAGTGAAGAAGGTTATAAAGAGCTTGTATTCATCCACCCCATTCATATGTCCCCCACATTAGCAGTCCTTTTATTCATAACGTACTCTCCCACCACGACCACCACATTATGAATAAATGAGACCTACCACCTGCAATGCCTGGCCTTTCTCCCTGTAGCCATCACCTCTCCAATCTTTCCCCAATCTCAGGCCTAAAATCGTCAAATCAGGGTATCCAAATGCCAAAATGTTCCCCCTCACAGATGCTACTTGTCTCTCAACCTTGCTTATGAAAAAGGAAAGAAACTAATGTCCGTAGAGAATAGACTATATTTCAGGCATTTCCACATGTCACTTGATCCCAATAATAATGGCAATCATCGTAATAGCTGCTGTTTTGGGACATTTACTATAAGCCAAGTGCCATGCTAAGTACTTTTATATATTATCTCATTTAATTCTCTTAGGATGACTGTAAAATGGCATTATCATACCCACTTCACAGTTCTGGAAACTGAAATTCAGAGAGCTTGGTAAGCACAGGATAGCGCATGTTGGAAGGCACATCAGGATTAATTTACATTTCATGAGCATCTCGCCCCTACTTCTGTTGTTGTATAGTCTCTCACTTACACCAGGGCTCTTTCTCTGGGAACACAGGGGCAAGAGGGGGAGGCCAGTTGTTGGGGAAGAGGAGAAAGGGAAGAGGACTGGCGCTCCTTCCACTATGAAGGGGAGATATGCTCAGGGTACCCTGTTCTAGACCCTATCTAGATGAGACCCTTGACCTGCATCACCTTATCTCCCTCCTCCTTACCAAAATAACCTAAAACTTTTCCCATAGAAACAATAGTTTTGGTTTTTTGTTTTATTTTGTTTTGTTTTGTTTTTGTTGTTTTTTTGCTATAGCCCTAATATCATTATTCAACTACTTAATAGGTTAAATAGGATTTTTCAAATACACTGGGAATTGATCGATCTTCACTAATAAACTATTTTTACAGGAATGCCATTGAGGCTCCAAGTAAACGTCTTGCAATATTTTAGATTATTAAATTGCATGTACTTTGAATATTCGCATCCCAGAGTCAACAGATTTTGCAATTATTTTCTGTTAGAACGTAAATGGATGGTTATGTGAATGGATGGGTGGATGGATGGATAGACAGGTGGATGAATGGATAGATGGGTGGGTGGATGGATGGATGCAAGGATGGATGGATGGAGAGATGGGTGGATGGATGGATGGATGGATGGATGGACAGGTGAATGGATGGATGATGGATAGATGGGTGGATGGATGAATGGATGGCTGAGAATCTGGGCAATAAATAGAGTGAGTTAAGATGTGGTGCTTATGAGACCAAGGATTTGGTCCCATGTAGACCAATCAATTTCATTCGTTCCTGGAGCAATTTACATGTATTCCTATTCTACTGAGCCATCTCAGAAATGTATACTATCAGTTACAAAGGGAATTATGTGACAGTATACAGATAGAGTAAAACAACTCATCTTTACTACTATAAAAGTAGCTGAAAATTTGTACCTTATTATGATGGCTCAGCAGCATCTCTTTACATTCTAGTTTTCAGAACTTCCATAGCATCCAATTCACTCCTCTATTAGTTCATCTACAGCACAAAATGAATTGTAAACATCTACTTATCCACTGTACACCAACTAGAATGGCTATTATTTTTTTAAATGGGAAACAAGTGTTGGTGAGGAAGTGGAAAAATTGGAACCTTTGAACATGGCTGGTAGAAATCTAAAATGGTGTTACTGCTGTGGAAAATAGTTTGGTTCCTCAAAAAGTTAAACATAGAATTGCCATATGACCTAGCAATTCCAATCCTTGATACATATCCAAAAGAACTAGAAGCAGGGTCTAAACAGATACCTGTATAACAATATTCACAGCAGCTTATTTACAATAGCTAAAAGATAGAAGCAACTCAAGTGCCCATCAACACATAAATGAATAAACAAAATGTGGTGTACACTCACAATGGAATATTATACAGCCACAAAAATGGATGAAATTTTATATATGCCACAGGGATGACCCTTGAGAACATTATGCTTAGTGAAATAAGCCAGATACACAAGGACAGAAGGAACTGTATGATTCCACTTATATGAGGTACTAATAAATAGTATACTTACAAATGGCTAAAATGATAAATTTTATAGTATATACATTTTATAATACTACAATTTTAAAAAAACTATTTATGTACCTAACTTCCTCACTGGATTGTAATTTACCAAAGCATCAGATCTCATTCATTTTTGTATCCTCAACTTCAAACACAGAACCTAACACACAGGAACTAAAATAAATGACATCGGCCGGGCGTGGTGACTCATGCCCGTAATCCCAGCACTTTGGGAGGCAGAGGCAGGCAGATCACCTGAGGTCAGCAGTTCGAGACCAGCCTGGCCAACATGCTGAAACCCCATCTCTACTAAAAATACAAAAATTAGCCAGGCATGGTGGCAGGTGCCTGTAATCCCAGCTACTTGGGAGACTGAGGCAGGAGAATCGCTTGAACCCGGGAGGCAGAGGCTGCAGTGAGGCGAGATCGTGCCATTGCACTCCAGCCCGGGCAACAAGAGTGAAACACCGTCTCAAGAAAATAAATAAATAAATGACATCAAATTAAAAATATAAAAATACACAGACAGAAATCGTCGATTTAAAATTCCTTATAAACACATGCATATGTACACGCAAACAAGAACTGGAGAGACCCAATCTATCGGATGTCTTACTATCTGCATTTTTAAAATTTCATTCACTCCACACATGTATAATGAGCATGCCCACTCTGCCAGGCTCTGGGATATATCACTGAAGAAGACAAAGCTTCTGTCCGTACAGAGCACACGCCGTACAGAAACATGCTAAATGACATAAATCATAAATATAGGCCAGGCACGGTGGCTCCTGCCTGTAATCCCAGCGAAACTGCCTCTGCAAAAATTATAACTGAGGAAATTATGACAGTGAAAGAGATCAGACCCAGCCGACTCCATCTTGCTTCTAACTTTTAAGCCGTGCTTGTTCATTCCTGGACGTAGGTTGAACTAACTCTGGGAAGGAATTCAGTTGGTGGGATGACTGAAACAAAATCGATAACAGTCCTTTCCCGAAAAGACTCCCTTCTTGCCTGGGAACCAGTCTGCCTTCGCAGCACTAACAAATTAGTGACAAGATTAGAAATTACGGTTTACGGACCATGCAGTGTCTAGCTTCAAGAGTCGGAACCTCCACAAATTGCTCCTAGAGATAACATCACTATTATAAAACCTAAGATCAGTGCTGGAGGTATTTCGCAGACCTTGCACTAGAGATGGATCAGCTGATATCACCCAGACTGATAATCTAGCCCAACCAGTCCTGCCGTCCCACCCAGGAACAGAAGACAGCAAGAAAAACTCACTTCGACCCCCTGTGATTCCATCTCCAACCTGCCAAGTCAGCACTCCCCACTTCCCAAGCCCTTACCCGCCAAATTATCTTTAAAAATGCTGATCTTTGAGTAATAATAAAACTGCTATCTCCTGCATAGCCATCTCTGCGTGAATTACTTTCTCCACTGCAATTCCTACGTCTTTTTTTTTTTTCTTTCAGACAGAGTTTCTCTCTTGTTGCCCAGGCTGGAGTGCAGTGGCACCATCTCGACTCACTGCAACCTCCACGTCCCAGGTTCAAGTGATTCTCCTGCCTCAACCTCCCAAGTAGCTGGGATTACAGGCACACACCACCGCACCCGGCTAATTTTGTATTTGTAGTAGAGACAGGGTTTTACCATGTTGGCCAGGCTGGTCTCAAACTCCTGACCTCAGGTAAATCACCTGCCTTGGCCTCCCAAAGTGCGGAGATGACAGGCATGAACCACCATGCCCAGCGCCCCCGTCTCGATAAATCGGCTCTGTCTAGGCAGCAAGCAAGGTGAACCCATTGGGCTGTTACACCAGCACTTTGGAAGGCTGAGACAGGCAGATGGCTTGAGCTCAGGCGTTCAAGACCAGCCTAGGCAACATGGCAAAACCCAGTCTCTATTAAAAATACAACAAAAAAGTAGCCAGGCTTGGTAGTTTGTGCCAGTGGTCCCAACTACTCAGGAGGCTGTGGTGGGAGGATCGCTTGAACTTGGGAAGTGGAAGTTGCAGTGAACTGCACTCCAGCCTAGGTGACAGAGCAACACCCTATCACAAATGAAAAAAGAAAAAAAAGTAAATATAACCCCAGGTTCTGGAGGGCCATGGGGAAGTGCTTGAATGGTGTGAGGGACTCCTTTTGCAAAGCACAACAGGGAAAGTCTCTGAGAAAATAACATCTGAGCTCTAAATGATGAGAGAGGACCACGGTGTGACAACCTCAGGGAGCAAATTCCTAGAAGAGGGATGAGCCTCTGCAAAGGCTCTAAGGGAAGAAGAAGCACAGCATGTGAGAGAGACAGAAAAACCGTCACCGAGGCCAGATCACAGTGGGTGAGGAGGAAAATGAGAAAGAGGTATGTGCAGAACAAGTCGGGGGACCAGGTCATGTTGGACCGCAGGCCAGGCCAAAGAGTTGGTATTCCATTCTAAGGGTAGTAAGAGCTTTCGGGCTTTTCAAGCCTGATCTGACTTATGCTTTCAAGAGATAACTATAGCTTCTGTATGGCTACTGGGCCATCAAGGTACAAGATACTGGCAGGAACCCAGATGAACGGTGATGGTGGCTTGGATTACAGCTTTAGTCAGGGAGATGATAAAGAGTGGTTGGGTTCAAGATACATTTTGGAAGCTGCCCAGATAGAACCTGTTGATGCACTGGACATGAAAAGAAAAAGAAAGCGGTCAAGGGTGACTTCTAGGCCAGGTGCGGTGGCTCACGCCTGTAATTCCAGCACTTTGGGAGGCCAAGGCGGGCGGATTACCTGAGGTCAGGAGTTTAAGACCAGCCTGGTCAACATGACAAAACTCCATCTCTACTAAAAATACAAAAATTAGCCAGGTGTGATGGTGGGCGCCTGTAATCTCAGCTACTCGGGAAGCTGAGGCAGGAGAATCACTTGAACCCAGGAGATGAAGCTTGCAGTGAGCCGAGATCACACCATTGCACTCCAGCCTGGGCAACAAGAGTGAAACTCCATCACAAAAAAAAAAAAAAAAAAAAACAAGGGATGACTTCTAGTTTTTTGTCTGAGCAGCTAAATTAAAGAGAGGTCCATGCAGGAAGAAAAGGAAGACTAGGCAAGAAGTGGGTGGGATGAAGACAGGGGAGAAGTTCACATGGACAGTTTGCTTTGGATCATGTTAAGTTTGAGGTGCCTCTTAGAAATCCAAGTGGACAATTCCATATGCAATTCTGGAGCTCAGATGAGAGGCTAAGGGTCTTCAACATATGCATAAGATGACTTGATGGCCTTAGCAGCAGGGAGAGACAGAGGAGAAGATATCCCAGATCAAAATCCTGGAGCACCCCCACATTTAGAAATCCACCAAGGAGAAGGGAACTAAGGAGATAAGTAAAAGAGTCGTGTCAGTGGAGGAATTCCAGGCAACAGTGCAATCCTGGAAGCCTGGAGAAAACTACATTTCCAGAAAAGCAGAGTGTTCAGCTGTGTCAAATGCTGCTCTGAGGACAGGAAATTGACAGGAATTGACCATGAGATTTAACAGATATGGAGGTCATTGTGGAACTTGATGGGCTAGAGCCAAAGAACTAATTGGAGCAGGATGATGACAAGAGTCTGTGAGAATGGAGGCCTAATATCAAGTCTTTTGAGAGGACACGCTTTGTTCAGAAGCAGAGCCCTAGAGCAGTAGCGGAAAGGAGATGTGCGATCCACAGAAGAAATTTTAAAGATGGCACCACGCAGGATACTGTATTATCTCAATTTTTACAATCGCACCATGCTACAGGTATTATTGTCCTCATTTTATGCATGAGAAACCTGAAACAGAAAAGTGAATTCCTCACGCATCAAAATTTTTAAAACCTAAAGAACAGCAAATGCTATTATTACGTGAGACCTGAACTGTTTCCACAGGACCCTCATGTCTCCCGATAAAATACAACAGCAAAGGTCAAGTACTTTTGTTTTCCTGTTCAACAGAATGACGCAGTCGTATGCCAAGCAGCCTAAGCGGCCTTATTTGTATCTTTCTGTTACTTGTTGACTTCGAATCTTTGATTAAATACAGGAAGCTTTCTGTCACTTTTGAGTCACTGGTCAGTATCTGCCTTGATCAAGCCTGAATTTGGTTTCCAAGCTGGCAGTCTTTCTTCTAGCTATGCCTCTCAAATCTTTCACATGAAATGATGCAACAAGTTTTTAGGTCATCAAAAGGTATTTTGCTGTTATTGTTGCTTTAACTCTTAAAATTGGTAACCTTAGTAGTACCCAAGATTTCAAGACTTATCAAGGCTGACACAGTCTATAGAAAGTCCAATTTTGTCTTAAACCATGACAGATTACCCTTAAAAGGAATAAACTCAAGCATTTATTTTACTGAGATTAAAAGACATATATTTACTAAGTGTCTGCTCTATGCCAGGAATGGTGTTAGAGGGAGGCTGGTAGAAAACACAAAATAGGCTGGGCACGGTGGCTCATGCCTGTAATCCCAGCACTTTGGGAGGCTAAGGCAGGTGGATCACCTGAGGTCGGAAGTTTGAGACCAGCGTGGCCAACATGGCGAAACCCCATCTCTACTAAAAATACAAAAATTAGCCAGGCGTGGTGGTGCACACCTGTAGTCCCAGCTACTCAGGAGGCTGAAGCAGGAGAATCACTCGAACCCGGGAGGGAGAGGTTGCAGTGACCTGAGATCGCGCCACTGCACTCCAGCCTGGATGACAGCCCAAGACTCCGTCTCAAAAAAAAAAGAAAAAAGAAAAGAAAAGAAAACACAAAGTTGCCAGTGCCCTTGCAGTTGTGTGACAGAGCAACCACGGGAGACCCTGGGAAAACCAGCCCGGAGAAATCTGCCTAGGGGTGAATAGTAACCTATTTGGTGTGAGCTGAGAAAACTCTATATTTGAATTTATATGCAAAACAATCGATTCATTATATCATTATATGCACTGAAGGCAACAGCATTTTTATTTATTTGCAATCGTCCTAGAATTAGTTTTTAAAAAGCGTGTTGAAAGTTCTTATAACTTTTTTATATTAAATAATATACAGCTATTTAGAATAAAATACACACACATGCTATGAATAGAACTAGTTATAGTAAATTGTTTTAAGTCTAGATAAAATTATATTATTATGTAAATTATATAACACAACAGCATACATAATCATACTACATGTAGTATTCTATTTATATTAAAGTTTTCATTTTAGATAATAAACCTAATCTGTTATTCTTAGAAAAATACACTATGCCAAAAACTGTTCGTGCTAGAACTGCGGCTGACCACAACTGCCAAATTCAGGTCCCGCTCAGGTGGTATCTGGCTGAGGAGGGCAGTTCTTTTTTTGGGATGGAGTCTCGCTCTGTTTGCCCATGCTGGAGTGCAGTGGCACAATCTTGGCTCACTGCAACCTCCACCTCCCAGGCTCAAGCGATTCTCCTGCCTCAGCCTCTTGAGTAGCTGGGATTACAGGCACCCGTCACCACGCCTGACTAATTTTTGTAATTTTTTTTTAATAGAGATGGGGTTTCACCGTGTTGGCCAGGCTGGTCTCAAACTCCTGACCTCAAGTGATCCACCTGCCTCCGTCTCCCAAAGTGCTGGGATTACAGGTGCCCGGCTGAGAAGGGCAGTTCTTAATGGCTCTGCACAACTTGCTGGTGTGCACTCACAAGTAGTCAACAGAGGTAGAGTATGACACCCAGGAGGCGTTTTACACTCCCTGTGTTGCAGAGTGGTTGGGCCCAGGGTCTGCTTTCCTGGTTCTGTAAGAAGGAGTGTACAGAGAGCTGAAGTCATTGGCTCCGTGTTTCTGATTTGTTCTTATGGCATATTCATATCCAAAGAAGCTTCCTCGAGGCCAGCTTCCTTCTCCCCTTCTCTGTCTCTGCTTTAACCAGAAATTCTTTTCCTTCAGCTCAAATTACCAACATTTAAAAGGGAAAGATTCTAGGAGGAATAACCATAAAATAATTTAGGGCTAGCAATGTATGTATTAGTCTGCTTTCACACTGCTGATAAAGACATACCCGAGAATGAACAATTTATAAAGAAAAAGAGGTTTAATGGACTCACAATTTCATGCAGCTGGGGAGGCCTCACAATCATGGCGGAAAGGGAAAGGCTCGTCTTACATAGAGGCAAACAAGAGAGAAAGAGGACCAAGTGAAAGGGGTTTCCTTAAAAAACCAAAAGATATTGATAGACTTACTCACTACCACAAGAACAGTATAGGAGAAACCACTCCCATGATTCAATTATCTCCCACTGGGTTCTTCCCACAACACATGGGAATTATGGGAGCTACAATTCAAGATGAGATTTGAGTGGGGACACAGCCAAACCAATGTACATTGGATGTGTGAATGTATAAAATTCCTTGTGTCCCAAATGGAGGGCTTTGAGAATGTAGGATGCTGAGTGGCAGAAGTTTTCCTCTGCCCTTGGGAAAAGAAGGCAGGCTTCAAAGACAACCTTAGCTTCTTCACAAAAATGCCCTTTGCAGCTCCTGTTTCCATGGGGATGGAAATATGTAACTGAGAGTTGTGATGGGTTGAATTGTGGCCCCCTAGAAAGGTATGCTGAAGTTCCAACTCCCAGTACCACTGAATGTGACTTGACTTGGAAATAGTGTCCTTGCAGATGCAATTAGCTAAGTGAAGATGAAGTCAGACTGGAGTGGTGGGTCCTTAGTCAGATATCACTGGTGTTCTTCTAAGAACAGGGAAATGTGGACCCAGACACTTAAGGAAAAGGCCACGTAATGAAGGAGGCAGAGATTGGAGTTAACGCCGCTGCAAACCAAAAATTGCCTAAGGCCAAAAGAAGCTGGAAGACACAAGGAAGGTTCCTCCGTTAGAGGCTCAGAGGAAGCGCGGCCCTGCTGACACCTTGATTTCAGACCATAGCCTGCAGAACTGCAGGGTAATGCATTTCTGTTGTTCTAAGCCACTCTGTGTTTCTCTGCAACAGCAGCCCTAGGAAAAAACACGGATGTTAATCAAAAAAATAAAGAAACTTTGAATGCCAACATTACACAAAAGCAATGTGAGAAGTCAAAGGGAAACAAAAGTCCTAAGCTGTTATACAATATCCTTGTGTTTCTTATTCTAGAGAGATGTTAAAAAGGTACTTATTTTCCACCACCTTAAAGGACCCTATTTATCTGTTCAGATGGAAAAATGGACTTTGGAGATTGTGGGGTCAGCCTCCTGACTCTTTGTTCTAAACTCTGGGAACCAAAAAGGACTCACCTACAGTCCACATAGCCTCAGTTTTTACAAGAAATAAAATTTTAGCTAAACTCAGGACCATACAACAGATCGGTTGTGCTTGAAAAGTTGTGTTTTAGAATATGGTTTTCCATTACATGAATAGCAACAAAACTGCTGAGTCAGAAACTCAAGCAACCTCTCCTAACCTCTATCCCGGGTTTTGTAAACACTCACTGGATTCTGGGAAATCACGAGACAGCAGTAAGCAGAATTCCATTTTACCATTTATTAGTCATGCAAACTTGGGCAACTTATTTAACCTTTCTGAGTCTTAGTTTCAACATTTGTAAAAAGGACATTTGTAAACTCCTAATCCACAGATTAAGTGTTAGCAGAGTTTGGACCAAGGACCGAAAACTGAAAACAAGAAGTGTCAAGCACCACCACGTTTTCAGGCAGGCTTTTGGCCATTTCCACAAGACTTGCAGAATTATCCCCAAACCCATTTGCCGCCATTGCCGAATGAGCCAATTACTCCTCTCAAGATATAAAAGAGAATATTAATAAGATGTGCTAGAGAGGCTGCCAGGGAGAGTGTCCTTGTGGAGGGCTGCTGGGGTGCCATGCAGTTCACCCAAATGGGAGGAGGCAGGTAAGGAAAGGGGTGCCCTTCTGCAACCCACCTGCTTCAGATCAGAGAGAAACCAGAAAATATTAGAAAATGTTGGAAAACTTGAAGTGTGGAGAGTATGCATGGACTGGTGTCTCATTCATGGTTTTTGTTTTGCTTTGTTTTTTAGAGACAGGGTGTCACTGTGTCACCCAGGCTGGAGTGCAGTGGCATGATCATAGCTCACCGCAGCCTTGAACTTCTGGGCTCAGTCAATCCTCCTACCTCAGTTTCCTGAGGAACAAGGACCACAGGTGTGCACCACCATGCCTGACTAATTAAAAAAAAGTTTTTAGAGAGGGGATCTTGCCATGTTGCCCAGGCTGGTCTCAAACTCCCGGCCTCAAGCGATCCTCCCACCTCATCCTCCCAAAATGCTGGGATTATAGGTGTAAGCCACCATGCCCAGCCTCACTTGTGTTTTATAAAAAGGCTGAAAGCGAGAAGCTGTGGCTGAACTTCCCTGGAGGCAGAGGGAGGAGTGGGCTCTAGGAGGAGCTAGAAGCACCACACCAGGGGCATCACAGCGGCTATGACTTCCATGGGCCAGATGGCCTTGATCTGGGCCAAAGAAAGAAAGAAGGAGACTCCATCTGAGAAGACCATCTTGGGAGGAGGGGAGGTGGCAGCAGTAATCCCCACCTACAGGGAGTCAGAGTGGATAGAAGTTGAAGAGGCCAACCCAGGAATGATCATTGGTTGTGCCCAATGGGGCTGTCCAAGATCCCCACAAGAGGGACCCAGGAGACACACAATCCATATGTGGCCATGTGCCACACTTGTGTGGGCAGATTAGCACTGCCCCAGTCAAAGACAGCCTTTTCAGCCCCTCAACACTTCTCCTCTCTTCCCTTGAACCCCAAAGGAGCACAGTAAGTTCGGGGAAAGGACTAGTGGAAGACAGATGAGGGGATAGGAAGGAAGTTAACTGTGGCCTGGCCACACTGTAGACCTCCTAGCTGGAGGCAGGATGCGTCTAAGGAGAGGAAACACTGTGGTGAATTGGATGTGGGTTGGGGCTGGGTGCGGTGTCTCGTGTCCATAATCCCAATAATTCAGGAGGCCAAAGCGAGAGGATCGCTCAGGGCTGAGAATTTGAGACCAGTATGGCCAACACAGCAAGCCTATGTCTTTATGTATTTACTTTAAAAATATTTTTTAAAATAAAAATAAAAAATAAATGTGTGTTGGCATTTCAACTATGTATCAGATTTTTTAATATCTGAAGGTGATAGGTAAATCAATGAACTCAGAAATTCATCCAAGGACAGAGAAGAGCAATTATTGGAAAAATACATGCCATGATATTGAGGAAGAATCAGGTTGGTTTTTACTGTCTCTCTGCAGAGCCCGCCTTGTACAAAGAGCCCTGGGAGATACCGGGAAAATGGGGAGGCCACACCATGGCAGAAGACTCTTTCTAGAGGGATGTCTCTGCCCTGATCTTCCTAGGGAATTTTTGCACTTTTTCTTATGGAGCCTGGAGGAGCATGATGAGTGATGGTGGCCAAACTGGTTCTGCAGAGATGGTCTGGCACCTGCTGTGGTTGAGCTTTGAAGCCTCTGCCAAACACAAGGAGGGCACAGGAAAAGTCACATTTCACACCCCGTTGCAAAAGAATAGGATGAGTTGATGTGAGCTAAGTACTATGCACAATGCCTGGCACCCAGGAAATGGTATATGGAAGGTACAGCATCTTCATTTTACTATAGACAGAATGGATGCTAAAATTCATCCAAATCTTTAGTTGTCTCTATAATCTGAAATTCCACTCTCTGATTAATAAAGTTGTCTTTAAGAAAGTGGTTTTTCATTACGGAAATGAAAATTGTGACTAACAAACTCAAGTCCAGCCTCAGTCTCAGGAGGATCCGTTATGCAAAAAGGACCCTGCCTTTTGCAACATACAACACACAAACCCACAGCGGGTTCCAGTCTCAATGGCTCACTTGTCTGACAGGATCTTCGCTCAGAAAGAAACAATTGTCAGGTTCATGTTGTGGCCTAGCAAGAGTTTGGAAAGTTCCGTAAAGAAAAATAATGTAGACAAATTTAGAACCTGCCCCAGGTGTGTTGATTTGACGCCAAACCATGGATAGGTAACTTGATTCAGCTGAACCTCGTTAAAATAATGTTGGAAAACATTACATTACTGCAACGTCCTTTTTATTTATTTATTTATTTACTTATTTTTTTATTTTTGAGAGAGAGTCTTGCCCTGTTGCCCAGGTTGGAGTGCAGTGGCGCAATCTTGGCTCACTACAACTTCTGCCTCCTGGGTTCAAGCACTTATCCCACTTCAGCCTCCCAAGCAGCTGAGATTACAGGTGTGCACCACTACGCCTGGCTAATTTTTGTATTTTTAGTAGAGATGGGGTTTCACCATGTTGGCCAGGCTGGTCTCAAACTCCTGACCTCACGTGATCCACCAGCCACGGCCTCCCAAAGTTCTGGGATTACAGGCGTGAACCACCACGCTCGGCCCATTACTGCAACACTCTAAGAAATCGGTAATAACCATGTCATTACAGAGAAGCCCAAACCTTCCTATTCTATTTGACATGCACTAATTGAAAAAAGGCACTTTGATTGCTGTAACATAAGCCTATCATCCACTGAATTAGAGTCCATAATTATTAGAATCTATTTTGATGAGCACCTGCTTTGGGGGATGAAATACTCTATATGAGGCCTCTTTCTATCTAATATAGGACTCTTTATCTTTTTAAATGGTGATTTGGTGGCAGATGACAGTCAACATGTCTCTGAATCATCATGAGTTTTTAGCATTTTACGGAACTGGTTTGGAGATTAAAACTAACATCATTTTGTTACAACAGTGGTGCTGTGTAATAAAAAGGAGAAGTCATTCGTAGAGTTCATAAACCTTTTTTTAATAATTTAGATTTTAGGCCGGGCACAGTGGCTCACTCCTGTAATCCCAGCACTTTGGGAGGCCAAGGCAGGCGGACCACCTGAGGTCAGGAGTTTGAGACCAGCCTGACCAACATGGTGAAACCCCGTGTCTACTAAAAGTAAAAAATTTGCTGGGCATGGTGGCATGTGCCTGTAGTCCCAGCTACTCGGGAGGCTGAAGCAGGAGAATCGCTTGAACCCGGGAGGCGGAGGTTGCAGTGAGCCGATATCACGCCACTGCACTCCAGCCTGGGAGGTTGCAGTGAGCTGAGATTGTACCGCTGCACTCCAGCCTGGGTGACAGAGTGAGACTACATCTCAAAAATAATAATAATTTAAAAAAGTGAATAATTTATATTTTAATTCATTCAACAACTATTCAGTGAGGGCTATTACATGCCCATAGGTAAGTGTTGCAATAAAAAGAAGAAATTTTTACATTTCTATTTTTTAAGGAAGGCATTTTCTGACATTTATGAGTAAGGATATTCCAAGAATATTGTCATGTATCTTGTTGTTTCACAGCTCAAGCTATGGGAATGAAAATTTTAATCTGAGTTTCTAATTATTTCCCCGAGACAGCTTGAGAGAGGGGGAGGTAACTTCCCCCATCTCCTAGGTAGGTGGTAGGTAACTAACCCTGCAGTGCAGAACCAATGCTCTGAAAATGACCAGGAAAAATGCCCCAATATCTACTGCTTCCTTCTAAGTGGGAAGATGGGAAAAGAATATTGGAAGAAAAAAATCAAAGTGATTATGAGAAAATCATAAGGGTAAAAATAAAACATGAGAGAGAGGAAAAGCAGCAGCTCTATATTATTTTTTAAGTCTTGTTATGGCAGTCGGTTGCTTTTATTTTCAAGTGGGTTAACCTGACATTGTATTCACTTTGACTTTAAATGCTAGAAGAGTACATTTCAGCAAAAAGAAAAAAAAAAGGCAATGGGAAACTTTCATTGTTATAAATGAAAAGTTGGCCAGGCATGGTGGCTCATGCCTGTAATTTGAGAATTTTGGGAGGCTGAGGTAGGAGGATCACCTGAGGTCAGGAGTTCAAGACCAGCCTGGCCAACATGGTGAAACTCCGTCTTTACTACAGAAATTGGCTGGGTGTGGTGGCATGTGCCTATAATCTCAGCTACTCAGGAGGCTGAGGCAGGAGAATCATTTGAACCTTGGAGGCAGAGGTTGCAGTGAATCGAGATCATGCCACTGCACTCCGGCCTGGGCAACAAAGCAAGACTCCGTCGCAAAAAAAAAAAAAAAAAAAAATATATATATATATATATATGTATGAAAAGTGACCGTAAACATCTAGGGAGCTGCAGGTGGAAAGAGACAACACCCAAACAGATAAACAAGTGTCTAAAAATGCTGGCAACCGAGCAAGCAAACAAAAGGCATCAGACTTCACCTTGATCCATTATCAGATCTCAGAGTCATCTATGCAATCTTCCTCCCTGAACTTTCTAAATATCCAAAGCCAAATTCCTCCCCTCCCACGTCCCTGTCCCTGGCCTCGCCATTCACACACACCTTCTTTTCCCTGTCTTGCTGTGAAACTTGGCTTTCGCCATGCACCCAGTCCCCAGGCTAACCACCACCCCCAGTACCACATTACTTTTGCTCTTCTCTTCTGGAATACTGACTTCCAAGTCTAACATCTGTCACGTGATACACCGCAATTAAATAGCCTCCTAACCAGCCCCCCTTTCTCTCTGTTCTGCTACAGAGTGATGGCTCAAAACCAAATCAGGGCATGGCATTACCTGGCTTTAAAACCACTCATAGTTCTCTCACCTGCAGAATAAAGACCACACCCTCCAGCGTGACATTCAAGTTTTTTCTGAACCTGCCTCAGCAGCGTCACAGTGATGGCGATGGTGAGATCACACACACACATTTGTACATTTATAGTAGGACAAACTTCATGACCCTCAGGAGTTACTCTTCCAGGTTTTAGCTCCCACTGTTTCCTCTGCCTGGATCGCTTTTCTCCTTTAACTGCCTGGTGAAGTCTCATCCTTCAAGTACCAGCTCCCCAGCTCCATTACTTCCTGGAAGAGAGCTCACATGGAGCTAGAGTTAAGAGTGGTTCCTGCTGACGGCCCAGCACAACAAGGCAGAATGAGTGTGTGTGTCTACAGGCAGGAGTGGCTTATGCTACTTAAGAAAATCAAAGAAACAAGAGGACATATTTTTAAAATAACAGAAATGGAAGCAAACTGAATGAATTTTTTAAAGTTGCTGGAAAGAGAAGAATGAAACATGTCACAAAATAAAGAGACAAGATGATTTCTGGTCCCTTTTTATTTTCAGATGGCTTCACTTGACATTCAGTTTCACTGTAAGCACTGGAACAGCACAAGCCAGCCTTTTATTAAAAAGAGAGAGAGAGAGAGCGCCATTTATTTCCATATTAACTAGAAACAAGCAATGAGTCAGGTGTTTAAAAAAGAACATGATTGCCTTAATATCATCAACAGTGCAACCTCTGAATGAGGATGTGGGCTAGTAAAAATAAAAATAATGATTGATACATTTTTTTCTATTTACTTATCTACAGGAATTAAAAGGATTAGCTAGATGATGGATTGGAATGTTAAAACTCTCAGAAAACATATTTCCCTAGTTACAGATACAAACAATGAAGAACACTTGTCTTTGTGTCAAATTCTAATAAATGATATTCAGGTATATTACAAAGAAGTCAAAACGCTTATTTCAATGCCAAAGGGGGAGCTGGTGAAGTAAACTGGTTGTAACCTATTAGAGTTCTCCTTTCCCATGTTCTGCAGGGAAGAAAACAAATCAGTTCATTTTCCAAGTGCAGATCATCTCCAAATGTCATGTGCAAAATTATGCTTACCTGTCTATTAAGATAAAATGAATCAGCAGTGAAACTTACATTATGTTAAAGACAGAACAGCAAAGACGAGACAAGGTATAAATTCTGAACCGTCTAGCTAAATATTATAGGAGGTGTCCTTTTCACTTTGTAGGTCCTAGCTGAAACCTGTTGCAAAAAGGGTGGTGAAGAGTTAGCTGAAATCAAGATTCCTTGGAAGGCAATCCACAATGGATTTGCAGAATGAGGTCTGCAAGGACAAAAGTCAAATTAAATCATGTCCTTTTATCACCTGGCTAGAGACTGGTCCATACCCCCTACCATTTCCTTGATTTGGTTTACACTAAGACATTTCTGGGCCTTTGCTACTCCTGTCTCTGCCTGAAATGTCCTTCCCCAACCTTCTCTGACTCATAAAATCTTATTGATCCTTTATGACCCAGTCCAAATGTCACTTCAGTGACCCTCCCACTTTGGCCCCATGTCCCTGGAAACAGCCCTCTGCATATACTTTTATTATACTGTTTATCTCTTGATATCATGGCTGTTTCCTCCTATGCCTGTCTCTCCCTCTGAACTCAGCCTGTTCCATTTTTCTGAGCACCAAGCTCAGTGAGCATTCAAAGAATGCTTGATGAAAGAATTACTAAATTAATGCATAAATGGAGATGAAATTGCTGGCCTCAAACCTGCCCATGTCATCCCCTCTCTTAAACTGTCTACTCCCAGTTTCCAGTATCCCTTTGTTATAAGGCAAGGCCATCAGATGATTTCCAAAATAACTACAACTCCGGGATTCTAAAGCAGTTTTCTTCTGTATCAGTTAATTATTGCTGCATGACAGTCTATCCCCAAAGTTAATGATTGACTATATATCATTTCTCTATCATTTGATGTTCTTGTCTGGGCTCATTCATGAGACTACATTCAGCTGGCTGCAGTGCAGGGACCAAGATGGACTTGTCAGGAGCCTTGGATCGAGCTGGCAGCTGGGTACCTTGGTCCTCTTCCAAGCCTCCTTTCATCCTCCACGCACTAGACTAGCTTTTTTACTTGGACAAGCTCCAATGCGTGAGCAACTATCAAGCCTCTGCTACGCCATACTTGCCAGTGTCCCATTGACCGAAGCAAGTCACGTGGCCAAGCCTAGTCATTGAGGGGTGAATTAGATTCAGCCTCTTTCTAAGCAAAGTGGCAAATAATTTGTAGTCATTTTTAATCTACTACGACTTCATTGAAATCCTATTAATTTTCTTGTCACCACCATTGTAAATGGGATCTTTTTTCTATTTTGCCTCTTCCTGTCAATATTTTTACCCTTAAATGTAGGCCCTTATCTAATTTAATTGGTTAGCCCTTCCAGCTCAATGCTTAAAAAATAGTTCTGAACTTGCTGGGAATGCTTCTGCTATTAAACCACTTATAAAGTTGATCATTGATTTAAGTAAATATTCTTTACCACTGAGGGAAATATCCCTCTATTTTATTTCACCACGGGTTTTTGTTGTTGTTGTTGTTGTTGTTTTAATTAGTCGTTCATGTTGAATGTTAACAAAATAGAATCTTAGAGGATCGAAAAACTGTCTATCAGGTACTATGCTTATTAACCGGGTGATTAAATAACCTGTACACCAAACCCCCGTGACATGCAATTTACACACATAAAAACCTCCAAGTGTATCCCTGAACCTAAATAAAAGTTTAAAAATTGATTTTAAATTTTACAAAAAGAATCTGTTAGTATTTTTTAATTAATACAACGGGTTATATGAATAGATTTCTCACTACCGAGCATTCATTCTGTTTTTTATACAGATCCTCCCTCTCCGGCCTCCCACCCTCAGCTGTCAAGAGATGACTATTCTGCATACAGACTGTCAATGGATTTCAGCCTTCCAGTTCCACTTCTTCCTCTTCCCCAGCTGTTAGCATCTAGTTCTGTGCTGTCCAACCCAATCACAATATGCCACCTGATGCTACTGAACACTCTGAATATGGTGAGCTTGAATTGAAGTGTGACACAGTGTAGAACACACAGACTTTGAAGGCTTAGCACCAAAAAAAGAATGTAGATCTCTCACCAATAATTTTAATATTGAGTACATGTTGAAATGAAGCCATTTTAGATATATTGGATTAAATAAAATATCATATGAAAATTAATTTCTTTTTTTACCTTTTTTAATCTCACTACTAGAAAATTTTAAATTATATTACATATATAACTACATGTATCTCTATTGGACATCACTGATCTAGAGGAATTCTACTCTTTGGTTGTACATATTCCTAAGATATTTTGATATTCCTGTTTAAAGATAGTTGACCAGGGACGTTGGCTAACGCCTGTAATCCCAACACTTTGGGAGGCCAAGACGGGTGGATCGCTTGAGGCCAGGACTTCAACACCAGCCTGGCCAACATGGTGAAACCCCTTCTCTACTAAAAATGCAAAAAATTAGCTGAGCATGGTGGCGTGGTGGCATATGCCTGTAGCCCCAGCTACACGGGAGACTGAGGCACAAGAATTGCTTGAACCCCAGAGGCAGAGGTTGCAGTGAGCTGTGCCATGGTACCCGGTCTGGGCAACCAAGCAAGACTGTCTCAAATAAAATAAAATAAAATGGAGATAGTTGAACGTACTTGTGATCCATAGTCAGAGTTGTGACCTGGCTTTGTTCTCACCTCTCTCTATACATGCCCTAGATAATCCCCTCTTCTCTGGATTTGACCACGTGACTTAGCAAATGCAATCAGAGGGTTAAAAAGTGTTTGTGTATTAGGGTTGCCCTCTCTTGCTGCTGGGACCCTGAACCGCCAAGCGAAGCAGCCAGGCCAGCCTTTTAGAGGATGAGAGACCATAAAGAAAGACAGGCCATGCTGTCTCACACATTTCTTCCAGCCAAGCCCAGATCCCAGCTGACATCAGCCCCATGACTAACCCCAGGCAAGACCAGCAGAAGTGTTACCCAGCCCAGCCAGAGAATCGAAAGAAATAAGAAACCGTTGTTGCTTTGTCACAAAAATTTGGATATAATTTTTATGCAGCACAGGCCAACCAACTCAATGCTCTATGTCTTTAAGATGGAAATCATGCTATGTGTATGGTGAGCACTGGCCATCCTCAATTTAATTAGTGAAACTGATTGCCAACTTCTCTAGAGTCTCTTGCAATTTTATTTTAAACTAGCCAAACCTGTCACTGGTATGTCATTTCTTACCAATGTCTTCTCCCTTACTTTCTATCTTCCTTATCATGCAGTTCAAAATTCACATACTTTATGGGTTTCTCTCAAGCAACTTCCTTCTTTGCCAACCAGTGACAGATAGGCACTCTTGCCTCCATGAGGTAACTTTTATTGCCTGCACAATAAGTAACTTTTCACAGGTAATGTGACTAACAGGTGACACAGGTCATTACCTCTCCCACGTATCTTTCAGCTGACACATCCTCTAAATCCAGCCCACCTCCTCCCAATGGGATCAGCGGGTATTCCCCAGGCAAGAGAGGGAGCACATGTCTTCAAATTCATTAAATCTGGTATTTAGAGCAGAGTTGGCAACCAAGCAACATCATCACTAGAATTTACTGTTCATGAATTACTCTCTAATAGAATCAATTTTCTAAGAGATTTAAAACCTATTTAAATCAAAACACAAATAACATGTGGCTGGGGGCTGATAACAGGACAGGGCGTTGACTGGCCACTGTAGGTTTCTTAAAGAAGGCTGCCAATTCCTAATGTGTTTGCTTTCTTTTGATTTTCTATCTTCCCCATTCTACCCACTGCAATTTGTATCCTTTTCACAGCTTCATTTTATCATTCCAGTTTGAAATTTCACATTCAAATCGTCCAGTTACATATAAATATTCTTCTGGGTGCAGTAGCATGCACCTGCAGTCCTAGCTACTCAGGAAGTGGAGGTGGAAAAATCCCTTGAGCCCAGGAGTTTGAGGCTAGCCAGGGCAACATAGCAAGATCCCATCTCTAAAATACCTAAGTGAAATTAAAATGAAAAAATTCTACTTTCAGAAATATTCAATTATAATGTCAATGAGAGAAATATTTTTGGCTTGGCACAGTGGCTTATGCCTATAATCCCAGCACTTTGGGAGGCCGAGGTGGGAGATGACTTGAGGCCAGGAGTTCAAGACCAACCTGGCCAAGATGGTGAAACCCTATCTCTACTAAAAATACAATAATTAGCCAGGTGTGGTGGCGCACGCCTCTCATCCCAGCTACTCAGGAGGCTGAGGCATGAGAACCACTTGAACTTGGGAGAAGGTTGCAGTGAGCTGAGATGGCGCCATTGCATTCCAACCTAGGCGACAGAGCGAGACTCTGCCTCAAATAAAAATGTTGCAATGTATGTTGACTCTTTAGCTTATATTCCATAGGTACAGAAAGCTAGATATACCTAAATATTGCCTTCTCACATCACTAACAATGTCATCAATACAAATGTACTGCTCTCTGCTATACTCTTGTAGGTTCCCATTTTTATTATAAATTTCGGAAACACTAGATGATGAGTATAAGGAGGTTGAAACTCAATATTACCCAAATATAGATTAATCCAGCTCTGTTAGTATTAACAAAAAATATCATTTTTGGCCGGGTGTAGTGGCTCACATCTGTAGTCCCAACATTTTGGGAGGCCAAGGCGAGCAGATCACAAGGTCAGGAGATCAAGACCATCCTGGCCAACATGGTGAAACCCCATCTCTAATAAAATACAAAAAATTAATCGGGTGTGGTGGCGTATGACTATAGTTCCAGCTACTCAGGAGGCTGAGGCAGGAGAATCACTTGAACCCGGGAGGCGGAGGTTGCAGTGATCCGAGATCACGCCACTGCACTCCAGCCTGGGTGACAGAGCAAGACTCCACCTCACACAAAAAAAATGATTTTTATATGTTATGTATTTTATAAAGGTTTTCTCACCCATCCTTATGGAAATCCTACTGAGTAGAAACCATTTCATTTTACTTTTTTTTTTTTTTTTTTTTTGAGACACGGTCTTGCTCTGTTACCCAGGCTGGCACACAGTGGCGCCACCTCAGCTCACTGCAGCCTTGGCCTTTTGGGCTCAAGCAATCCTCCTTTCTCAGCCTCACAAGTAGCTGAGACTACAGGCGCCCAACATCAGACCCAGCTATTTTTTTTTTATTTTTGATAGATACAGCTTCTCACTTCTTTGCCTAGGCTGGTCTCCAACTCTTAGGCTGAAGGGATCCTCCCATCTTGGCTTCCCAAAGTGCTGGGATTACAGGTGTGAGCTACCACACCTGGCTTTCATCTTACTATTAAAGAAAAAAGGCTCCCAGAGTTGGTGCTAATTACCTTCCCATCATCAGTTCGAAAGTCACTTCTGCCTGCACCATGGTACCTACATTAAGAAAGTAAGACGTTAGAGTACATGCTCTCTAATGTCCTTCCAGCCTCAACGTTGGCTTATTTGCACATACTATAGTAGGTGTGCCCAGTTCCCTATCGCTGGGCATTTTTCCCAGGTCTCTGTGACACGTAACAGGGTCAGGAATGAAAGTATACCTGCCCAATTGTTAACATTATATGTTGTTATTGATCCAAATGAACTGAAAACCGATAAAATGCCTAACCCATGGCATCAAGCTTTGCAAACAAATGACAAGTTTGGTAAGTTTAACAGGTTCCGTTTTGAAAGGCATCTGCAAGGTAGAGGTGGCAGAGAAAGCTAAGCTGATGACAAAATGGTCTTTCTCAAAAGCGTATGCTTAGAAAGTCTCTATTTTACGACATTCACTTTACTAGACTTTAAACAATTCTCACATCAACCATAAAGCAAGCAATATGCATTTCTGCATGTGTCTATATGGTGTACTTTTGAAATCAGTATGTATTAATCAATGTTAATAATGATTAACTCCTCTATTTCTCATATTGTAGCTGTTTCAGTGGAATTTATCCCATTTCTGTCTGGGTAAAACATAACTGAGAGCAGCAGTGAGACAGGATAAAGAACTTTCCAGTGCAGGTTTACAGTGCGTTCCACTCTTAGCAATGACTGGTGAAAAATCACATGTCCGTCCTGCTACTCAGATTATGACAATGTATTACTGTTCAGGGAAGGGGAGGCTATTATGCCCTGAAAATATGGAAGGAGACACTTGCTTTTATACTCCTTTTTCTTTCCCAAGTCCAGGGCATTCATCAGTCAAAATGGCTTGTTAAATTAATTAGTTTTTACTTTCTCCAAAACAGTAAGTCCTATGGGATGGGGCAATACTTCTCTTACGAACCACCACAGTTTTATTTGACATCTGTCGGCTAAAATTTTCCCTTTTATATAATTTAAACTTTCTTTTAATTATTTATTGTCATTATTACTACTATTGTTATTTTGGAGACAGAGTTTCGCTCTTGTCACCCAGGCTGGAGTGCAGTGGTGCGATCTCGGCTCACTGCAACCTCTGCCTCCCAGGTTCAAATGATTCTGGTGCCTCAGCCTCCCATGTAGCTGGGACTACAGGGATGCACCAACCATGCCCGGCTAATTTTTTTGTATTTTTAGTAGAGACATGGTTTTGCCATGTTGGCCAGACTAGTCTCAAACTCCTGACCTCAGGTGACCCACCTGCCTCAGCACCCCAAAGTGCTGGGATTACAGGCGTGAGCCACCGTGCCTGGCCTAAACATTGTAACTGAAGTTTATGAACTAGAAATATACAATGTTTCCCTGCGTTACTAGGTTCAACATATTTTGGACATAAGTTCAGAATACCAATAGCATAATATTGTACACATAAAATTAGACCATTCATAGAGTTGCCTTATTTGCTTAGCGACCACAGGAAAAAAAGGGTATTCAGAGTTCCAGGAAAAAAATAAGAAAATATGTTTGTTAATACTTCTAAGGATGCTATGCTCACCAGTATTAATATGATAATATTTAAAATGACCTTTGGAAAGAAGAAATAATATAAAGATGAAAAATCAGGCTGTCTGGTTTTTTTCTTTACCAGTATACAGCGTATTTGCTGAACATATTCTTGAAGTTCAAAGTCAATGCCATATATGAATTTTGTTATGACTGATTTGTATGTTGAATTTCATCATTGCTATTTGTTTCCATGTAAAGACTGTTTCTATATCATGTTTAAACATAAAAAATACTTACAAATGTGGAAATATACCACTCCATTTTTTCCTGGAATATGTGCACATCATTTATTCTGCATGTATTTCTGTGAATGGCCTGACTGTTATTGTATCAAAATAGAATTTAGCTCTGTTCACATAAGACTAGAGCTAGTTATGGCCATAAAAGACTAGAGCTAGTTATGGCACATTCACAATTATGGGAGAAAAAATGTGTGTCATAGGAATGTGAGATTTTACTTCAAAATTAGAAAAACGGAGACACTTAACTGATCATGATTTTTTAAAATAATCTTTTTCATATGTTTAAAATTCTAGAGAAATAAAATGTGTAAAATCTCAAACAAAACAAAAATCAATTATACATCCCATTGTTCCTTCTAGTATTTTTGTATACACAGATATTCTTTTTAAGATTTAATTGGTTTCATACTGCCCCACTACTTTATAATCAGCTTATTATAAAGGGTACTCTAGGCTGGGCGTGGCGGCTCACACCTGTAATCCCAGCACTTTGGGAGGCTGAGGTGGGTGGATCACGAGGTCAAGAGATCGAGACCATCCTGGTCAACACTGTGAAAACCTGTCTCTACTAAAAATACAAAAAAATTAGCTGGGTGTGGTGGGGCACACCTCTAGTCCCAGCTGCTGGGGAGGCTGAGGCAGGAGAATCGCTGGAACCCTGGAGGTGGAGGTTTCAGTGAGGAGAGATCACGCCACTGTACTCCAGCCTGGCAAAAGAGCGAGACTCCGTCTCAACAACAACAACAAAGGTACTCTAGTGGATATCTTTATACTAAATCTTTCTACATACTCTGTTTATTTCCTTGAAGCAAACACCTAGAAAGTTAATTCAGAAACCAAAATAAAGGTTCATATTTAAGATTTTTAAAAACAAATTTCAACATCATGTCTGAAATAAATGTTTATTTACTTTACCTCTAGTAGTGATTTTTTTCCACAACTCTGGCCAAATTTGGGTAGTATTTTTCCCCCTACATGATTTCAATCTAAGAAGAAAAAAAATGGTTTCTCTTTGTTCTATTTGGCATTTTTGTGAATAAAAGGGTCATTTAATTCATCACCCTGGAACTTGACTAGTTGATGTCTATTTTCTTTTTCTCTGTGCATATTCTTCACCCAATTTTCACCGCAATACTAAGATTTCCTGTTGATTTGCCAGACAGATGAAACATCAACTTCTTTTCCGCCACGTAAACTAATAAAGATTTGTCTTAATTTTGTGTGAGGCATGTTGAAATCAAAATATTTTAAACTCTTACGTAGCTAAATCTATCAACCTTTTTCTCCATCATTGCCATCTTGGATGTTTTGCTTAGAAAACCTTTTCACTCCTGTAGCTTTATCTCCACCTCCACTTCCTTCTAATTCTTTTATTATTAGTTTTTTGTCTCGTTGTGTTTTGTTCGTGGTTTTTTGTTTTGTTTTGTTTTTGTTTTTGTTTTGTTTTTGTTTTTTGAGACGGAGTTTCGCTCTTTTGCCCAGGCTGGAGTGAAGTGGCACGATCTCGGCTCACCGCAACCTCCAACCCCCATGTTCAAGCAATTCTCCTGCTTCATCCTTCTGAGTAGCTGGGATTATAGGCACTCGCAACCAAGCCTGGCTAATTTTTGTATTTTTAGTAGAGATGGGGTTTCACCATGTTGGCCAGGCTGGTCTTGAACTCCTGACCTCAAGCGATCCACCTGCCTCGGCCTCCCAGAGTGCTAAATTACAGGCATGAGCCATCGCGCCCGGCCAGTATTAGTTTTTACGTGTAACTAGGTAGTCCACCTAGACTTTGTTTTTACATATTTTGTAATGTATATGTATGAACTTAGGTTTTTTTCTTCTTCCAAAGCTAAACAATTGCCACAATACTATTGAGTTTTCATGCCTTTCTCTATGATTTGAAATCCCACTTTTCTCATATTATAAATTTATAACTAAGGTCTACTTTTTTGCTTCAATTGATGATATTTTTATTGATCTACCTTCATATTCTAGTGCTAACATAGAATTTAAGTTATTATAGCTTTAAACTACATTTAACAGCTGGAGTGTGCAGACCCTTTCATAACTGCTCTATTTAAAAGTTTCTTGATGTGTTTCATTCATTTATTTTTTTTTTGAATGAACTTTGAAATCACCTGTCCAGTTCCTGTCTGACACTTTATTGGGATTGGATTGGGTCTGTACATTAACGTGGAAAGGGTTACCATCAGTGTAGTACTCGGTTTTTACATTTAGGACTTTGCCCAGTGGCCATGTGGTTTTCTCAAAAGATAAATTTTGCCAAAAATGAAACAAACCCCTTGTGAATAAAAATAAATAAATAAATAACAACAGAAACTGAAAATTATCTCAAAGACCTCAATGAATTTTGTCCATGGCATGGTAAATATGTTTGCCCTGCAGTAGACAGGAAGGGCCAGGGTTGAAGAGAAGCAAGCATGGCAAGACAGAGGCAGCTGCTGATTCCTAGAACAGCAACTCCCACCCCAACTCCCACCCAGCATTTCCCTCTTGTCAAGGGAGGCCACTGTGACTGTACGCCAAGAAGGGTTTGAAGCCACTAGAAGATAAAACTTAAGCATATTTTTTGAAATAGTGGCACAGTATCACAGGATGCCTTCTGATTTGTGTGAGAGGGTGGCAAGTTGATTCCTGTTTTAGTGGCCATCTAAAGTCGCCACACAAGAAATGAAATAAGACAAATTCAAAATGTTGTATACTCTCACGTGTGTAATCCCAGCACTTTGGGAGGCCGAGGCAGGCAGATCACTTGAGCTCAGGAGTTTGAACCCAGCCTGGCCAACACGGCAAAACCCTGTCTCTACCAAAAATACAAAAATTAGCCAGGCATGGTGGTGTGCACCTATAATCCCAGCTACTCAGGAGGCTGAGGCAGGAGAATCGCTTGAACCCGAGAGGCAGAAGTTGTAGTGAGCCAAGATCACTACAGTGAGTGAGATTCCATCTCAAAAAAAAAAAAAAAAAAAATGTATACATCACAGCAGCATTCACAATAACCAAAAAAGGTAGAAGCAACCCAAGGGTTCACTGATGGATGACTGGATAAACAAAATCTGGAATTTATCGACAATAGGATATTATTTTTTGCCATAATAAGAAGGAAATTCTGACATATGCTACAACATAGATGAATCTCGAGCGCATTATGCTAAGTGAAATAAGCCAGTCACAAGATAACAAATATTGTATGAATCCATTTACATAAGCTATCTAGAGTAGTCAAATTCAGAGTGACAGGAAATAGAGGGGTGATTGCTAGGGGCTTGGGGGATAGCAAGGATGGAGAATTGATGAATGGGGATAGAATTCCAGTCGTGCAAAATGGAAAGAGTTCTGCCAGTTGGTTGCACAACAAGGTGAATGAACCTAAGACTACTGACCTTTACCTAGGTGACCTGTACATGTAACATGTTTAAGATGGTAAACTTTATGTGGATGTTACTATAATTTTTTAAAAAGCGATGTATGCTACATTCTTCTATTGTGTTACTATGCAGGAACTTTACAAAAATTCTTTCATTTATTTAATAGATTTGTACTGAGTACCACTAAGAGCTAGGCACTATTCCAGCAGCTGAGATATAGCCACAAGCAACATCTCTAGTCTTTGAAACTTACAATGCGGTGTAGGAAACAATATAGATAAGTCAGTACACACATATTAGAAAACACGTGGCAGTGATAAATTCTATAAACAGAACAAATTAGAGGGAAGTGATACTGAGCTAACAAGAGGGCTATTTCACACTCGATGTGAAAAGTTATTGATTTATTTTCTACAATATTAGGCACTCACAGTTGGTAAAACAGCTGTTGGACTACTGGCCAAAAAGAAAAACTAATACAATATTGAAGGGGCTTTGTTCAATTCAGGCTGTTTTAATGCTATTTAAAAATAAAGATCATAGTTTAAGTTTTTTCATAGTCTAATTTTTATTCTATAACTCACTGAAGTAGATTTACCATAGGATGATTATCAGTGGAGTTCATTTCTCACTCCTATTCAGAATTCTCATAGTATAACATTGTGAACAAAATTGTCTTATCGCTTAGCAAACACAGGAAAGGGTGTTCAGAGTTCCAGGAAGAAAAAGAGAAAATAGCCTTTGGAGAAAGTAAAATAAAGACCTGGCAGAGGGAATCTGAGGACATCTTATTATGGCAAAGTGATCTAGTGCAGGGGTCCCCAACCCCTGGGCCACCAACCAGTACCAGTCTGTGGCCTGTCAGGAACTGGGCCACACAGTAGGAGATGAGCCATGGGCGAGCAAGCATTACTGCCTGAGCTCCACCTCCTGTCAGATCAGTGGTGGCTTTAGATTCTCATGGGAGTGTGAACCCCATTGTAACCCGCACATGCGAGGGATCTAGGTTGCCTGATCATCCAAGATGGAACAGTTTCATCCCGAAACCATCTTTACCCCCACAACCCCATGGAAAAATTACCTTCCATGAAACCTGTCCCTGGTGCCAAAGAGTTTGAGGACTGATGATCTAGTGGACCCTCTGTCCTAGCCAAAGTTGGTAATGTGACTTTCCAAGATGAAGCTGTTGCAGGTTGCACCTTTGTGCGAGGTGGTAGCAGAGGCCTAGAGTGCAGGCAAACAGGGGACTCAGCATGAGTCCCTTCAGAATTCACTGCTGGGGGCTCACTATTCATTTCAAAAGCTGCAGCATAGTGAACAGATTCTTGCATTACTACCGGGCCCTTCTTCAGAAAAGAAATCTGTGGTAGAACCTGGGTATCCACTTACACAGCCAGGTCCTAATGTCAGCAATCATTCATTCATTCCTACCACAGAGTGACTCATGCTTTATTTCTCCCTCAGACTTCAGATGAACTCAGAAGGCCAGGGAACAGAGGTCAGCTCTATCCCCAGATGCTATGCTTAACACAGTCACTTCTTTCTCTATTGTCGCAGAAAGTGAGCCCCACAGGCCTACGCTTATTTGTCGTAAATATCTGGAGCTATCCCATACCCGTATGGGATAGATTGTTTTCTATGCTAAGGAAAAAGAAACATTCAAACAAATCAACCTGCTTACTGAGATGTATGTCACAATCTGTTTTGGCCAGACGGTCATTTGTTGGAAAATTCAGTAGGTACTATGTGGAAGAACTCAGGGCAGAAAGACATAATATTGATTTGTTGAGTGGCTGCGGTGGCCCAGGCACCAAGATGTGTTTGGAGGACAGAACAGAACAAGATCTATGTGGTCCCTGCCCTCAGAGAACTCCCAGACCAGCTAGAAAACAAAATGATTCAAGGACTAAGGAACTGTGGTAAGTGGTGTGACAGAAGGGGTGTCACGGAAGTATATGAAAGGAAAAATTAATTAACTTCATCTAGGGGATGAGGAAACCCTCCCAGAGAAAATGGCACTTAAGCAAAGATCTAAGGATGCACTGGAGTGGGGAAGTGATAGGCAGGGCACTAGGAAAAGAGAAGGGCATTTGCAAAGGTCTGGAAGCAAAAGGGCACACAATGTTCGGGGAAAATGTGGGGGGAAATCCAGTTTCTTTGGGTTATAATGTGAGGAGATGAGGCGGCAGGGAGGGAGAGACACGGCTGGAATGCAGGGCTGGGTGGGACTGGGAATGGTCTTGTAAAGGGTTGATGCAGGCCAGCTGTGAGGTTCGTGTGGCTAATAAAAAGGGAGCCACAAAGCCCGGTGTAGGAGACCAGTTAGCAGCTTAAGGAGAAAGATGGGAGAATGGCCTGTACTGGGAAGAGGCAGTAGAGAAGAAAGAGACATGGAAGGACGAAAGACAGATTTAGGAGGTAGAACACCCAGGATGCCCTTCCTCCCCACAGGTAAATAACACCTGGGCTTCACTCATTCCACAGAGATCTAAGCAAAAACGAAACTATGTTGGAAGAGGATTCAAATCACATGAAGCATTTATGAAGTGGCAGTGTCGCACATGATACCTTCTGACATGTATGAGAGGGATGGCAGACTGATTCCTGCTTTAGATAGTTAATCACCACACAGTTAATGAAACAAGACAAATTTTAAATGATGCATAGGCCAGGCACAGTGGCTCACACCTGTAATCCCAGCACTTTGGGAAGCCAAGGTTGGCAGATGAGTTGAGGTCAGGAGTTCGAGACCAGCCTGAGCAACAAGGTAAAATCCCGTCTCTACTAAAAATACAAAAATTATCTGGGCATGGTGGTGGGTGCCTATAATCCCAGCTACTAGGTAGGCTGAGGCAGGAGAACTGCTTGCTTGAACCCAGGAACCAGAGGTTGCAGTGGGCCGAGATTTTGCCGTCACACTCTAGGCTGGGCAGCAGAGCAAGACTCCATCTCAAAAAAAATTTTTTTAATTAAAAAAAATTAAAAGTGATGTATATATCACTATTACATAAATGATGCAACAGCATTATTCACAATAGCCAAAAGGTAAAAGCAATCTAAGTGTCTATGGATGGAAGACTGGATAAACAAAATGTGGTATTTATGTACAATAGAATATCATTCAACCTTCAAAAGGAAGGACATTCTGACACATGCTACAATATGGATGAACCTGGAGGACATTAAGCTCAGTGAAATATGCCAGTCACGAAAGGACAAATACGGTCCGATTCCAGTTCTATGAGGTACCTAAAGTAGTTAAATTTATAGAGAGAAAAAAGTAGAATGGTGATCACCAGGGCCTGTGAGGGAGGGAGGAAAGGAGAGTTAGTGTTTAGTGGGTACAGTGTCAGTTTGGGAAGAGGAAAAAATCCCAGGAGTGGATGGTGGTGAGGGTATCACAACAATGTGAATGTATGTCATACCAATGAGCTGTACACTTAAAGATGGTTACAACGGTCAACTGTATGTTACATATATGTTACCACAGGTTTTTTTTTTTAATTTAAAAATATTCTTTTAAAAAAAGCAGTCACTGTCATTCCTAGTGTTGTCCACTCTGGAATATTCAAAATTATTTCAAACCAATGCTAAATTAACTTGAATTTTAAAAATAGTTTTAATTTTAAACAATTATAAAGGCAATACGTTTTCATTGTAAAAATCTAGAAAATACAAAAAAGTGTTATTAAAGGATAATTTTTAGAAAAAATGTAAACATCGTGACTTTCACACAAATATAAAATGAATATGTGTGAAAGAGGTTATTTAACTCATTATTGAATAAGGAAACCAGTATGATGTTAAAACCAAAGAAGCTGGCCACTTGCCTGCAGTCCTAGCTACTCCAGAGGCTGAGGCGGGAGACTCACCTGAGCCCAGGAGTTTGCAACCAGCCTGGGCAACACAGCGAAACTCCCCAACCCTGTTTAAAATAAATAAATAAATAAATAAAAGAAAAAGGAAAAAAAAAAAGCAAAGAACAAAAGGACACACATATACAGACAAACAGGAATGCTAAAATGAATTTACAAATCAATGCCATACTGGTCAGTATCCATTGGACAATAATCATTCCACTGGGACGAACTCATTAGCCTTGATGTTGGCAAAAGTCATTTGCAATACTACAGGCTTTCTATAATTTATAGAGTTGTAAAATAACCTACAGACGAGAAAGGCCACAGTACACTGTAAAATTAAATAAACCTGCAAAAAACGCTAAGCAGGACATCCGGGAACACTGGTCCCTCTTTCTAGTCCCCTTGAAAGTCTCACAAGGCTGAAAAAGGAAAGTAAAATCCTTGTGTAACCCTTCTGCCCAGAAGTACACTGGCACAGATTCTTTAGAGACGAATTTAATCCAGAGTGTGGAGCCTTTATTAAGGAAATAATCCGGTGCAACGTTCTGGGACACGCTCCTGGACTGGGTGGGCTTCTGCACACTCACCCAGCGCACCTCCAATCCCCGGGAGCGCTCGGCACCGCCCACTTCTCTGCGAGTGGCTGCAAGTTGCAGAGCAAACCAGGGGGCGATCTGGAACCCTCTGGGAGTAAAGGGCTAAGCTATAAGCGCAGGGTCGACGGGCAGGGACCGGAAACAAATTCTAGGAACCGAGATCCGCTGAGCAGCAGGGAAGCTGCGCAGCCACCGCGTCCCGCCAGCGCCGCCTCTTTCCCTCCCTCGCCCGCCTGGCCCGGCGGGGCGGCGCGAGGACCCAGGGGCGGGGCGACCTTTGCTCCGGCCGTGAGCAGTCCAGGCCAGGCGTGGCCCAGCCGCCCGGCTGCAAGGTGGGGTGTCCCCGCCGCTCGGATCCCCATCTCACCTGCCGCGGGCGAGGTGGCCCCGCCGCTTCCTGCGCTCACCTCGGGTCCCTCCCTCCCGGGCCAGGTTTGGCCGCGGCAGCCGCCCCTGGGCGCCCGCGCCCGGACCCGCGGTTTCGGTCAGACCCGCCCGCGGGCTGGTTTCGATTAGGGCCAGTAGGAGGGCGGAGCGGCCGGGACGCCAGGAGGGAACTAGCCTAAGTGGGGACGGTCCCCGTGCAGGAGACAAAGAGCGTCCCTGGAGCGATCAGGGCTCAGGAGCCCGACCCGGAGCCCGGGGCGTCCGCGCTGACTTCGGGTCCCCGGAGCCTGGGGCACGGCAGGAAGAAGACGACGGCGGAGAAGGCGACAGCGGAGAAGGAAGGCAGGCTGCAGGGGCGCCGTCGGCGCGGCGGGCCGGGATGCGGACGCCGGTGGTGATGACGCTGGGCATGGTGTTGGCGCCCTGCGGGCTCCTGCTCAACCTGACCGGCACCCTGGCGCCCGGCTGGCGGCTGGTGAAGGGCTTCCTGAACCAGCCAGTGGACGTGGAGTTGTACCAGGGCCTGTGGGACATGTGTCGCGAGCAGAGCAGCCGCGAGCGCGAGTGCGGCCAGACGGACCAGTGGGGCTACTTCGAGGCCCAGCCCGTGCTGGTGGCGCGGGCACTCATGGTCACCTCGCTGGCCGCCACGGTCCTGGGGCTTCTGCTGGCGTCGCTGGGCGTGCGCTGCTGGCAGGACGAGCCCAACTTCGTGCTGGCAGGGCTCTCGGGCGTCGTGCTCTTCGTCGCTGGCCTCCTCGGCCTCATCCCGGTGTCCTGGTACAACCACTTCTTGGGGGACCGCGACGTGCTGCCCGCCCCGGCCAGCCCGGTCACGGTGCAGGTCAGCTACAGCCTGGTCCTGGGCTACCTGGGCAGCTGCCTCCTGCTGCTGGGCGGCTTCTCGCTGGCGCTCAGCTTCGCGCCCTGGTGCGACGAGCGTTGTCGCCGCCGCCGCAAGGGACCCTCCGCCGGGCCTCGCCGCAGCAGCGTCAGCACCATCCAAGTGGAGTGGCCCGAGCCCGACCTGGCGCCCGCCATCAAGTACTACAGCGACGGCCAGCACCGACCGCCGCCTGCCCAGCACCGCAAGCCCAAGCCCAAGCCCAAGGTCGGCTTCCCCATGCCGCGGCCGCGGCCCAAGGCCTACACCAACTCGGTGGACGTCCTCGACGGGGAGGGGTGGGAGTCCCAGGACGCTCCCTCGTGCAGCACCCACCCCTGCGACAGCTCGCTGCCCTGCGACTCCGACCTCTAGACGCTTGTAGAGCCTGGGGGGCGCCGGGTGGCAAAGGACTCACCCCCGCACAGGCCCGCCTGGCTTCGAGTTGGAACCCGGACACTTGCCCCTCACTGGTGTGGATGGAAATCTGCCTTTCGTGGGACCAAACAGGACTCCTTGGACGATTAGTTCAGGTTGGGTTTGGTTTTCTTCTTAAAGAGTTTAGTTTTCCTCTCCAGAGGGATCAGGGTCCTCTTAGGGAGTGACGGGCTTTTCATATATTTTTGCTGAAGAATATATGGAAAGGGTGGCATTTGCGTCACGTGGACCAGGGACAGTGCTGAAATCAGCAGTGCTCAGAAACAATTTAACATGTTGAAACGACAATATTCTAAAATACTGATGAATCTTGCATCAATATAATTATTGGGTTTTTTTTCTTTTTCCTGCTGTATAACTCCTTGCCATGCAAACTCTCAAGAGGCCAATATATTCCTGGCCATGTTTGAATGAGCCTCTTAAAATAAACTTAGAGCCATGCAAATGCCAGCAGCTTAATGGATTTCATGGAATGAAATACCGTGATTAACTCATAGCTACATATCATTGCATAAATGGGATTTATCTTTTTTCTCACTTATTTTTGCGGTGAAAGTCGAGGGCATGCAAGAGTTTCTCTTCCAGAAGCCAAGAGGAGAACAAAGGTCCTAATGCTGTACTATTCCACCCTTTGGACGCCTCATCCAGGACGCAGAGGACTCTAGGTTTAACATTTTGTACAAAATGGAACCTGTTAATCATATTAAAGCACATATGTATATATCTTTTATTTATAAATAAAATTTTAAAACAATAGTTTCAGTATAGCCACAAAAGCTCTTTTGTCTTCAGTACAACGTTTGGGAGTTTAAACATTCATTACTAACAATTTCCTGGCTGCCTCGGCACTTGTGTCTGAAATCTAGCACTCAAATCTTTGCACCTCTTAGCATAAGGTTACTAAAAAAAGCCAACGGGCCCCACTTAAGTCCCTGATTGCTTTGGTTTTAGGTTCATGCCATTTCTGTGCAAAGCCAAGTCTATTGCTGAGAAAACGAGAAGCACCAGTTTCCACTTGAGGTGAGACTGGAAATCTTTTCCTTTGTAGCAGTGGTGTTTAGAATCACAGGAAGGCAGCTATGTGTTCCATGAAGGGGACTGGGTCTCCAGCAGGGCTGGCTTCAATTCCAAGTGGTTGATTTAAGGGTACCTTTAACCGAACTGAATCTCTTCTTTAAAACCTGCCGTTCAGAGGTAGGAACATTCATTCAGTTCAGCAAGCACTGATAATAGCTATAGTGAGGCTAACTTAATAGCACATGCTGCCTGTTAGAGTGGAAGGGATGACAGAGATTCACTTCCCTTGCCATTTGGTACTGGAATCACTTCTTTCTCTCTTTCTGAAGCCAGGCTTTAACGTGTAGGCGGTATCACTTTGGAATCTCTTTCAAATGCAGATTCTGATTCAGTAGATCTGGAGTGAGGCCCTGAAAAGATTTCCTAACTGGCTTCCAGGAGATGCCAATGCTGCCGGCTCATGGACCACACTTGGAGTTGCAAGGCTTTCGCTGGGACTGTCTCACTCAAATTTCAATCCCAACTGGTGGCTCATATTCAGACCTTTGAGTGCCTGCTACCGAGATGCGCTTGGGGACTTGCTCGAGGGTACAGAGCCAAAAGGGAGAAAGTGCAACAGGGCTCTTTTCCACTAACACCTCCGAAGGCAGCAATTAGGGACCTGAGAAGTCAGCACCTAGCAGACACCGTACAGGTACTGGGCTCCTGGCAAATGGTGAGTCTGGGCTGCATCATAATTCTATCTCCAGGGAAGCTTTGGTAAAAACACACAAAACTTTTGTGTGTTTTGCTTTTCTCCCCATCCCAATGATTCTCCACTGCCTTATATGCAAAACATTTCCTGCCTGAGGATTAGGATTCGGTTGCTGGGAGTTAAAACTCTACTTTTCCCCTATCAAGAGAACGAAGCCAAAACTCCTCCTTTAAAAATACAAACTCCTTTTTGCTATAGAAATATTCAAGACAGCCTGTAATCCCAGTGCTTTGGGAGGCCAAGTGGAAGGAATGCTTTGAGGCCAGGAGTTCGAGACCAGCCTGGGCAACATAGCTAGACCCCATGTCTACAAAAAAATTTTTAAAAGTTAGTCAGGCATAGTGGCAACATGTCTAGAGTCCTAGCTACTTAGGAGGCTGAGGCAGCAGGATCACTTGAGCCCAGGAGTTCAAGGCAGTAGTGAACTAAAAGCACATCACTGCATTCCAGCCTGGGCAACAGAGCGAGACTGTCTCTTAAATTAAAAAAAAAAAAAAAAAAAAAAAAAAAAAAAAAACGGGCATGATGGCTCATGCCTGTAACCCCAGCACTTTGGGAGGCCGAGGTGGGCCCATCACGAGGTCAGGAAATCGAGACCATCCTGGCTAACATGGTGAAACCCCGTCTCTACTAAAAATACAAAAAATTAGCCGGGCATGGTGGCGTGCGCCTGTAGTCCCAGCTACTCGGGAGGCTGAGGCAGGAGAATGGCGTGAACCCGGGAGGCGGAGCTTGCAGTGAACCGAGATGGTGCCACTGCACTCCAGCCTGGGTGACAGAGCGAGACTCTGTCTCAAAGAAAAAAAAAAAAAAAAAGGTTCAGGAGAGCATGGAAAGAGAGTCCTGCATCAGTCTGGGATCCACGTTTGCCCTGCGGGTCATTCTCTGCCACAGCAAGTCTCAGGAGTTGCTGCTGTGGGCAAGAATTTATCCTAAACTTTTCCTAAACTTACCACTGACCAGCCCAGCAACTGCACCACAGAGAACACACTCAAAGCACTTCTGTCTTGTATCAAGCCCTCTGACCTACCAGACTCATGTTTAATCCTCCCAATCCCCAAAGGAAGTATAAGTCCCCATTGAATGGATGAAGTCTTTTCTAGATTACTCAAGTGATGCCAGGAGGACGGTGAGTTCTGTGAAGGTAAGGCAGAAACTGCTTTAACACATCCCTGCTCTACCCGTTCGCCAATCTGGCTCTTATCTGGACACACGCCCTCACCAAGGAGGGGTGTGGCTTTGAGCACACAGCTGGTTCTCCACCGTGGAGGCTGCGGGAGGTGCTGTCAGGGTGCTTTGGCAACCATCCTTCCCTTCATTGTGTAGATCGTTCACCCAGTATGTTTTTGAGCGTCTGACATTTTGCCAGCACATTTGTGGGCACCATGAAAAACAATACCATCCAGGCCCATTCTGTGTGGAACTTAAATAATCTCCTGTGATCATGTACAAATAAAATGAAAAAGATTAAGCCAGAAATCAAGGGATGGAGGAAGAAAGGTGTTTTTTGTTTTTGTTTTGTTTTTGGGAGACAGGGTCTCACTCTGTCACCCAGGCTAAAGTGCAGTGACATGATCAGGGCTCACTGCAGCCTCAACCTCCCAACCTCAGTGGATCCTCCAGCCTCAGCCTTCCAAGTAGCTGGGACCACAGATATGCATCACATCACCCAGCTAATTTTTTTTTTTTTTAAACAGACAGAATCTCACTATGTCACCCAGGCTGGTCTCGAACTCCTGAGCTCAAGTGATCCTCTCACCTTGGCCTCCCAAAGTGCTGGAATTAGAGGTGAAAGCTCCCACACCTGGCCAAAGGTGATATTTTAGGAAAAGTGGTCAAGAAGAAGGAGGTACTTGGGCAGAGAACTGAAAGAAGAGAGAGAGGAGCCTTTTAGGCAGAAGGAACAACTTCAAGTTTCCACTAGAGAAAATGTGAAAACAGGTGGGCGTCTCAGTCTTACTACCAGCTAGTTTTGCTTCTCTTTCTAGAATCGGGTGGTAAGGCCAAGAAGCAGCTGGTGGTACAACGGAGTAACCCTGAGTCAACCTTGTCATCTACTCTTTGCCAGGCTAACAGATTCTTTCAGAGGGAATACCATCTGGAACAAATTCACCCTGTCTTCTAGAATATTTCCATAAGCAGACAGGGAGGGTCTCTGGGGATTCTAGGAATTTAATCAACTTGAGCAATCAGCCTGTTTTGCAGCCTCGTGCCCTGCAGTCTGTTTCTTCCTAGACCCTGCGTGGTCACCCAGCAGGTTAAAGCAGCTCCTGACAGGCCCCAACAACTTTTAGATGAATTCGGTGAACTTTCCTCATGGCCATTCTATAGTCTCCACCCCAGGGGAAGAGCAGCTTCAGCAGCAACCACATGCGACCTATGTGCTGGCATGAGGACTCACTGCATTGGTGCCACTGGGACCCCTCCTCGGCATGCGACGCAGTCCCTCCTGTCTCCATTACCCCTTAAAACCCTCCTGTCACATTCCCTCTGGGAGACACTGCTTTGGAGAATAATCCCAGTGCCCCTCTTCCTTGTGCCAAGTAATAAAACTCCTATTGATCACACACCTGCGTTCTCAAGGAGCGTGGTTTGTTATTCATCGGACCAACAAACCCTGATTTTGGGGGGGTAACATTTCCAGAATCAAAAATAAGCAATTTCTTTTTTTTTTTTTTTTTTTTTTTGACAGGGTCTCCCTCTGTCACCCAGGCTGGAGTGTAGTGGCATGATCTTGGCTCACTGCAGCTTTAATCTCCCAGGTTCAAGCGATTCTCCCACCTCAGCCTCCCAAGTAGCTGGGACCACAAGCACACACCACCACGCCTGGCTAATTTTTTGCATTTTTTGTAGAGAGTGTGTTTCTCCATGTTGCCCAGACTGGTCTCGAACTCCTGAGCTCAGGAGATCCACCTGCCTCAGCCTCCCAAAATGCTGGGATTACAGGCGTGAGCCACCATGTAAGCAAAAAATAAGCAACTTCATGTGTGAATAGTCCTCCACTAAGCAGGACTGAACACATGAAAATGAGGTTTCATTTGTTCAAATCAAGGAAAATATAGACAGAGCTTAGCAGGGGGGACAGTGCTGACAAGGGGACTTGATTCTTCAGTGGCACATGGAGAGAATGGCTTAAGACTTGATTGAACCCATTTAACTCTTGTCCTACTGGTGGCCCAAGTTATACCAAGGCGCTGACAAGGTGAGCCAGCAGCCCCTCTTGTAAAGCAATGTGACCAATAAGCTGGGTTGAGAGCCTGGGAAGCCAGGAGATGCCTTTCACAGGTACCAAATGACTCTCCATTGTTTTGCATAGAGAAAGTGACATGGAGCCTGAAGCCACTGACACTTCTCCCCCACCACCATGTTTGCTATTCACAGTGGCTCCCAAAGAGCTGCTCTCACCACGGGGCTGAGGGAGGCTAGACAAGATCACTGCAATTTTTCTAGAACTTTGATGATACCTGTCTCCCAAGAGGGTAAGCCTTGCCCTTGCTGGGCTTCTGTTTCCTCATCCATTAAACTGGGAAGAATGAATTAGATATTTTCAAAGGGCCTCTCTAAATTTATTCTGAGGGTGGCAGTTAAGAATTAAAGGAGGCTGAGAGGAGAGAAGTAAAATTTGAACAGTGGAGCCTGAGGAAGCTGAATGATGTGTAAAATTTTTTTAATAATAATTTTTTTTAACTTCCAGGGTACATGTGCAGGATGTGCAGGTTTGTTACACAGGCAAACGTGTGCCATGGTGCTTTGCTGCACAAACCAACTCGTCACCTAGGTATTAAGCCCAGTACGCATTAGCTCTTTTCCCTAATGCTCTCCTCCCACCATCCTCCTCCAAAACATCCCAGGGAGTGTTGTTTCCCTCCCTGTGTCCAGGTGTTCTCGTTGTTCAGCTCCCACTTATGAGTGAGAATATGCAGTGCTTGGTTTTCTGTTCCTGTGTTAGTTTGCTAAAAATAATGGCTTCCAGCTTCATCCATGTCCCTGCAAAGGACATGATCTCATTCCTTTTTATGCCTGCATAGTATTCCGTGTTGTATATGTACCACATTTTCTTTATCCGGTCTATCATGCGCATTTGGGTTGATTCCATGTCTTTGCTATTGTGAATAGTGCTGCAATGAACATACATGTGTATGTATCTTTAAAATAGAATGACTTATATTCCTTTGGGTACATATCCAGTAATGGAATTGCTGGGTCAAATGGTATTTCCAGTTCTAAATTTCTAAGGAATCACCATACTGTCTTCCACAGTGGTTGAACTAATTTACATTCCCACCAACAGTGTGAAGGTGTTCCTATTTCTATGCAACTTCACCAGCATCTGTTGTTTCTTGCACTTTTTTTTTTGAGACAGAGTCTCACTCTGTCACCCAGGCTGTAGTGCAGTGGCCACTTCTCAGCTCACTGCAACCTCTGCCTCCCAGGTTCAAGCAATTCTCCTGCCTCAGCCTCTTGAGTAGCTGGGATTATAGGCACCTGCCACCACACGTGGCTAATTTTTGTATTTTTAACTAGAAATGGAGTTTCACCATGTTGGCCAGCCCAGTCTCGAACTCTTGACCTCAGGTGATCCACCCGCCTCAGTCTCCCAAAGTGCTGGGATTACAGGCTTGAGCCACAGTACCCAGCCTTGTTTCTTGACTTTTTAATCATCACCATTCTGACTGGCATGAGACGGTATCTCACTGTGGTTTTGATTTGCATTTCTCTAATGATCAGTGACGCTGAGCTATTTTTCATGTGTTGTTGACCACATATATGCCTTTTTTTGAGAAGTGTCTGTTCATATCCTTTAAATTCGCTGGGTGTGGTGGCTCACACCTGTAGTCCCAACTACTCAGGAGGCTGAGGGGCAATTTGACGGCAAATTACTCAAGGATTGCCTGAGCCCAGGAGGTCAAAGCTGCAGACAGCCATGACTGCACCACTGCACTCCAGCCTGAGCTGGACCAAGTGAAACCCCATCTCAAAAACAAAACATAACACAAACAAACAAAAGCTAATTATTAGTCTGAACCCAACAAACTCTATATTCTAGTTCCTGGTTTCTCTGAATTCCGTCGCTATTCCTCGGTAGTTAAAACAGTAGAAACTTAGTACTTCCCCCTCACCATCCATGACCATCACCCATTTACTTCCTAAAGAGAATGAACATAAAGTGCTTAATCTAACTCTTAATTGCTAGATACACAAAAAGTCAAGCGTTGTGTGGAGCTCTTTCAGCTTAATGCACGAACCAATTAACTTTTCTAAAGCGTCTTGTTTTTCCAGAAGAAAACCCAAACCTATTACTATATTACAGAAGTTGAGTTTCTAGAATGAAATTCAGATTTTGCATCTGCCACAGGCTCACTGCTCCATCTATTGGGCGTAGAGAAATTAAGTGAGAAACCAACATGTAATGTAGAGATGATCACAACAGAAGGCTCTTAAAATTGATAACAAGACATTTCTACAAATAGATACAGTTAGAAAATTGATGTATGAAAATCTATTTAGGGGACAGGGATGGCTAAGAATTTTTAAATATAAAATCTTGAGTATCCATCTACAAGATCAAGTATTTCTGATAAAACAGACATTTGGATGTGTTTTGTAAATTCTTGAATGGAGAAAGCATAATAACAGGATATATTAAACTAGGTTCTGGTAGGGTAACACCTAGGCATACATTCATAGGAGACCAAAGATAGGAAAAAAAAGGTATAGTATAAATAAGCCAGGGACAGAGCAAGGGGAAGAGGGTACATATCTGATATACAGGGATGTGGCTGCATATAGTCAGCAACCTTCCCAGGAAGAGGAAATGGCAGGTGTTTCTTGGATCCAAGTAGGAAATGAGACCTGCAGAGCAGAAGAGAGAGGCTGAGGGTAACATTTCTCACAGAGCCTGGGGAAGTCAGCTGAGCTAGCTGGAACACAAGCCCTGAAAGGCTGGTGGAAGGCTTAAGGTCCAAAGGAGGCCAAGGCACTAACTTAAATCTGTCCAGACAAAGTGATCGTCCTGTAGTACATCATTTGTACATGCTTTTGAGCCTGATTTTTTCATGTCATTTTATGCATTTTGTGCATAGGGAGAGATTTACCTAAAGCAAAATTATCAGTGAGCTTGGCTCTTGGGAGAAGATAGTAAGATTCATTCTGTGTATGACAAGTTGAGAGTTTGGTGAAGCTGACATGGTTTCTCTGAGATACAGCTGAGCCTCTGGGGCAACTTAATGATGCTTGCTCTGTCCACCAGTCACAGAGACAGAGTGATGGACTTAAGTGATGGACAAGGTACGTACAAACACAAGTAGTGAGGTGTGGATATATATGCATACATATTTGTTAGTTAAGAACCATTTTAGGCCAGGTGCAGTGGCTCATGCCTATAATTCCAGCACTTTGGGTGGCTGAGGCGGGCAGATCACTTGAGGTCAGGAGTTCGAGACCAGCCTGGCCAACATGGTGAAACCCCATTTCTACTAAAAATACAAAAAAATTAGCCAGACGCGGTGGTGTGTGCCTGTAATCCCAGCTACTCAGGAGGCTGAGGCAGGAGAATTGCTTGAACCCAGGAAGCAGAGGTTGCAGTGAGCTGAGATCGCCCCACTGCACTCCAGTCTGGGCAACAGAGCAAGATACTGTCTCAAAAAAAAAAAAAAAAAAAAGAACCATTTCAGAACAAGAATTCTAGTAACCTCAACTAGATAAGTTTGAATTTATGAAATCAATATCACTGCCATTACTTTTGGTCAAACAGAAAAACAATCAAAAGTTTATATATATTTTTAAAACTATATAACTTAAGACACTTAAAATATTTGGTTTCAGGACCACTGCAGTCTATTTATCATACCAATCTATTTTTAAATGGCCATATGCATAGTTTTAACCAAAGTTATATTCTATAAGGATTCATGTGGTAGATCAAAGTGGTGAGTAAATGGACTAGAAATATTTTTCCCATGTAAGTAGGTGTATCTGGAATTATTTTTATATTGTGAATCCACGTAAATTGTAGGTTCAGCAAATCTATAAGTTGCAGATATGGAAACGGATCTGGTGGAAGTGGTAGAAGGTGCACACATAAGGCAGGAAGTAGCCAACAGCATGCTTCTAACAAAAGAGAAATCCAAAAATTAAAGTTGTGTTTAAGTGATTTCACCATATTCCTTATTATTATTGGCACAAGAATTACTCCCCCTCGTGAACGCTACAGGCAAAACAGCTGGGTAGGAAGACAGCAGTATTAGCAATAAAACTACATCTTGCCTCTGCCTTAAGCTGGTATCACCGGGCTATTTCCACTCCTGTGCAGCTGGGGGACCTCTGTGGCAGGGTATATCCAGAGGAAGCCAGCCTAACTTTATACACCTGCTACCCTTCCCCTCAACCCTCTCAAAGCTTTATGTAAAACTCAGGGTGACTTAATTATTAAGGAGCAGAGCCAATTCTTTGGCCTAGGCCATCAGGAATGAAAAAGCAAGTGGAAGTACATCAGATTTCTGGTTTAGTTTTAAAACCAAGTGGTGAAGGTAACAAATTCCCCCACTCAATGACCCCCCGCATCGGGTGACAGCAACACAGGGTCTTCCACAAAAGCATCTTCATTTGCTAGCATCTAGATTCAACTCTGGGAGTCAAAATTCATTTTCTTTTCCTATTTAAGATGATGTGACTAGGGGTCATAACTGCTTGGACGTCTAGCTAGTGAAGTTTTAGGAAGAAGAGAATTTAAATTGTGAAGTCAATGAGAACTATTGACTATAAGATTCCCGTTCCAAATCTTTTTCTTTACTAGTTATGACCAGATTCAATACTGAGCTCACTGTCTCTTCTATTCTATAGCTTATAAATCTTAGATACCATTGGAGCTGGAGCTGTAGAATTAGAGGATGGTGGTTACAGAAGAATTGGATATTACAGTTGCTCAACTGACGGCCCGTGACAACACCTTTCCGTGAAGACCCTATTTGGCAAGGTATTTCTTTTTCGTTTGTTTGTTTGTTTTTGAGACGGAGTCTCGCTCTGTCACCAAGCAGGCTGGAGTGCAGTGACGCAATCTCAGCTCACTGAAACCTCCGACTCCCTGGTTCAAGAGATTCGCCTTGGCAGGATATTTCTGTAACCATCTGCAGCTAGTATTCGAGTATGAACATGACAGTATCAAGTTGTAACAGGACAGCTTTCTCCACATTCTTTGTGTTCCTTAACAACCCTACAAGGCAGAAAGTGCTGTTTCCACTTTTAAAAGGAGGAACACCAAGGCGGGTCAAATAGTTTGTCCAACCTCCTTCACCCCTGGCTATCGTCACAATGTGATCTATTTAAATTGACTGAATCAAATCTACATCAAGAGCATGTTCTCTGAGACAACATACAAATAGTCTAGCCCTTTGGAGCTCACTATCCTATTGTCTGTTCTAAAATAGAATCAAGGCCAGGCACAGTGGCTTATGCCTGTAATCCCAGAACTTTGGGAAGCCAAGGCAGGCAGATCACTTTTGAGGTCAGGAGTTCAAGACCAGCCTGGCCAACATGGTGAAACCCCGTCACTACTGAAAATACAAAAATTAGCCGGGTGTGATGGCACATGCCTGTAATCCCAGCTGCTCTGGAGGCTGAGGCAGGAGAATCACTTGAACTCAGGAGGTGGAGGTTGTGGTGAGCAAAGACTGCACCACTGCACTCCAGCCTGGGCCAAAGAGTGAGACTCCTCTGTCTCAACAAATTAATTAATTAATTTAATTTAATAGAATCAGAGAGCACATGAATTTTCTGGAGTCCTCATAGTCTATATCTGTTGCCGATAGTTAGATATTTCATCTTGTTCAGTTTAAAGAACCCACAGTATTAACAAGGTAATAATTTATAGGATGAAAACTTGAGGAATATTGCAGAATTAGATATTAATAAAAATAAGTCATGCGTGGTGATGAATAAATTACTCCAGCCCATGTTACCAGATGCATCCACACAGTCAGCAGGACCATCATAAACTTGCCCCATGGAAATGCATGTCTGAGCATCCTTACAGGATGTGACGGTGCCAAGCAGACAACGGCTCCAGTGCATGTGTTTGCATCAGCCTCGTAGGACTCCCTGGGACATCTAAGAATCTGTCCTTCAGGGTCTGGGATACAAATATGGCCACATCCTCCATGGTCTTTTGAGCACCTGTTACTACCTGTGGAATATTCCCACCACCTCCCTGAAAAGCATACTGAGTTATTAGGTTTCTTAAAGGTCTTCTGCAAACTTCTTGCAAATACATTATCAGAGTTACGGGACCCAAATGTTTTCCCCAAATTAGATTGCTCTTCAATTTAATTCCTTTTACTCAACTAGATACTGAATGACTGGAGATTCTTTCTTCATGGATAAGGATGGTTTTAGAAGCCTAGGAGTTCAGATGTTGGATGGCTTAAGAAAAACTGAGGGGAACTCCGACTCATTCAGGGCCGCATTGTGAGTTCTCTTTGCCCCTCAAGTTATACCTGGTAAAACACTTAATTGTGATAAAACAAACACGCACAGATTCAGTATTCTGACATGCGATGGCTTTCATCCACATTAATTTGTCTAGGGACAGTTAGTATGATCATAGTAAACACTCAGGAAATTCATACCATGCACTCAAAGCTGAGTCAATGTGCCTGGACAGAAGCCTGAGAAGAGAAGACGGTGGCAGACCTGGCCTGTGGCAGGACTGGGAGGATCACTCTTTATCTGAGCCATCCTGACAGGTGCATGTGCCATCATGGAGGTGCTCCCAAGAAACACGTTCCTCCCCGTTCCCACAGGGAACAGAGGATGGATGCAAAGCACATGTGACGGAGGAGGAGCGGGAGGAGCAGGAGCGGTGGTTGGGGCTGCTCCTTCAACCCCGGGATCCAAAGCAAACAGCTGCTTCAGCAAGTCAGTCCAGTAGGTTCCAGCAATGGGCACGTGCCCCTACTGTCCCCCTCCTTCAGAAAATCACGTCATGGCTGCGTACATACATTTTTCTATCTCACAGGAAGAAAATGTGCAACTGACCCAAAGCCTGGATCCTTAGGTTAAGTGTGGTACGTTAGCCTATCATCAACTCACAGTGAATTTGGGCAAGGAGTTTTTTCCTTCCCAGCCTACTAACTTTAGCCTTTGGGAAATTTCCAGAACATAGACAACTTAGAGAGAAGGCCTGAAGAATTGTGGGTTGGGACCACTGCCAGTGCAAACATAAAGATGCCCAGGATTTTATCCTAGAAAAACACACTGAAAAGAGACAGGTAAAGTGGATCTCAAAGAATAACCCCACAGAGGAAGGCTAGCTGGCCACCTCCTGGTTGTCTGCCAAGATGATCATTTTCTTTATATATGGCTCTTTCAACACCGAGAAGGCTGCTGCGTCCTCTTGTTCCACAGCACAAGAGCGGCTTTGTCCATAGTCACCAGGTAGGACTCGTAGGCTCCTCTAATCCCGTTGCTCCAGGATTTGTTTAAAGAGTGTGTTTTATTTCTATTTCTTAGAAGACTCAGACTACCTGGGCGCAGTGGCTCACGCCTGTAATCTCAACATTTTGGGAGGCCGAGGTGGGCAGATCACAAAGTCAAGAGATTGAGACCATCCTGGCCAACATGGTGAAACCCCGTCTCTACTAAAAATACAAAAATTAGCTGGGCATGGTGGTGGGTGCCTATAGTCCCAGCTACTCAGGAGGCTGAGGCAGGAGAATCACTTGAACCCAGGAAGCGGAGGTTGCAGTGAGCCGAGATCACGCCACTGCACTCCAGCATGGGCGATAGAGTGAGACTCTGTCTCAAAAAAAAGAAAAAAAGAGAAGACTCAGACTTTGCAACCCTAAGAGTCAAGTTCTTATTAACTAATACTGAACAAGTCACCTATGATGGGAGAAAGCATGGGTCCCATTTAATTGTGTCTTTTGTGTGCATATGGTGGAAATGCCATGTCAAGGTTTGCTACTGCACATTCCTTCCCAATTGTATGTTTAATGTTACATTGGGAGCTTGAAATCTGGCATCGTGGGAGTATTTACACCCTGATAATTGGCAAACACTACAAACGGGGATTTCATTTTTTTTTTTTTTTCATTTTGATTTCTAGACCAGGAAATGGCAAACAATGGCCCTTGAGCCAAACTCAGCCTAATGCCTGTTTTTGTAAAGTTTTAGCAGAGTAAAGCTATGGCCATTCACTCACATGTTATCAATGGCTAATTCTGTGAGACAATGGCAGAGAATCCACCAAGCCTAAAATATTTACTATCTGACCTTTTGGAGAAAAAGTTGGCCAATCCCTAGTCTAGACTTAAAGGAAGTGGTGAAGTATTAATGAGGCAGACTAAATATATGTGTATTGTGTCTATAACCATTAAATTTTAAATACCATAAAAAATTGAGGAAATATTGCCATAGTATTTGAAATCTATTATCCAGTTCAGCAAAGAAGTCATTTATGTCACTGATGGACTAATTCCCACAAGTCTTCATTGCTTCACTTTCATCTCACTTGTTTATGGAAATAAAATCATCAAAAAACATTCATGTCAAGAACACTCACGCACTGACTTCTTTGCCTACTCAGATAGTAATCAAGCACTTATTCATCGCTTTTGTTAAATCTTGAATTGTAACCATAGATTGGCTTCTGATCTAAGAATTCCAGATAAAAAAGCAGTCTGTGAAAATCAGTTAGCTATATGAAATTTGTAATAACAAATATCATGGCCAGGTGTAGTGGCTCACACCTGTAAACCCAGTACTTTGGGAGGTTGAGGCAGGACGATTGCTTGAGCTTAGGATGTGGAGGTCAGACTGGGCAATACAGTGAGGCCTCATCTCCACAAAAAATTAAAAAATTAGCCAGGCATGGTTGCCTATGCCTGTGGTCCCAGCTACTCGGGAGGCTAAGGTGGGAGGATTGCTTGAGCCCAGGAGGTCAAGGCTGCAGTGAGCTATGATTGTGCCACTGCACTCTAGCCTGGGCAACAGACTCAGACCCTGTCTCAAAAAGAAAACAAAACAGGCCAGGCATGGTGGCTCATGCCCATAATCCCAGCACTTTGGGAGGCCAAGGCCGGCAGATCACCTGAGGCCAGGAGTTCGAGACCAGCCTGCCCAACATGGTGAAACCCCATCTCTACAAAAATACAAAAATTAGCTGGGCATGGTGGCGTGTGTCTGTAATCCCAGCTACTCAGGAGACTGAGGCAGGAGAATCGCTTGAATTTGGGAGGTGGAGGTTGCAGTGAGTTGAGATTGCGCCATTGCACTCCAGCCTGGGCGACACGAGTGAAACTCCATCTCAAAAAAAAAAAAAAAAAGAAAAAAGAAAGAAAGAAAACAAAACAAAACAAAACAAAAAGCAAAGAAAAGAATATTGTGTATTTTCTTATTTGTACATTGTGTTACATATCCTTTATACAGTACACTTAATTATAAACAGATGTAGGTATATATGTGCACATATTTTTTTCCCAGAGAGCTGATTGTTAAACATTTCCCAGCACATCAATAGGTATTATAGTAAGAACTCAAATATTAACTACCAGGGATGTTGACAAACAGGCAAAGCATGAAGGTGGGGCTGGAGTAGCAGAATGAGGACGCTGATACCCCCAGGGCTTGACATGCTGTAAAATTCTTCCTACATACTGGGTGTTAGAGTGGGAGAATTTCTTTACTATTTCCTCGCACTTGCATATGGAGGAACTTCCATAAAATTACATTTCTGTATACTCCCACATCCATGAAGTTACTCCTACCCAGGAAAGGAGAAGTGACTTAGAAATTATTGGAAATTGTTAAGATGAGGCTGGCCATATTTGGTTTGACCCCTTTGTTGGGCTCTGCCACTTGCAGAGAACATGCACCTTCCTCTGGAGTTATAAATTTAGCCTTGGCACTGCACAGATTCAAGGTTGAAAGCTCAGGGTCACAGAATGTTCCTTGAGCAATGCTACACTGGTTCTTAAAGGCATGCACTCTAGTTCTGAAACAGAATTTTGGAAGCCTCCCATTTTTCACTAGAAATTTCGTCTGTATTTTCTAGCATCAATTTTCAATATGAATAACATGCTCAAGAAAAAACAACACTGACACTGGCACACTCAATGTAAAGATGAGCTGAAAACTATATGCTGATGGCTTGTCAGAAACCCTGCCATCTATAAACAGGCCTGGATAACAGACAGCACAACTTTTCTGCATTTTCTAATTTCACATACTACAGTGAGGGAAATAGGACAAAAGGAATAATGGCCAGAGATGTGCTAAGGTGTTTCCAACATACAGAGGGCCATTAGGAAGGAGGAGGACCTTAACAGAAACATAACCGAGGAATCCAAGAGAATGTGACCTCAGTTTTAGACAATAGTTATTATAGAAGTCTCAAATCAAAATTATATATACATTTATGCTTCAGGACAGGTGAGTCACAGAAGAAGATCGTCCGGATAAATACATATGCTTCTTAGACTATGGTTATGTGGCTTGAAGAAGGTAAGGCTCTTCCTACCAAGAAACATACTTGGATAGAGGAGAATAGAGTTCAACTTCCCAAGGACAAACACATTTAAGACTTCATCCACCTAGAAGTATACACATGCTTCTCTCAAGATCATATGCAATCAACCTTGGCCTTGAATTTAAAGATATGAGAATCTCACAGGTGCCTGTTTGTTGATCCAAGACATCAAGCTTTCAATCTGCTGCTATAAGAATTTTAACATTATCAGCTGTACTAGAAGTAGTGACACATTACTTTGAAGCTTTACTTCACACTTTTTCCTTTAACTAAAGGTGTTTTCCCATCTCCTATCTCAAAATCTACCTATCCCTGAAGTCTGGACTGTGTGTGCAGAAGAAAGCTAGTTGATCTCCTTAGTTCCCCCTCCTTCCTCTGAACCTCAACACACTATAACTCATCGTCGGAACTTTACTGCCTTACTTGGTTTCAGAGTCAGCTCCTCTCTCACCTCAACAGAAGTCCTATCCATGCTTCATACACAGTAGCTGAATGTAATTAAGTGTCCCAGTGGTAAAGAAACACAGGAGAAGGTGAGATTATATTGACTGGGTCTCTGGAGCACCTAGTTCTATAGTTTATAGATGACGTTATTTTAAAGACATTTAATAGCAACTGACCCTCAAACAGAACAAGGAATGTTACAATAGCAGCTTCCTTATGGAAAAAATAAAGTCGTTTCTATACTAGACTTTCACATGAATCATCTATATCACTTTTATCTATTACTGCTAAGAATAGAGCAGGAGCCAGGCTTTGCCTCCAGTATTGAAACTTACTTGTAACTGGACAGTTGTTGCCATCGTAGAGCTGGTGACCTTGAATACAGCCACAGGAGTAACAGCCTGGGGTATCATGACATAGTCGGTTGCTAGGACCACATGCCAGAGAGCACTCGTCTACATGTGATGACAGAGATCCCTAAGTTAGAGAGGACCCAGGAACAATCTTTTCAGTATTTTTGTTCTCCGGAGCCACTTCCCAGATGCTCACTGAATATGTACTATGTGGAAGTCACTGAGCCAGGGGCCAGAATAGACAGTCTCTTTCTCTATAGAGTTCCCACTCACATGAATATAATTTAACAGACACATCAGTATAGGAACCCCAGACGTTTGACTGGTACAGAATATTGATTTATGTTACTTTAGCAACATTTATTGGGATGCCACATGTCAAGCTGGCCAGAGTGTAACTCAGAATGACAAATGTTACTGCCTGGACTTCACTACTGGTGTCATGGGACAACCTGTCCAAGGTGATGGAAACAACTTAAGCTTCCCAGGTATAACTGGTGACATTTAGATCAAGTATTATCATTTCTCAAAGCTCGACGGCAGGGACCCTTTAGAATATGAGTCACAGGACCAGGAATGATTTATTTTGGTGTTTGTTGTTTGTTTGGCAGAAAGAAGTGTGGTTCCTTGGGGCATTGCCAGAAAAACATCATTTCTCCAAAACCATGGGGTTCTAGAATAGAATGATGCCTTCCCATCCCAGGAGAATAATCAATGTATGGCTACAAGTCAAGTTCAGTGGCCAGTCAAGTCCTGCAGTGGGCCCGGAATGCTGCAGGATGCCTGCGGAAAGATGCCGCAGGAGCCTGGGCGTATGTATAATACAAAACCCAGACCTCTCCAGGGTCAGGACCAGAAACTGACTTCAGACTCCTAATAAAGAATGAATAAATAAGTTGTTTTATCCAAAATAGGCTTAATAATTATTCATAATATGACAAAAACTTATTGATGAATTCTCAATATAAAATCATCATTGACTGTAACTCTCATGTTATTAAACCAGGGCCTTTTCTCTTGTATCCTTCTGATATGGTTTGGCTGTGTTCCCACCCAAATCTCATCTTGAATTGTAGCTCCCATAATTCCCATGTGTCATGAGAGGGACCCTGTGGGAGGTAACTGAATCATGGGGGCAGGTCTTTCCCGTGCTGTTCTGGAGATAGTGAATAAGACATGAGATCTGTTGGTTTTAAAAAGGGGATTTCCCCTGCACATGCTCTCTTGCCTGCCACCATGTAAAATGTGACTTTGCTCATTTGCCTTCTGCCGTGATTGTGAGGCCTCCCCGGCCATGTGGAACTGTGAGTCCATTAAACCTCTTTTACTTTACAAATTACCCAGTCTTGGGTATGTCTTTATTAGCAGCGTGAGAACAGACTAATACACCTTTCCACCTAAATAGGTAAGGCTGCAGGTAGAGCCCATGTAGACAGAGGGAACTATTGATTAAGGGTAACTGATATTAAGGCTCAGGGTGGCAAGACTGATCTACCGAACAGGCCAAAGCATCAAGACAATAAATCCTTTAACCTCCTAATCACATTTTAACCTAAAATACCATCCTGTATTTTTATGGACAAGTGCTACAATAGCAGCCATAACCTTTACACATTATTAATGAATGGTGAAGATATATGAGATTTATTTCAACCATTCTGGCACAAGAATCCCATTTTATAAAGAGGAGAAATGAGACTTGAAGACTTGGAGAAGCTCAGCTAGCAGAAACACGAAAGGATAAACATACAGTGGGTTCTAATTTCAGAATCTGTTCTGATGCCAAGGTGTGTACCTCAGACATGGCCATGAAGTAACAAACATCTATTTTTTTCCATGACAGAAACCCTTCAATTCCATAAGAGAAATATGCTAAATTTAATGTTTTCTCATTAGGCTACAGTTGACCAGCAGTTCCCACAAAAGAGGATGATAACAGGCATTGGTGAGGATGTGGAGACACTGAAACACTTAATTACTGCTGGTGAGACTGTCAATGGTACAAGCACTACAGAAAACAGTTTGGCGGTTCCTCAAAAAGTTAAACACAGAATTACCATATGACTTAGCAGTTCCACTTCTGGTTTATATCTAGAGAATTGAAAGCAGAAATTCAAACAGATCATTGAACACCAATGTTCAAGTATCTTGGTAAAGGGATCATGTCTTAGTTGTAGTTAGTTGTACTTGTACTAAATACTTAGTGGTACTTAGTGTAGTACCACTAAGTACTTAGTACTTACTACTTACTAAGTTGTACTTAGTATAGTTACTCATTTGATTTTAAAAGTCTGGCTTATAAAAAACCAGTACTTAGTTCTTACTAAGTTGTACTTAGTATAGATAGTCATTTGATTTTAAAAGTCTGGCTTATAAAAACCATTAAAAATAAAATACTGAGGCAATATTAGTTTTTAATGGATAGCTAACAACTTTGCTGTCTACTCACATTCTATCTGTACCTCACATGACTTGAAGAAAACTATTAAACTGAGAGTAGTCGATGTCAGTAACTAACATGGGAGCTCAGGCTCAGTCAACAGGCTACTTGGGTTGAAGTTTCAGTTGGATCACTTACTAGAAGCGCGACCTTGGGAGAGTTCCTTCCTCTCTCTGGACTTCAGTTTTCTTGTTCATAAAATGCGGGTAGTAAATAAGTGACGCTACGAAGGTTCAGGAATTAAGTGAGCACAAAACCGCTCGGCACAATACCCACCACATAAATGCTCATAAACTAGTAACTCTTTTGCTCCCTCTTCCCACAGATTCTCCCAGAAGGATCACAAGGTTGCAGTCAGCCCTCAAAGACTCACATCAGGTGAGTGACAACTTGAACAATGATGATTCTTGGTCCAGGGACCAAAAGTGCATGTGGATTCTACACATTATCTGCAGATGAGTCTCAAACCTTACTTTCCAAATTTAAGGAAATGCTTGCTGTGAATACATAAGCAATTTATTTATGAATGTATTTATTTTCATATTAAATTCCTGGTAGCTTTCTCATAGTCTGTCACTATACCAAGTACAATGACTACGTGCCGTTCTAAAACAGACATCATAAAGGTGTCTTCACACTAGAAGGTGTTAGAAATCACTGCTTGGTAGAAGCAAGAAAGGTAAGTAACATTGACTCCTGTTTCAGAACTGGTGTGGGCAGATCAGCTTCAACAGAGAGGCTGGACCCGGTTTGGCAAAAATTCTGAAGCAAAATCGGAGGGTTAGAATCCTTCCTGAAAGAGATGCAACTCAGATGCTAAGTGGCGCCCCCTCCAAACTGGTTCACAGTATCTTGACCAAGAAAGAGTCTGCATAAGTTAAAATGGCTTAAAATCGACTTTCCAATCATAGGGGGCTAACCAGGAGCACCTGCCTGGCCAGGTGGTTTAACAAGTGCTGGGCGCCGGGCTATATCTCCAGGCACCGCCTTCACCCTTCGGGAACTGTGCGTGTCTGGGTCACCCTGGAACCGGCACTCATCTCACCCCTGCTTTGGGGTCTGCCTACACCTGAACGGTGTCAATAAGTGCCTCCAGAAAGTGTCTTCCTAAATGCACCTCAAGCCCCCAACACCCTTTCCTCTGGGCTGTTTCTGGAGTTGGGCACCTGTCTGCGAGGTCCGGCGTCTCCAGGAGGCTAAACCTGCTGCCTGTAAAACCCGGGGCGCGGGGCCCGACCCACCGAGATCTAGGCGAAAGCGAATCCCACTCGGCCCCGACGTTAGAAGGAAGAGCCCAGGTGGGAGGGTGCGGCCCGCTCTCAGGTTTGGAGCGGACCTCTTCTCCCACCTGTTTGAGGGTGCAAAAACGGAAAGACACTGAATTTGTCCGCTGAGCCCACCTCCCCTCCCAGCCACTGGGAGGTCTGTAAAGGGCCGAGAAGCAGGTGGTCCGAGCCCGGGGCATGGACGGCGGCCCCTGCAGAAGGCCCAGCCACGCCCTGCTAGATCCTGGACAACCCGACGCTGCAGCATGGGACAGGACACACCCCGCGAGGGAGCCCCAGCCGCCGGCCCCTGCCGCGCCCCTCGGCGACACGCGACGCCTGCGCCCTGCAGAGCAGTCCTCTCTCTGGGCGCCCTTGGCAGCCCGACCCACTCACCTGACCTGGACACCGCGACGCTACCAGCGTGGCCAATCCCGGCGAAAGGAGGAGGACGGGTGTCCAGCGCCCCAGACCCGGGAGGGGTCGGGCGTGGAAGACCTGGCGCTGGATACCGGCGTCTCCGGGCTGCAGCTGCGCTCGCTGGGAGTAGCAGAGAGGCGCGCGAGGTGCGGGCTCAGTTTCCCTAGGAGCTCTGGGTAATCTGAAAGTAGTTACGAAAAGAAATTCAAAATGTTTAAAAGATGAATTAAGATGTTCTAACTCATAAGTGGCAGTTGAACAATGAGAACACATGGACACAGGGAGGGGAACATCACCCACCGGGGCCTGTTGGGGGTGAAGGGGAATGGGGAGAGAGAGTATTAGGGCAAATACTTAATGCATGCAGGGCTTAAAACCTAGATGACGGATTGATAGGTGCAGCAAATGACCATGACACATGTATACGTATGTAATAAACCTGCATGTTCTGCACATGTTCCCCAGAACTTAAAAAAAAAAAGATGAATTAAGAGCTGTTGTTATAAAAGGCATAGGGTCACGGGTATGACAGAGGAACTGGCAGGGAACCAACCCTCTCCCTCTAAATAAACACCTAGAAAACTGGTCAACTTCCCATGAAAAAATTGTTTTCAGGGAGATTAATCCCCCAAAGAAAGAAAACAATCACCATGAGTTTCCATCTGGAGGCATTTGCCAAACCTGGCAATAGAGGAGGAACACAGTAGTCTCATATAATTAAGGAGACAGAGATCAGAATTTGGGCAGCCTGAAGCAGCTGGAACTTGAGAGGCAGAGCACTAAAGAGAAGAGAGCTGGCTGGGCGCGGTGGCTCATGCCTGTAATCCCAGCACTTTGGGAGGCTGAGGCAGGCGGATCACCTCAGGTTAGGAGTTCAAGACCAGCCTGGCCAACATGGAGAAACCCCGTCTCTACTAAAAATACAAAATTAGCCCAGTGTGGTGGCACATGCCTGTAATCCCAGCTACTTGGGAGGCTGAGGCAGGAGAATCGCTTGAACCCAGGAGACAGAGTTTGCGGTGAGCAGAGATCACACCATTGCACTCTAGCATGGGCAACAAGAGCAAAACTCCGTCTCAAAAAAAAGAAAAGAAAAGAAAAGAAAAAAAAGAGCTACATAAAAGAGTTTACAAAATCTTTACAGGAGTTTGTTTGTATCTTTGGCTAAATCCCAAGGTGTGCATGTATAGGGTGAGATTTCACGAGACCAGGGAAAGAATGACTACCGAAGAGTTATCAACAATTCATAGATTTTGACAGGTTTCAGACATCTAAGTTCTAAGCAGTTATTGAACACCTGAGATATTTCACAGGGGCCCAAAAGGCTTCTGGCTCTAAAGTGTTCACCTGTAGTCACAGCTACTTGAAAGGCTGAGGCAGGAAGATGGCTTGAGCCCTGTAGTTCTAGGCTGTAGTGAGCTATGATCATGCCTGGGAATAGTCACTGCACTCCAGCCTCAGCAACATAGACTGTCTCTAAAAAAAAACAAAAAAAAACAAACAAAAAAAATTTTTAGGATCCCCCTCCACCAAGAACTTTTGTTTATGAATATCTACCTAAATCTATCAATACTTACTGTATCCTAAATTAAAGCTAAGAATGGTAAAGAATATTTATTTATTAATTCAATTAAAATAGCAATAATAAACTGATTACATGTTAACATATATAACACATTTTTATGAATAATCACATTTTCCAAAATAAAAAACTAATGACAACAGTAGTATTGTTTTACATTCTGAAAGCCTCTTTAATGACATTAATAGAAGACAGCTGCACTCTCCTGTGCGTTTGCATTCCATCTATTAGTGTGTTGTTTTGGTTCCAGTATACAAAGAAAATCTGGCCTTACACAGATATGCAGTTGGCCGTGGAAAAAGTATTTCAATAGCCCTTTCAGATAATTGCTGATATTCTTCTTTGGTGCTGTTATGGGTTCATTTATGTCCCCTAAAAAGGATATGTTGAAATCCTAACTCCCAGTACCTCAATACATGACCTTATTTGGAAATAGGGTCTTTGCAAATTTAACCAAATTCATAGAATGTGGCCTAATCCAAGATGTCCAATGTCCTTATGAAAAGGGGAAATTTGGGCCGGGCATGTTGGCTTATGGCTATAATCCTAGCACTTTGGGAGGCCGAGGCGGGTGGATCACCTGAGGTTGGGATTTTGAGACCAGCCTGGCCGACATGGAGAAACCCCATCTCTACTAAAAGTACAAAACTTAGCTGGGCGTGCTTGTGCATGCCTGTAATCCCAGGTACTTGGGAGGCTCAGGCAGCAGAGGAACTTGAACCCAGGAGGCGGAGGTTGTGGTGAGCCAAGATCGAGCCATTGCACTCCAGCCTGGCCAATAAGAGTGAAACTCCATCTCAGAAAAAGAAAGAAAAGGGGAAATTTGGACACAGACACATACCTATCTGTGAAGGAAACCAATGTGAGGAGACATAGAGAGAAGGCCATGGAAAGATGGAGGGAGGTCGAGGGCAGGATTATCCATAAGCCAAAGAAGGTGTGGGGCTACCAGGAGCTGTGGTGGCAAAAGGAACATCCTTCCCTAGAGGCTTCCCAGAGAGTCCAGACCCATTGACACCTGGATTTCAAACGTCTAACCTCCAGAACTGTAAGCCAATACACTTCTGTTCTGCCAAGCCATCCAATTTGTGATAGTGTGTTATGTCGGCCCTAGGAAATTTATGTAGATACTAACACCAAAATCCAAGAAGTGGTAATTTTCTAATGATTAGTTGCAATGCATGATCATAGCTCACCATAGCCTAGAACTATAGGGCTCATGCTGTCCTCCGGCCTCAGCCTCTCAAACAGCTGAGACTACAGGCATACACCAATGGGCCCAGGCCTTAATAATTCTTAAGCCTTTATTCTAGAGCCAGTAGGCTTCCGGGAACCTACAAAATATCCCAGGTGTTCAGTAATGGCTCAGAACTCAAACGTCTCTGAAACCTGTTAAGATCCATGAGTTGTTTATCTTATAACTCTTCAGTAGTCATTCTTTGCCTGGCCTCATGAAATCCCACCCTATACATGTACAGCTTGGAATTTAGCTAAGGAAACATATGAACCTCTGAAACCATATAAATGAACATTTAACAAATGTTGCGTGTTCTCATTCATCTATGGGAGCTAAAAAGGCAGATCCCATGAAGATAAAGAGTAGACTAGTGGTTTCCAGAGGCCAGGAAGAGGAGGGGGCATGAAAAGAGGTTGATTAGTGGATACATTAATACAGTTAGATAGAAGTAATAAGAGCTGGTGTTTAATAGATCGGCAGGGGACTATAGTTAACACTAATCTAGTGTATATTTCAAAACAGCTAGAAGACAGTAATTCAAATGTTCCTAGCATAAAAAAAGATAAGCACTTAAGATGATGGATAACCCAATTACCCTGATTTGATCTTTCACACTATATGAATGTATCAAAATATCACATGTACCCTGAAAATAAGTACATATATTATGTATGAATAAAATAAAAAGCAAATAGCAGGGCCGGGCACAGTGGCTCATGCCTGTAATCCCAGCACTTTGAGACACCAAGGCAGGCAGATCACCTGAGGTTAGGAGTTTGAGACCAGCCTGACCAACATGGAGAAATCCCTTCTCTACTAAAAATACAAAATTAGCTGGGTGTGGTGGCACATGCCTGTAATCCTAGCTACTCAGGAGCCTGAGGCAGGAGAATTGCTTGAACCCAGGAGGCAGAGGTTGTGATGAGCCGAGATCATGCCATTGCACTCCAGCCTGGGCAACAAGAACAAAACTCCATCAAAAACAAAAACAAAAAAAAAGCAAATAGCAAACAAAAATAAAATAACAAAATAGATGAGGCAAATTGCTACACAAATGTTTTTATTTAGTGTTATATTTTGTTTTCTACCTGTGAAATTTGCTGATTTATGTATGTTCAGTATATTAATCTCCATCTATGAGTCAATTCACCAATACTTTATACTCTTTCATTCTGGATAGCAGAGAGCTGTGTGGGTGTGTGCATCAAACAACTAAAGAGAATGAATGTTGAATGATGATGTGCCAGGAGATACTAGCCTGAAAAGATTTCACGAACAAGATGAAATTTAAGCAGCAATTTGAAAGAAAAAAGAAACATGCCACAGAGGATTGTTTATGAAGTAAGTCAAATCTGTGTGAATTTTCTCAGCTATTTGTTTGGCAATATGGCAAACTGAGTCACTTTGAAAGAGTCCATCTGTTTTATACATGTAAAGCATGGAATACTATGCAGCCATTAAAAAGAATGAGATCATGTCCTTTGCAGGAACATGGATGGAGCTAGAGGCCATTATCCTTTTCAAATTAACAGAAACTGCCTTTATCTTTTGCAGAAACAGAAAACCAAATACCGCATGTTCTCACTTATAAGTGGGGGCCAAATGATGAGAACACATGGACTTAAGTAGGGGAACAACAAACACTGGAGCCTGGTTGAGGGTGGAGGGTGGGAGGAGGGAGAGGATCAGGAAAAATAACTAATGGGAACTAGGCTTAATACCTGGGTGATGAAATAATCTGTACAACAAACTCCCATGACGTGAGTTCACCTATATAGCAAACCTGCACATCTACCCCGACCTGAAAATAAAAGTTAAATTTAAAAAGTGTAGCTTGCTACTTTATTTAACAGATTCTCTCTCTTCTTTCTCTCTTTTCTTTTTTTTTGTGATTGTTGCTGTTTTTGTTTTTACCAATTTGCTTCTTATTTAGGTTTGTCCTGCTAATATTTGAAGATTAATGTTCATTTGTTTATGGAACAACAGAAATTATTCCCCAATAAGATCTAGGCAATAAATGGGAAAAGAAAGCAGCAGCCAAGAAATTAAGAGACTGGAATTCTATTTCTTGCTCTGCTCCTTGTTAGCTGTATGATTTTTGTTAAGTTTCTTAGACCCTCTGGGATTCTTATGTAAAATCAGAAGGTAGAGATTGGCCCTCTCTTAGTTTTTGTTGTTGTTTGTTTTGTTTTGAGACAGAGTCTTGTTCTGTCACCCAGGCTGGAGTGCAGTGGTGCAATCCTGGCTCACTGCAACTTCCACCTCCCAAATTCAAAGGATTCTTCTACCTCAGCCTCCTGAGTAGCTGGGATTACAGGCACCCACCACCATGCTTGGCTAATTTTTGCATTTTTAGTAAAGACAGGGTTTTGCCATGTTGGCCAGGCTGGTCTCTAGCTCCTGACCTCAGCCTCCCAAAGTGCTGGGATTACAGGCGTGAGCCACCACACCCAGTCATCTCAGATATTTTCAAACGTCAGTATTCTGTACATCCCAAACCATATTGTTACAAACGTCTAAAAACATGCTTGAAAATCTACATGGAAGGGATTCAGAGAAAATGCCAGGTTAAGCATGCAATTTCCTGACCTTTCATCCTCCCACCTTTTTGCAAGCACTACCCAACAATTGAGATAAGGGTGACATGCCAGCAGGTGCCCGTGGCTGCGGGCAGTGGCCAAGGGCATGCATTTGTTATGCTTTAAGGTGCACACAAATGATCTGGGGATCTTGTTACTATGTACATTCCTTTGAATAGATCTGGGGTGAGGCATGAGTTTCTGCATTTCTAACAAACTCCAACGTAAGGCTAATGCCATTGACCCGTGTCCCCTCTTTGCGCAGCACAGATCTCCAAAGGGATTCTTGAGTGCACCTGAGGACTGAATTCTCCAGAGGATGGACAGGTGCAGAGACTCACAGCTTGACATGCTATGTGGAAAGCAGAAAGCCTAGGCTAATGAGATGGGTTTTGCCCCCCAGCAGGGAACCTCCAAGGTACAGGCTGCAAATGCTGAAGTCCAACTGAGAGACTCTACTGGGTCCCTTTTTTGGTACTCTGCATGTTTGCTGAACGTGATCTTTTGGGAGACTGAAGAACCTGGGCTGAGCGACAGCTGAGAAATGACTTGTTCCAAGGCTCTATGGTTGTAAGTGCCTTTTCTTCTCTCCCTTGAGCTTTGCCCCATAACTTGCACCTCTCTTCACCCTCAAAATAATAAGGCCTCCTCTCGTCCACCATAAAACCAATCTGCCATCTCATTCATCATTTCCTGCCAGTCCAGCGTTTGCCATTGTTCTTCAAAATCCTGACTTTTGTGGTGACTGAGGGAGCCCACCTTCACGAACAGGCAGACACTGAAGAAGTACCTGCCTCACAGGTAGGATGCCTGGCCAGGGTAGACAGGTGGTTTCTACTGAGGCAGAACTCACTGATAAGACAGGAGAGAAAGTTGATAAAAAAAACATTAGAGAACACTTAGGAGATGTAATGGGAGCAAAAATAAGATGTTCAGAAATTCAAAGTATGATTTACAGATTTATACACTTAATGGAAAGGACACGAAAAATATTGATAAATGAACTGTGATTTGGGGAGGAGAAATGGAAGAAAGAGCTGAGAACACCAAATAAAATACAAGCAAACAGAAAATATGAAAGAAGAGATAAGAATGGAGAGCCTAGCCTGGAGTTTAACTTTGCGAATAATAGCAGTTTCAGAGGGACAAAAAGCACTTGATGAGGAAATGGTAATGTTCACATATGTATACATAAGAAAACTTCCCTGAGGCCGGGTGTGGTGGTTCATGCCTGTAATCCCAGCAATTTGGGAGGACGAGGCGGGCGGATCACCTGAGGTCAGGAGTTTGAAACTAGCCTGGCCAGTATAACAAAACCCCGTCTCTACTAAAAATACAAAAATTAGATGGGTTTGGTGGCAGGCACCTGTAATCCCAGCTACTCAGGAAGCTGAGGCATGAGAATCGCTTGAACTCGGGAGACAGACGTTGCAGTGAGCCAATATGGTGCCACTGCACTCCAGCTTGGGTGACAGAGCGAGATTCCATCTCAAAAAAAAAAAAAAAAAAAAAAAGCCAGTTGCGGTGGCTCACACCTGTAATCCCAGCACTTTGGAGGCCAAGGTGGGTGGATCACCTGAGGTCAGGAGTTCAATACCAGCCTGGGCAACATGGTGAAGCCCCGTCTCTAAGAAAAATACAAAAATTAGCTGGGCAAGGTGGCAGGTGCCTATAATCCCAGCTACTCAGGAGGCTGAGGCAGGAGAATCACTTGAACCAGGGAGGTGGAGGTTGTAGTGAGCCGAGATCACGCCATTGCACTCCAGCCTGGGTGACAAGAGCAAAACTCCATCTCAAAAGAAAAAAAAAAGGAAGAAAGAAAGAAAGGAAGGGAGGGAGGGAGGGAGGGGGGGAGGGAGGAAGGAAGGAAGGAAGGAAGGAAAAACTTCCCTGAGCTGAAGAGACTTGTTTCCTGTTAGAAAGTGTTCATTAATTCCCAAGCAAAATGAATGAGATTGGATATCCTCGGCCATACATCACTGAAATTTCTGAACCCCGAGGATGGAGAAAACACAGATTGAGTATCTCTAATCCTAAATGCTTGGACCAGAAATGTTTCAGATCTCTGATCTTTTCCGATTTTGGAATATTTGCATATGCATAATGAGATATCCTGGAGATGGTACCAAGTCTAAACATGAAATTCATTTACGTTTCATATACACCTGATACACATAGCCTGAAGGTAATTTTATACATTATTTTAACAACTTTGTACTTGAAACAAACTTTCTGTACATGAGGTCAGGTGTGGAATTTTTTACTTGTGGAGTCATGTTGGTACTCAAAAAGTTTCAGATATTGGAGCCTTTCAGATTTTGCATACTCGGATTAGGGACCCTCAAGCTGTACAAAATGTTAGACAGAGAAAACGAGTTCTTGAATAGGAAGAGAATCCAGGCTAGCACCAAACTTCTCATTTCAGACTTTCGATAGAAAGAAACATGGAAGTTTCTATTGATAGTCTTATTTCCCATGGGCTGAGAATCCTGTACAGATGCATCATGTTCAAATATGAGTGCAAAAGAAGACTATTTTTAGGCCAGGTGCAGTGGCTGACACCTGTAATCCCAACACTTCCGAAGGCCAAGGCAGGTGGATCACCTGAGGTCAGGAGTTCAAGACCAGCCTGGGCTACATGGTGAAAACCCATCTGTACTAAAAATACAAAAATTAGCCAGGGATGGTGGCACATGCTTCTAATCTCAACTACTTTGGAGGCTGAGGTGGGAGGATCGCTTGAATCCAGGAGCTGGAGGTTGCAGTGAGCTGAGATCATGGCACTGCATTCCAGCCTGGACAACAGAGCAAGACTCTGTCTCATTTAAAAAAAAAAAAAAGGATATTTTTAGACTTTCAAGAATTCAGAAGTTGATCATTGTTGTACCACTACAAAGAAAATCACAAAATGCTCAAAAAGAAAGTAAAGATTAATTCAATTCTAAGATTTAATGACAGGGAAGCAAAATAAGAATACAGAATACTGGGAATGGAATATATATTCTTGTAAAAAGTACAATTTCATTAGATACTGCAAAAGTGTGTGAAGGTCACCTTCTGTCTTCCCCGCCCTGCCTGGGAGACTGACAGACATGGACTCTTCAATGAGGCCCTGTGTCCTCTGGCTACCACTGGGTTCAGACACTGAGGAGCCCCATCAGGAGTCTCAAGGAAGGGAAGAGTGAGGTCAGAGTCTTCATTCACCATCTGGCAAAGTCTCCCGGGCTGGCCATGTGCCTCTCAAGAAGGCCATTGAGCCTCTTAAGTTGACTACTCTCCACTACTCTCTCCTTCCCAATTTTGGCAGTCTCTCCCGCACTCTGTTCCATCACACTCTGGAGTGAAGTCTCTGCTGTGGCACACCTAGGCGTCTGTACTCTCCCTGTGGGTCCTACCTCATCACACAAGTGTTAATTGTTCCTTTTTGGGAGGCTGAGGCAGCCATATCACTTATGGCCAGGAGTTTGAGACCAGCCTGGCCAACATGGTGAAACCCCATCTCTACAAAAAATACAAAAATTAGCCAACATGTTGGTGTGCACCTGTAGTTCCAGCTACTTGGGAAGCTGAGGCATGAGGCTTGAGCTTGGGAGGTGGAGGTTGCAGTGAGCCAGGGTCATGCCACTGTACTTCAGCTTTGGCAATAGAGCGAGACCCTATCTCAAAAAAAAAAAAAAAAAAAAAAAAAGAGAAAAAAGAAACAATTTTCCTATCTGACACTTTCCTACAGTTATATCCCAAATAATATAATTGTAAACTCTGAGTGATAATAAATGCTTTTGAAACAGAAAAATAAATATCTTATAAGGAAAAAATTTTAATGACCTGGAATTGGTGACATTATTACTGTAAGTGAAAAATAATCAAACTGCAAACAAACATATATTTATGTTACCTTCATGTAAGAAGAAAGAAAAATAAGAACACATACATTTCTCTACTTATCTTTATAAAAAGAAACGCAGGAAAGATAAACCAGATATCAAAGAAGTGGATTTCCTACAAGGAGTGGAGGAGAGCAGGAAATGGATAGGAGGAACCTGGGAGGGAATGATACTTTCTCTATGTGCACCTTTCGCCATGGTCATGACATGAAAGCATGTTGGTGGTGAAGGGTGGGAAGAGGGAAAGGATCAGGAAAAATAACCATTGGGTACTATACTTAGTACCTGGGTGACAAAATAATCTGTACCCCAAACCCCCATGACATGAGTTTACCTATGTAACAAACCTGCACATATACCCTTGAATCTAAAATAAAAGTTTAAAGAAATGTAAAAAGATGCATCAGCTGTTAACATCCATTCTTCGCTATGTGGTATTAGAAGGTAGAGAGATGACTAATATTTTTGTATACTCCAAGACTGACTTGAAAAAAGATTTGTTCTAATCTTGTAATATTTTTAAGCACTACAATAAAAATGAATGAAAATTTAAAAATGAATATGAGAAGAAAAACTGTTGCTCAAGTTGACCTTTGAGAGTGCTCCTGCAGTCTTTTGACATATCTTCATTAATGTTACTGTTATTGCTGTTCTTTGAGCATTTCCTCACTTTCTGATGCTACAAGATACTCCACTCTCATCTTGTTTTTTTATTTTTCTTTTTTTTTTTTTGAGATGGACTCTCACTCTGTCACCCAGGCTGAAGTGCAGTGGCGTGATCTCGGGTCACTGCGACCTCCGCCTCCCAGGTTCAAGCAATTCTCCTGCCTCAGCCTCCCAAGTGGCTGAGATTACAAGCGCCCACCACCATGCCCAGCTTTTTTGTTTGTTTGTTTGTTTGTATTTTTAGTAGCGATGGGTTTTCACCATGTTGTCCAGGCTGGTCTTGAACTCCTGACCTCAGGTGATGCACACACCTCGGCCTCCCAAAGTGCTGGGGTTACAGGCGTGGGCCATCACACCCAGCCTCCAGGCTCATCTTGTATATTTCCTGCTCAAGCCCTAGAATCAGCCATTTCTCAGGAAGCCCTAGTTCCTTTTATTGGAGAATGGGATTCGAAATCAAGATCTGGACGCAACATATGCCCATTGCACTGGCAGGTTATTGCTTACAGGCCTTCTCAGATGATAGAGCAAAGAAACATATGTGTGTATACTAACCCCTATATATACATATATCTATCAATGTTTCCATCTACAACCATCTGTATCTGTATTAAACAAAATGAATTCATACTAATGTCATGTCTGCATCTCTAATCCATTACCATATGGATCATCCTAGCATTTTCCCCTTGCTTATCTGTAACATCTCACTGCAACAGTGAGAAAACTAGCTCCCACCATCTGCCATGCATTTACTTAATGGATCAATTCCCCTGCACATGTATGGTTTACGTGTTTATTAACCTTCACCCCTGCCAGGGTTTGTTTTTTCTTTTTTTCGTATAAAGCAAACAGGAAACAAATAATAAAATGATAGACCTAAGTTTAACCATTTAAATAATTACATTAAATTATACTAATTGGTTATAATCTGAATGTTTGCATCTCCCCAAAATTAATATGTTGAGCCTCAATCACCAAAGTCATGATATTAGGAGACGGGGCCTTTGGAAGGTGATTAGGTCATGAAGACCAGAGCCCTCATGAATGGGATTAATACCCTTATAAAAGAGGTCCCAGAGAACTGCCCTGCCCCTCCCACCATGTGAGCCAGAAAGTGGGCTCTCACCAGACTTTGCATCTGCCAGCACCTGGATCTTGGACTTCCCAGCCACTAGAACTCTGAAGAATAAATTTATGTTGTTTATAAGCCACCTAGTTTATGGTGTTTTGTTATAAAAACCCAGCAGACTAAGATGTGATCTAAACAAACTAATTAAAAGACAGAAATTTATAAACATGCATTTTACAAAAAGACCCAACTATATGCCTTCTGTAAGTAATCCACTTTAAATGCAATGACATTGATATTTTAAAATGTGATAAATGTAATGAAAGGATGGAAAGCATACATTATGCAAATACTAATTAAAAGAAAGCTAGAATGGCTACATTCACATCAGATAAATATCAGAAACAATTAAAATTATCAGGGACACAACCTGCGTAGGGGATCAAAATTAACATGGTTCATGAAGGGCAGTGGATGCTGCATGCCTCCAGATAGAATGTCCTGAAGAAGACACAAAATCCCTTCATGAGAATGTGTAACCTGAATCTAATCACAATAGAATCATCAGAAAAATGCAAACGAAACAACATTCTGTTTTTAAAATGTCAGAGGGGAATGTATGCCTAAAAACTATTGATGTCATAAAAGACTAAGAAAGGCTGTGGGGAGTTGCAGGTCAAAGGAGGCTAAAGAGACATGCCAACTAAATGTGATATTTAACCCTGGCCTGGATCCTCCCTGGAGAGGAGTGAGGAGTCCTGTGAAAGACATTATTAGGTCAACCAACAAGACATGAATATGGGCCATAGATTAGATAAAAATATGACATTAATAGAAATTTATGAAATCTGTAACTATACTATGGATATGTAAGAGAATGTCACTCTTCTTAGGAAGTACACACTGAAGTGTTTAGGGATAACAGCCATGATATACGTACCTTACCCTCAAATGGTTCTGAAAATAATCACACACATGTGTATGTGTGTGTGCGTGTGTGTGTGTACAGAGAGAAAGCAAATGAATAGAGCAAATGTTATAACATATTAATAACAGGTAAATCTGAGTAAAGGGCATTACCAGTATTCTTTGTACTATTGTATTTTACTAATTATAAAGTGTTTTCAAAAATGTTATAAAAATTGACCAGGTGTGATGGCTCACACCAGTAATCCTAACACTTTGGGAGGCTGAGGTGGGTGGATCTCTTGAGGCCAGGAGTTCAAGACCAGCCTGGCCAGCATGGTGAAACCCCATCTCTACTAAAAATACAAAAGTTAGCCAGGTGTGGTGGTGTGCGCCTGTAATCCCAGCTACTCTGGAGGCTGAGGCAGGAGAATTACTTGAACCCGGGAGGTAGAAGCTGCAGTGAGCCGAGATCGTGCCACTGCACTCCAACCTGGGCGACAGAGCAAGACTCCATCTCAAAAAAGAAAAAAGTTATAAAAATTATCCATAACTCAATTCTTAACTTCATTAATAAAATATAGAGGTTAGGAATGGGAGACCCATGGGGAAAGTGAATGTCTTCTCAATGTCGTAGTTGGTGGGGAATAGGAATGATGATGAATCTTTAGAGAGTCAGAGTGACTATTTTAGTATAGTCACATATTCACAGAGACTTCTAACCCTATGAGTTAAAATATAGAAGATATATAGTAAAATTTGTATTGCTTTATATTTTAGAAGGACACAGAGAGTTTTTTAAATTAATGTCCTGATTAATCTGGAAGAAATGTGAAAAGGAGAAAAGCATGAACAACAATAGGTATAATAAATAGAAAAATGCAAAGTAATAAGAAGATGTGAAATCAAATCCATGAGATACAGGGAGAAATGTGAACGGATTGAACACCAGTATTAGATGATAAGGACTCTCAGAACGGATTAAGACATAATACCAAACTATATGCTTCCTACAAGACACACATGTAAAACTTTTGACAGAAAATTTGAAACTTAAGGGATAGGCAGAGATACCAAGCACAGGCAAACCAAATAATTTAAATAAAATGAAATTCAAAAGCAGTGACTTTGCTATCAGCTGTAGGAGAGCCACATGAGTTTGCAGGTGATGAGAAATCATTTGATACCTCCCTATTTTCTTTCTACCCCGAGGAGGGTGTGCCACGTTTCCTTAACAACCCAGTCCACCCCTTTGTTCCAGCATAAATGGCATTAATGATGGTTTCATTGGTCATCATCTGGGGGCGGTCTCTCACTAACAGCCTAATTTCCTATTGCCGAGAAGACGGTTCTGATTTTTTTTTTAACGTATAGAAACGTGCATACGTGATTTTTGTGAAGTTTGTTCTAATGATCTGAGACATCTCTACTCACCCTGGAGAAAAGACTACAGCTGTGAATGGTGTGTTGACGCCACTAAAATTACAGCTGCTTACAGCTTCCAGGTCTTTTCCATAAACCACTAAAAGCAGAACCCTCTAGGATACACCTGGAGCTTTGTGGGCTGGCTTTCCAAGTCTGAGTTTTTGCTGCCACCTACAGGCTCAATCTGGGCAGCACACTTTGCCCTTAATGCCACTTTTGACTCATACCAAAAGGTCCCTTAAATAGCGTCTACGTTGCAAATTGCCCAAGGAACCAAAGTAAGTATCCAGCCTCCATGAATATGGCAAGTATCCCCAGACAGGAGCTACAGGGACACGTCCTCTACATATAAGGGACAGCGGTAAAGCAATTAATTCTCACCAGGAATATCTTCCCTTGCCGGACCCTGAGATGACCATTGAGCATGGAATCCCAGAATCATGCCATCTTTCCAGCCTGGAAATTCATCACTTCTCACTGCAAACACCCACATTTATTCCATGCATCCTATGTGCCCGGCATCTTCCCCATGCATTATCTCATTTATTATTCACAACAATACTATGAGATAATAACTCTCATCACCTCTTTTTACAGACAAGGAAACAAACCGAGTTTCAGAGAAACCAAATAACTTGTCCAAAAAATACAACTAGTAAATGATAGATTCTGGGTTTAAACCCAAATCTTGCAGTTCAAACTCAACAACTCTTCAGAGTGTGACATCCTTGATTTATTCATGGAAAAATCAACCCCATTGCCGAGCAACTTGAACAACCTTCCTTGAAGAAGGGTAAAATGTGTTACTTTCATGCTGTATTTTCCTGTTGGTAACAATGTCCAACTCCCAAAAAATCTACAGCAACTGACCACATGAAACTACTAAATTCTTCGGAAGAAAAATTAGTAAGTGCCCATACTAAATGGCCACAATAGCTTCAATGAGCTCTTCTTCTTGGTAAAGATACTTCCATTCGTTCATTCATTCATTCATTTATTCCAACATGCTCCTGCAAGCCACCCAAACCATATCAAGATACAATAGAGTACCTGCATCCACAGGGACATAAGGGGAACCCGGGGTGTGCTGTGGGTATGATGTCACCTAACAGCACTAATCTGAAGTCAGTTTCTGTTTTTTCTTCTTCAGAATCCTTTTTCACAAAAACTACAAAGAATTTACCCACAGGCAATGAAAGCCTTTCTTTTCATTGTTCTTTCTATTTCTTTCAAGTTTATGTTTTCAATTTCATTTAAATAATGTAACTTTAAATGCATTAATTTGATTGTATTATACATCACTGAGGGAAGGTTCAGGGCAGTTTTTTTTTTTTCTTTTCCTTTGCTTGTCTTCACCCTGTCTTTGTTTTTTCTTCACATTCCTCTCAGTAATCCCCACTTATCAAGGTAAAACATATAATAAATATTATGCTTTGTACTACATGTTTACATATCCCTGTAGAGACATATAAATACGTACACATTTGGAGAGGAAAGCCCCTCCCCAAATCCACTTTATGTGTGTACCCATACAATTTTCAAGGCTATTGTTTGATAAAATCTCTTGGCCACTCAGAATCCATAGACTAAAATCCACGTGCAGTGGTTCACGCCTGTAGTCCCAGCTACTCGAGAGGCTGAGGCAGGAGGATTGCTTGAGCCCAGGAGTTCAAGGCTGCAGTGAGCCATGATCATGCCTGGGAATAGCCACTGCACTCAACCTGAGCAACATAACATTGCCCATTCACTATGATGTTGTCTGTGAGTTTGTCATAAATGGACGGCTCTCAATATTTTGAGGTATATTCCTTTGATGCCTAGTGAACTCCCAGACTCCACAGACTCAGCTAAAAGGATTCAGAGCCCTCTTACTTCAACCTCTGCCTCATAGCAAGTGATTGAATAAGCCTCTAAGTCAGATTATTCTCCCTTAAAGATCTTCCAGATCAAAGACGTAGTGATGACCCTAGGCAGGTAAAAAACATTTCTGTGTTTTGTCTTCTAGGGTAGGTAAAAAGATGTTTTCTTAAGTCCAAATAATATATCTCCAGCTTCTATATAAAGTGATTTTACAGATTAAATAAATCCTTATTGGATCATCTGTTCCTAAAATTATTAAAAGTTAATTGAGGAAACAAAACCTACCCTAAAAGAGAAAGTCAATGATGATTCCAAGGAGTGGATAAGAGTGTAATTTCCAAGGCCAGGTGCAGTAGCTCACACCTGTAATCCCAGCACTTTGGGAGGCCAAGGTGGGCAGATCACTTGAGGTCAGGTGTTCGTGACCAGCCTAGCCCACATAGTTAAACCCCATCTTTATTAAAAATACAAAAATTAGCCAGGCGTGGTGGCAGGTGCCTGTAATCCCAGCTACTCGGGAGGCTAAGGCAGGAGATTCGCTTGAACCTGGGAGGCGGAGGTTTCGGAGAGCCAAGATCATGCCACTGCACTCCAGCCTCAGTGACAGAGCAGACTATCTCAAAAAAAAAAAAAAAAAACAAAGTATAATTTCTGAAGTGTGATCAAGTATATTCAAATTCCAGCTTCACACTTACATGCTGTATGGCATTTAGCAAACCAGTTAATCTTTCTGTGCATTGTTTCTATATCATAGACTTCTAAGAATTGAGGTAATACATACAAAGCACAGAGCAAAAGCCAAGGCTCTGGTATGAGTAATAGATTTCAGAAAAATGCTGCTGACCCAGTTTTCAACCCCAGAAGAGATGATTCCCTTGGCTTGACAGATAGAAGCAGAGGACATGATAAAAAAAAAAAAAAGCCCTCCACAAACTGGGTATCAAAGGAATATACTTCAAAATAATAAGAGCCATCCATCTATGACAAACCCACAGCCAGCATCACAGTGAATGGGCAAAAGCTGGAGGCATTCCTTTTAAGAACAGGTACAAGATAGAGTTGCCTACTCTCACCACTCCTATTAAATATAGTACTGGAATTTCTATCCAGAGCAATCAGGCAAGAGAAAGACATAAAAGGCATCCAAACAAGAAAATAAGTCAAATTATCTCTCTTCATAGATTTAATGATTCTATACCTAGAAAAGCCTGAAGACTCCACCAAAAGGCTCCTAGAACCAATAAACAACCTCGGTAAAGTCTCAGGATACAAAATTAATGTGCAAAAATTCAGTAGCATTTCTATACACCAATAACATTCAAGCTGAGATCCAAATCAAGAACACAATCCCATTTATAGTAGCCACCAAAAAAACAAAATACCTAGGAATACATCTAACCAAGGAGGTAAAAAATCTCTACAAGGAGAACTACAAAATACTGCTGAAAGACATCATAGATGACACAAACAAATGGAAAAACATTCTATGATCATGGATTGAAGGAATCAATATCATAAAAATGGCCATACTGCCCAAAGCAATTTACAGATTCAGTACTATTCCTATCAAATTATCAATGTCACTATTCATAAAATTAGAAAAACCGATTTTAAAATTCATAGAGCCTCCCCCTACAAAAAAGCCTGATTAGCCAAAGCAAGCCTAAGCAAAAGAAAATTGGAGACATCATATTACCCAACTTCAAACTATACTATAAGGCCACAGTAACGAAAACAGTATGGTACTGGTATAAAAACAGACATATAGACCAATGAAACAGAATAGAGAATCCAGAAATAAAGCTGCACACCTACAACCATCTGATATGTGACAAAGTCAGCAAAAATAAGCAATGCAGAAGGCACTCCCTATTTTATAAATGGTGCCAGAATAACTGGCTAGCCATATAAAGAAGAATGAAACTGGACCCCTTATCTTCCCCATACACAAAAATTAACTCAAGATGGATTGAAGATTTAAATGTAAGACCTCAAACTATAAAGGTCCTAGGGGAAAACCTAGGAAACATCATTCTGGACATGAGGCTTGGCAAAGAATTTATTTCAGAAAACTTCTGTTTTTCTCAGTCCTCCATATGTCCTCAAAAGCAATGGCAACAAAAAAATTGACAAGTGGAACCTAATTAAACACAAGAGCTGCACGACAAAAGAAACTATCAACAGAGTACACAGACAACCTACAGAATGGGAGAAAATATTTGCAAACGATGCATCTGACAAAGATCTCACATTTAGAATCTACAAGGGAATTAAACAGTTCAACAAGCAAAAACCAACCTCATTAAAAAAGGGCAAAGGACATGAACAGACTCTTCTCAAAAGAAGACAAACATGAAAAAATTCTCAACATCATTAATCATCAGAGAAATGCAAATCAAAACCACAATGAGATACCATCTCATACCGGTTAGAATGGCAATTATTAAAAAGTGAAAAAATAACAGATGTTGGCAAGGTTGCAGAAAAAAAGGGAATGTTTATACACTGTTGGCAGGAATGTAAATTACTTCAGCCACTATGGAAAGCAGTTTGGAGATTTCTCAAAAAACTTGGAAATAGATCTACCATTCGACCCAGCAATCCCACTACTGCGTATATTTTCAAAGGAAAATAAATCGTTCTACCGAAAAGACACATGCACTCATATATTCATTGCAACACTATTCACAATAGCAACGACAAAGAATCATCCTAGATGCCCATCAACAGTGGATTGGATAAAGAAAATGTGATACATATACACCACGGAATACTACGCAGCCATAAAAACAGAATGAAGTTATATCCTTTGCAGCTAAGAGGATGCAGCTGGAGGCCATTATTCCAAGCAAATTAACACAGAAACAGAAAACCAAATAACCACATGTTCTCACTTGCAAGTGGGAGCTAAGCATTGGGTACTCATGGACATAAATATGGGAACAACAGATACTGTGAACCACTAGAGGAGAGAGGGCAGGCGGGCCTCAGGGGTTTAAAAACTACCTTTTAGGTACTATACTCATTACCTGGGTGATGGAATTGTTCATACCCCAAACCTCAGTGTCACACAATATACCTAGGTAACAAACCTGTACATGTACCTCTTGAATCTAAAATAAAAGTTGAAATTATTTAAGAACTAGAAATAAATTTCTGTTGCTTATAAGCTTAAAAAAATCCAGTACACCATTGATGGGCACCTAAGTTGATTTCATGTCTTTGCTATTGTAAACAGCACAGTGATGGACATACAAGTGCATGTCTCTTTTTGATAGAATGATTTCTATTTCTTTGGGTATATACCCAGTGATGGGTTTGCTGGGTCAAACGGTCGTTCTATTTTAAGTTCTTTGAGAAATCTCTAAACTGCTTTCTACAGTGGCTGATTTAATTTACATCCCCATCCATACCAACAGTGTGGAAGAGCTCCTTTTTCTCTGCGGCCTCAGCAACATCAGTTATTTTTTTACTATTTATTTATTTATTTACTTATTTATTTATTTTGAGAGGGATTCTTGCTCTATCACCCAGGCTGGAATGCAGTGGTATGATCTCGGCTCACCGCAGCCTCTGCCTCCCAGGTTCAAGCAATTCTCCTGCCTCAGCCTCCCGAGTAGCTGGGACTACAGGCACATGCCACCCTGCCCAGCTGATTTTTATATTTTCAGCAGAGATAGGGTTTCACCATGTTGGCCAGGCTGGTCTCAAATTTTTGTCCTCAAGTGATCCGCCCACCTCGGCCTCCCAAAGTACTGGGACTACAGGCATGAGCCACCAGGCCCAGCCCTTTTGACTTTGTAATCATAGCTACTCTGGTGTCAGAAGGGAAGCAAGCACTAAAATGCTGCTGAGTGAACCAGAGACTGGGGTATATGGGCAAAGCAAGGACACAACACTCAGAGAAGGCTGAGAATCTGCACGCAGAAGGAGCCTGGGCCCTATTTCCTGGGTGGCCCCCTGGGAAAGCAGCAGGACCCAGCATCTCTCGCCCCTAAATGAAGGAGATGTCATAAGGGTCACACATAAATGGCAGTGTGGAGTCATTAAGGAGACAGCTCCAGATGCAGCCTGGCACAGGTGGCCATCAAGACGGGCACAGATGTGGTCAGAGGCCAGCAGCCCAGAGAGGCCTCGAGCTGGAGAAAGGAGGAAGCAGGGTTATCTGAAAGCCTTTCACTAGGAAACCAGATAAACTTTGAACATCTTCCAGGTGCCAATGGGCACAGACGATCAGAGGCCAGTGAGAATGAGGATTCAGCAAAAGATGCCAGGGTGGGCACACAAGCCCCAGGGGCCAGGCCCTTCACCCACTCCTTGGCACTAAACCCCCTTGAAACTCAGATGCAACCAGAGGAGGAAGGAGGGAGGTGAGAAACTCCTGGATTAACTGGAGAATACCTGAAGTGGCTAAGATTGCATTCCTATCACCAGTGCAACGTGGGCCCAAAATATAAAATCAGGGATAAAAAATAATTTCTAAAGCTTGAATTTGAGGTCTGAGACATTTGTATCTCCTAAGCAAATAAGCACTTAGCACAGCATCGGGCATGTAGTAAATGCTCCATAAACGTTAATAATGATCATTACTACCCACACAAGCTTAAATAACAAGTCATCGTGGCACGATGAGAAAGTAGCAAATGGCGAAAGGTTCAGAAGCACAGCAGCCATGGAAATGCACAGCCCCAGCCTCCTGCTGCAGGGAGCAAGTTGACTGACAGCCCCAGCCGCTGCTCCTGGCCCTGAGCTGCTCTCTGCCAAGTCCTCCATGACTGGAACTCCTCTATGGGCCCCTCGGCTCAGGAGCTCCTCTCCAGCCCGGCTGCAATGCCCGCAGAGCTGCACTGCTGCCTGGAACTCCTCGTCCCCCGCCCTCCCTCCTTCCTCCTCTCCCCTACAGAAGCCAGCCTGCATCTCTGTCTGATGCTCCTTTGCCTGGTCCTGCTTTCTCCCCTTCATCCTTCACAGGCATTCCCGCAGGAAATCTCCTGCACATCTAATCCTGTCTTGGTATCTTCTTATCAGAGGACTCAATTTCTTCAAGGGGCCTCATCCTATTATCCTCACTGTGGGCCAGAAGGACACATACAGCTTCCATGAGGAAGTCAGATTGGAGGATCAAAGGGAATTAGATGTGCTTGGCTAAGAGCCAGGGTCTTAGGGGCACTGCAAGCCCACATGACCTCTGGAGCAGGTGTGGGCACAGGCTCTGGACGGTTCACCCATGGTGGGGGTTAGATAGCAGACCCCGTCAAAGAAGCCAGGCTCTGTCTAGCAGTCAGTGCGTGAGCCTGTTGAGGGGCTTTTGTTAGAGGAATGCCGGGGAACAAAGGAGTTGACTACAGCTCAGGAATTTGCTCTGGAAGCTTCATCTCCCAACGTGGAATGCAAAACCCTGTCTTCTAACACATGAATTCTAAGCTTTATCAAGTGTGTAAGGAAAGATATCTCATTCCTGACATTACACCATACAATCTAAGCACGATCTGAGAAACACAAAAGACCTAGTGTAATTGTTGCAGAGATGTCCAACTTTTAAAAAGCATCTATGTTGGCCGGGCTTAGTGGCTCATGCCTGTAATCCCAGCACTTTGGGAGGCCGAGGCGGGCAGATCACAACGTCAGCAGTTTAAGACCAACCTGGCCAACATAGTGAAACTCTGTTTCTACTAAAAATACAAAAAAAAAAAAAAATTAGCTGAGCGTACAGATGGGTGCCTGTAATTCCAGCTAATCCAGAGGCTGAGGCAGAATAATTGCTTGAACCTGGGAGGTGGAGGTTGCAGTGAGCCAAGATCGCACCACTGCACACCAGCCCGGGCGACAGGGCAAGACTCCATCTCAAAAAAAAAAAAAAAAGCATCTATGTTATAAAAGGGTATGTAACATTTAATTATGAGGAACAGTCAATTTATATACCACTCCGAACCTCAGCCTCCTTCTCGTAAAAAGAGGAAATGATACCACATGGACCCTAAGATCTACTGCAGATCTCCTGGCCTATGGTTTTCAGAGTCATTGAACCATGAGCAGTGGCATCATTTCAAACTTCACTTTCAGCAACTAGAAGATGCCAGACTACTTTTATTTGCTGTGCTTGACAACTTGTCACCAAAAAAAGATTTCTAAACAGATTTATCTTTCTCATGACATGAGACTTTTAATATCATCTGTTATAAACAATTGCTGTTGACAGCTTATACTGACAGGTGTTTGAGCAGTTGTCAATAATATGCTCATTTTATTGATTCTTTTCTTCCTTATATATCATGACTGAAATTTAAGTAGCTCAGAGTATATATTAATTGAGCCATCACTCTTATCTCCCTGATACATGATCACAGAACCAACAACTGTGCCTCTAATGTCCACATGGACTAAAAGTCACAAGATTGTGAGAGAAAAAAAAGGGCAACAATGCAGACAGGCTAAATTAGTATTAGGTTAGTGCAAAAGTAATTGCGGCCGGGCGTGGTGGGTCACACCTGCAATCCCAGCACTTCGGGAGGCTGAAGCAGGTGGATCACTTAAGGATCAGGAATTCAAAACCAGCCTGGCCAACATGGTGAAACCCATCTCTACTAAAAATACAAAAATTAGCCACTCGTGGTGGTGAGCACCTGTAATTCCAGCTACTCAGAAAGCTGAGGCACAAGAATTGCTTGAACCCAGGGGGTGGAGGTTGCAGTGAGCTGAGATGGCACCACTGCACTCCAGCCTGGATAACAGAGCGAAACTCCATCTCCAAAAAAAAAGTAATTGCGGTTTTTGTCATTAAAATTGTGAAAACTGCAATTACTATTGCACCAACCTAATAACTCAATGTCATCAAGAAACCCACAAGAACAGCCACAAGTTTCTTTAGAGGTGATTCTCAAGATTTCTCCAAGAGTAGAGTGAGATGCCAGATCCAAAAATACAAGGAGTACGTGAGAGTCTACCTACCTTTCTCCACCCAGCCTCTTCCTCCGCCCGGGTCCGTCACACCTGCACCCAAGCTTACACTCTCCCAACAGGAAACGGGGGCATGCATCCTTCTCTGGGGATATTAACACTTAGAGGTTGCCCAATAAAGCAGCGCAGTCGCTTCCCAACCCTGTTATAGTAAAGACCACTAGACACAAGCCTCATGAGATACACAACCTACAATCAGCTCAAAAATATGCCTCGCTCATAAATGGCTGGGCCAAACTTGCCAGGCATTTGGGGAAAACAAGATCTAAAATAAAAGTAAAGTGAAAGAGGCTGGGCACGGTGCCTCACACCTGTAATCCCAACACTTTAAGAGGCTGTGGGTGGATCATTTGAGATCAGGAGTTCGAGACCAGCCTAGACAACATGGGGAAACCCCGTCTCTACTAAAAATAGAAAAATTAGCTGGACGTGGTAGTGCTACACCTGTAGTCCCAGCTACCAGGGAGGCTGAGGCAGGAGAATCACTTGAACCTGGGAAGCAGAGGTTGCAGTGAGCTGAGATTATGCCACTACACTCCAGCCTAGGCAACAGATCAAGACTTCATCTCAAAAAAAAAAAAAAAAGTAAAGAGAAAAAGACCAAAACAGACTAATGGAAACCAGAAATTCAGAGAAACAGAGACAACACAGGGAGCATAAGAGAGTTCCATAGAAACTATGACTGTTTGAGAAATAAGCAAACACAAGACATCTATAAAACAAGAACAGTATCACCTTAAAATAAAAATCAAAGAACAAGAAAAGCTTTGACAATTAAAAGTCTGACACAACTTTTCTTAAAAAATCAATAAAAGTATTCAAAAATAGAGTTTTAAAAATCTTTTCAGATAGGTTTTTTTCAACGTTTGTTTTAGACTCAGGGAGTTCAAGTGCAGATTTGTTACTTGGATGTATTGTGTGATGCTGAGGTTTGAGGTATGAATGATCCCATCACCCAGGTAGTGGACGTAGTATCCAATAGGTCATTTCTCAGGCCTTGCCCCACTCCCTTCTTCCTCTCCTCTAGTAGTCCCCACTGTCTGTTGTTCCCATATTTATGTTCACGAGTACTCAATGTTTAGCTTCCACTTATAAGTGAAAACACGTGGTAATTGGTTTTCTGTTCTTGCATTAATTCGCTTAGGATAATGGCCTCCAGCTGCATCCATATTTCTAAAAAGGACATGATTTTTTCTTCTTTATGGGCTGTGTAGTATTCCATGGTGTACATGTACCATATTTTCTTTATCCGATCTACTGTTGTTGGGCACCTCTGTTGATTCTATGTCTTTGCTATTATGAATAGCACTGTGATGAACGTGCACCTGCATGTGTCTCTTTGGTAGAATCATTTGTTTTCTTTTGAATATTTACCCAGTAATGGGATTGCTGGGTCAAATGGTCCGGATAGTTTTTGAAAAGGACAATAGGAGGGGCCGGGTGCGGTGGCTCACACCTGTAATCCCAGCACTTTGGGAGGCCAAGGCAGGTGGATCACCTGAGGTCAGGAGCTCAAGACCAGCCTAGCCAACATGGGGAAACCCCGTCTCTACTAAAATACAAAAATTAGCCGGGCATGGTGGTGCACACCTGTAATCCCAGCTACCTGGGAGGCTGAGGCAGGAGAATTGTTTGAACCTGGGAGGTGGAGGTTGCAGTGAGCCAAGATCATGCTATTGCACTCCAGCCTGTGCGACAGAGCGAGACTCTGTCTCAAGAAAAAAAAAAAAAAAAAGACAACAGGAGGGCGAAGGTAGGTAAATTAGAAGATCATTTGCAGGTGTGTGAAAGTTGTCAGAATCAAAATTCAGTCACATGTTTAAAATTCTAACAAATAGAGCCAGGGAAGGTCATAAAAGGAGAATCCTCATTAAAAACATATCGCATTTTTTGGTAAACTTTATATGCAGAATTATATATATTAGTTAGAATTTTTAACTCTTAATAACTTTAATTTCTACTGAAAACCTAGGAAATAAGATGTTTTTTAGTGTCTGTCACATATCAATATGTTGCAGATGTGAACCATTTTATCATTTCAAAAAGCATTTCCCCAAAACATAATTTTTGTGTGTATTAATAAACCCAAATATATTTAGTCTTTATATAAAATTCAAGAAGCCAAGAACAAACATATATTTATGTTCAGCAATTTATGTTTCAGTATTTTAACTTACTTAGAAATGACTCAGACATTTTGTGAATATCTATTACCTAATTTAACATAACCTGAAAATTTCACAAGTTTATTTATAAATGTTTATCACATTGCATTTTCCTAATGTATTTATTTTTAACAATTTACCTAGATTATCATAGCCAAACTATCAATCAAGTGTGAGGCTAGACTGAAGACCATCTGTGACCTCAGGCAAGGGTCATAACGTGTCTGCACTTCCTGTTCCTCCATACAAAAGCAATGAAGATGGTAGCACCGCCTTGCCCATCTCAGAGGATCCTTATCAAGATGAAATAAAGCATAACTTCCATCCATAGAGTACTAATTCCCTTGTAAGTCATAAGCTCCTCTGGGGCAGTGTCTAATTATGATTTATCTTTGGACTCTCTAAATTACCCAGACCAGTGACTTACACATAGTAAATATCAATAAATACTCTTTGAATGAATACATAAGATTTGTAGAGCAACTTTCTAAAAGTTGAAAGATACAGCACTTTATATATAACCATAAAAATTTAGAAACCTAATATATATATACATATAAATAATACTGCCTTCTAGAAAAATAAAGTATGACATGGCCATGTAGTAAAATCTTGTGTATTCATTAGACTGAGTTGTTGTTGTTGTTGTTTTGACCAGGGAAATTGTTCATGATGTAATGCTGCAGTGTTTAAGGTGGGTTGTAGATCAGTGAGAAGTGACATTCCCCCTCAGAAATACACACATTCCCATACACCTGCTATATTTCCCAATTGAATTCGGCGAAGAGAGAGAAATTAACAGAAACAAGGAGGCTCCCAGAGAGTGGGTGAGAGACCCGGAGAGGTTTGTCCTGGCTCCTGACTTGCCTATAGTACTCAAGGGACTGGTGTCATTCTCTGTCCAGGTAGGTCCTCGTCAATGTTGAGAAAACAGCTAAACCCTTGTAGTGCAACAACCCTTTTAGACTCAGGCAGGCATTGCCAATCTGGAATAATATACGCTGGTAATCCATGTGCTTCCATTTGAGGTAGTATTGGAAAGCATCAGCCTCTCCTTGTTCCTGAACCTGTCTCACAATCTACAAGGCCACCTCCCCTTCCAGGTAGAAAGCAGAGGCTGTGTCTAGATGGCCCTGAATGACAGCTCTGCCTGCTATTCTCCATTGTCCTAGAAAGCCCACCTCCCCACCGTCCACCCCTCTCTGATTTCATCCTCTGTTTCCCAGATGAATCTCAAACTGTGTTAGTTTGAGACCTAATGTTACAAATCCATGTAGTCTATGATCTCAAATATTCAAAAATATGGAAGAATCACTGAGGCAGTAGCATCAACTGAGCCCAGGAGCTTGAGGCTGAGAGTGGGAGGACAAAAGGGCAGGTGGGGAGAGAAGACCCAACCTGGTGGCCCTGCAGCGCCTCTGTGGATGGATTTTACAAAACAGTACAAAGGGAAGCTGAGGGTCAATAAATGAATGCCCTGAAAACCACCTGGCAAGAAACCCTTGTAAAGTTTCTCTGTAACCTCAGGGTGATATAGGCCCCAGTTTAAAATCTACTCATTCAGAACTCCAGGACTGCAGGTTCTTGCTAAGCATCCAGCCTGCTGACAAAAGCACTGTTTAGGCAAGATGCCAGCGGGACTTGGGAGCAACCCACCTCTAAAGGTCGATGCTTTTCAAAATGGGTTCCCTAGATCACCTGCATCAAATATTATCTGAGTGTTTATTCAATATGTTTAACATGAAGATTCCTAGGCTCTGTCTCAAACCAGCTGAAAAGGAATCTTTAGGAAGAGGGACATGTGAAACTGTTTGTTGAAGCAACCTACAGCAACGTATGGGCTTTTTGTTGTTGTTGTTGTTGTTTAGACGGGGTCTCACTCTGTTGCCCAGGCTGGAGTGCAGTGGCCCCTCATCATCACACCCACAGCATTCTGCTTTGTCTAAGGCTTCCAAATGTATTCCCTAGTTTCCACCACACCACGGTAGCCCCTCAAGCTCCGGGCTGGATCTATGTCTAATTCATCATTGTGTCCACATCCTAGCCACATGACTAGCACATAGCTGTGCTCAATAGATACTTGTTGTATGAATAAATTCATAGTAAGTAGAAGATACAAAAATGAAGAAGGTGGCTGGGTGCAGTGGCTCATGCCATAATCCTAGCATTTTGGGAGGCTGAGGCGGGAGGATCGCTTGAGTTGAGGAGTTCAAGACCAGCCTGGGCAACATGGCAAAACCCCGTCTCTACAAAAAATAAAATAAAATAAAATAAATGAAGAAGGGAAGAATGTTTGAGGAACTCCCAAATATAGGATTAGTGCTCAGTTACTAATACACTAAGGAGCAGATTATTGGTATGGATCAGCGCAACCAAAAGGTAACCTCCAAATCATTGCTATCTGACTATCATCTATCTATTATCTATATATATATATATGTAATCTATATATTGTATATATAATCTATATATGTATGTAATTTATATATATCTATATATAATCTTAAAATTATGTAGTGATAGAAAGGGCAGGCTTATGCGATGGCGGATGGGATTATGCCTTCGGCTTTTGGAACTATCGAATATCAATGTGGAAGACTTGAAGACCTGTTTGCTGAAGACCCTCTAAGCCTCTTAGAAAACAGTGACAAGAGCTTTGGGACATTTGCTAGGACACCGGATATTCTGGCATTTATGAACCAAGCCTGGGGATGCTCTCTACTGCTGTGGAGTTGGGGTGGTTTCAGCGGAGGACAACAAGGCTGCTAATTTGTTACTCAACTGCCCTTTGGCCCAACGCCTGGGAATTTATCCTAAAGGCCTCAGTAAAGGAGATTGTCAGTTAAAGAGTCCAATTACCCACGAGAAGCCTTATTAGTAACTGAACTTGCTCCTGGGCAAAGAATGCTGACCATCTCGGGGAGAAGAACCCTAAAGCCTGAATTCAAGACAGCAGCAGGGAATACAGCAACTGTCAGTTACAGCCACCAGGTGGCGCAGCAGAAAGCCAAACTCTCAGGAGCGCAAGGCAAACCCACATCCTGGTTCTTCTCCCCTAAGAAATTTGGTAGCCTCAGAAATTCGTCTGGAGAAGGGCTTAGAGGCAGACACCATTGAAACGGTAACCCAAGACCTTAATTTCACCCTTGCCTCAGTTTTACCCTTAAAATTACACCCAGAAAATGAACTGATAGGACTCGCTCTTGAGAGCCAATTGCTAAATTTTTAGCCCATCTTTTCTCAACCTCATGGTCAGTGACACCAAGTTGGTAACGTGAAATTGGCCAGGAAGGAATATTTACACCATGGAAATTGGCAAATGCTATAAATCAGTTCTTCAGAGGGTTGGTTGTTAAACATTTACCCAACACTCCTGGGTGAGAAGGAGAGACCGCCCATAAATTGTGCTGGGAGGCAAAAGAGGAAAGTTTGGCAATTTGCTTCTGATAATAACTCGGACAAAGTCAAATGTAGCAGCTAAAAACTTGGACTCTGTATTCAGGATTTAGGACTTAAATCTGTTGTTTAAGATTAAGCTCTGCCATTTATTAGCTGTGTAGAGTTGGGCAATCAACTCTTGGTGCCCATCTCTTCATCTGTAAAAAAGATATAATTGTACCTACTTAGTAAGGCTACTGTATAAGTCACCTTAAAATAACTATATGTGTTAGATATTACTATTACTAAAAGGTGATGAAATTATTAATACCATTAATTCAGAAATCATTACGATGTAAACAACAGAGACACACTTGAATTTTAAGACCTTAAAGCTATTTACCAATCTCGTTATATTTTTATATTTAATTTCAGATCCTGATTTAAATTTATTTTCTGTAAAGTGACTAAACACATTGGTTGGTTTTAATCCAGAATAATAAGCTTTTTACTATCATAAATTCTCTTTTGAATGTTTGGGAAGTAAATTATATATTTCCAGGGTTTTGCTCTAAAGGCTTTTTATTCTCTTTCTTTAAATATTTTGTAAATATCAGAAAGTCAGTTGGGTTTCCCAAAGAGTATGCCATTTAACATGAGTATGTCTCAAGTTGAGTCAAACAGAGGTTGCTCAGAAATTGGGTTAATAGAAACTCCAAGTCTCATTCCTCTAATGAGGGGCTAAGGGTTTTTCTCCATGTTTTGGATGGTGGCAGCCTTTGAGAATAAATAGATGAAATGATCTCTCATAGCGACAGAAGGAAAGTAGAACAATCTAGAACAACTAGACATGTGACTTTCTCTGAAACCACAAAGTAAATAAAAGACTCAGCTTTATGTTTTAAGGAGCTTCATCAATTAGGTCTGGATTTTGATTGATAAAAAATTCAGGGTGTCTGCTTACATAAAATTGTGAGACTTTTCTAGAAGTTTTGGAGAAAGTTGGGTTGCGACCTACCCTCTGACATCCTGACATTAAGAGTCACCTGGCCTGAGGCCAGAGGAATGAATACTCAGTGACCCACCTATGTCACTTCTAACTGGCAGAAATTAGAAAGCTGTGAAACTAATTGGTCAAAGAGGCTGTCAAACTCATTGCATCATCTATACTTTAAAGTCCAGAACTGCAGCGCTTTCTGCTCACTCCAGCCGCTTACCTTTTTGACTCACTTATTGTATTTTAATGAGCCAATCAGACTCGTATGTATTGATTTCCTGTTATTTCTACCCAATACTATGAGATGTGCTGTTGAAAAATTTATTTTAAAAACTACAACCACAGGGAAAAGAATACTTTTTCAAGGCACAACAAGGCACAACAAGGCATGCTCTATAAATCTGTAATAAATAATAATTTTCTAAAAATCAGGCCAGGTGTGGTGGCTCATGCCTGTAGTCCCAGCACTTTGGGATGCCGAGGCGGGTAGATCACCTGAGGTCAAGAGTTCGAGACCAGTCTCGCCAACCTGGCGAAACCCTGTCTCTACTAAAAATACACAAACAATTAGCTGGACATCGTGGTGGGCACCTGTAATCCCAAATACTCAGGAGGCTGAGGTAGGAGAATTGTTTGAACCCAGGAGACGGAGGTTGCAGTGAACCGAGACTGAGCCACTGCACTCCACTGCACTCCAGCCTAGGCGACAAGAGCGAAACTGTCTCAAAAAAAAAAAAATCAAAGGATACTTTTAACAATGCAGACACACTCCAAGTTTCTCACTCTGGAATGCTTGGGCCACAAGAAAGTGACAGGGTGCTTCCGCAGCAGAAAGCATGCACATTGCTGTTTTTAGAATTCCTTCTGGTATACGGTCTACTCAGCACCTCAGGGGAAAAGCATGTGACACTCTCAGTCATATGAGACTACAGCTGTCTTGCTGTCATGGTCATACCCAGAACTATTTTGCCACCACCACAGCTGCTGGTGGAGCCCAGATGGGTGTGTCCACGCATAGCCAAGCAGCAACAAAGACAAACAACTGTCATCAAAAAGGTGCCTTTCGTGACAGGCAGAGCAAGGGCCACAGGCCCTGCTAGAGCTTCTAAAAATTTAAATAAATGGATATTTTTAAAATAAATACACATGATTGAGCATGTGTAGTATGTAAAAACACAAAGATTAATTTCAAATGTAATGTTTTTATTACTACGTAATCTCACCATCCAGATACAAACTTTATTAACACTTTCGCTAAATTTCTGTCAGTCATGTTTTTGCATGTGTGTGTCTCTGTGTGTGTTTGTGGAGAGACTTTTTTAAAAAATTCTCACTGTCTCTACCAATTACTTTGAAATAATTTCAAGCTTATAGAAAGATTGCAAAAACAGAATAAAGAATTCCAATACGGTCTTACCCAGATTCCCCAAATACAGATATTGTCATGTTTGCTTCATATCTCTCCAGCTTTCTCTCTCTCCTACGTATATTACTTTTTTTGAACTATCTGATGGTAAATTGCGAACCTCAAGCCCGCTTCCCTTTAAATACTTCCGTGTGGCTGGGCACAGTGGATCATGTCTACAATCCCAAAACTTTGGGAGGCCAAGGAGGGAGGATTGCTTGGGGCCAGGAATTTGAGAACAGCCTGGGCAACATAGCAAAACCACATCTCTACAAAAAAAAATTTTTTTTAATTAGCTGGGGTGTGGTGGTGCATACCTGTAGTCCCAGATACTCAGGAGGCTGAGGTGGGAGGATCCCTTGAGCCTGGGAGTTTGAGGCTGCAGTGAGCCATGACCACACATCGAGCTATGAGGTGCACTCCAGCCTGGAGACAGAGCAAGACCCTGACTCAAAATAAATAAATAAATACTTCTGTGTGTATTCTCTAAAAACAAGACCAGTCTTATATATACCCCCAGATTCGATTTATCAAAATCAGAAAGTTAACGTTGAGATTATAGTAGAATTTAATCTACACAGAATTTATTTAATGTCACTAATTGGCTCACAATTGCTCTTTTAGCAAAATAAAAGATTCTGGTCCAGGATCTAATCCAACAACACCTATGACATTTGTACCCTTGGTATCCTTTAATCTGGGTTCTTTGGCCTTTCTTGTCGGGCTTTGACACTTTGGAAGAGTACAGGTCAATTATGCTGTAAAAGAGTTTTGAGTTTCTTGGTGCTTCCTCTTGGTTAGGTTCATGTCATGCATCTTGGCAGGAATACTGCAGAAGTGATGCAGTGTTTTTCTTAGTGCAGGAGGCACGTGCTGTGGTTCTGACACACTACGGATGTTGTTAACTCTGAGCATTTGATTAAGGTGGCTCCTACCAACATGCGCTAATATAAAAGCTGCCATTTTACTCTTTGAAATTAAAAGCTATCTGATAGGGAGCAACTAGATATTATGTAAGTATCCTATTAAATCTTTAAAATGGTACTTGTGGCTGGGCATGGTGGCTCACACCTGTAATCCCAGCACTTTGGGAGGCCAAGGCAGGTGGATCGCTTGAGCCCAGGAGTTCAAGACCAGCCTGGACACCATGGCAAAACCCTGTCTCTACAAAAAAATACAAAAATCAGCTGGGTGTGGTGGTGTGCGCCTGTAGTCCAGGCTACTCGGGAGGCTGAGGTGGAAGGATTGCTTGAGCCTAGGAGGTTGAGGCTGCAATGAGTCGAGATTGCACCACTGCACTCCAGCTTGGTGACAGAGCGAGACCTTGTCTCAAAAATAAAATAAAATAACATTTTACTTGCTATTTTTACCATCCTTTGATGATTCTTGCTGAATCTGTTATTATTATGAAGGTTATCAAAAGGCAATTCTCTCATTCCATCATTCCTCATTTATTAGTTTGCATCCTGCTCTAAGGAAGCACTCTTCATTCTCTCCATCCATTTATTTATGTATTCATTCATTCATTCATTCGTTTATATCAATGTAGATACTTATGAATTCTAATTTTATTCAATGAATGATAATCTGTTGCGCTATCTTTTATTTTGACGCTCAAATTGTTCCAGAGTTGGTCAGTGGGAGCCTCTTCGATCCGGTTCCTATGTCTTTGTGACATGTCCCTATCATTCCTTGAGCATTTCTTTACTTACTTGCACAGCAAAATGTTTCATTTTTGGATTCAGCCAACTCTCCAAGGAGCTCTGGTTCCTTTCAGTGGAGGGTGGTATTTAGAAACCATGTCTGGGCACTAAATGTGCTCAATGCTACCGAATGTCGTTACTTTTAGACACTCTCAGCAAACAGAACCAGGTATATGTCTGTGTCCTGAGATTCATATTGATTTCTATAACTATATATTTAAAACCACATATTTATACTGATACCTCCAATTACAATCCAACACTACAAGATGCTTTGTAGCTTTCTCCCTTCGTGTATTTGTAATTCCATTCTTTGATAGTAAAAAAAAACCTGGATTCCATTATTTTGTCAATTATGGAATATACATAGCTTCAGAAGGCTAACACATAACACTGTGAAAAACAAACCTACAACCCTACTAACTACAATAATTGCTTACAGTTTTTGTCTTTAACCTGAGGACATAAAGTCAAATTCTTCTTTTCAAAAATACTTGGTTGCTTCTCCTTGCTCCCTTTCTGGTGGTGACTGTTTATTTTAATTTTTGTTTTTTTGTTGTTTTTTTTTTGAGACAGAGTTTCAGTCTTGTCACCCAGGCTGGAGTTCAAAGGCTCGACCTCAGCTCACTGCAACCTCCACCTCCCGGGTTCAAGTGATTCTCATGCCTCAGCCTTCCAAGTAGCTGGGGCTACAGGCATGCGCCACAACACCGAGCTAATTTTTGTATTTTTAGTAGAGACAGGATTGCACCATGTTGGCCAGGCTGGTCTCTAACTCCTGACCTCAAGTAATCCACCCACCTCGGCCTCCCAAAGTGCTGGGATTACAGGCGTGAACTGCCATGTCCAGCCCAAATTTTTTAAATTTCTTTTTATAGTACACCATCTCTTCATTCATCTATGTTGCAAATATTTCTTTAAATTTATTTTCCACGTTTATATTTTGTCTGCAGTACTGTTAGAACTTTTACAAGATGCATATTATCAAAAGAAGTAATTTCTTTCATGGCTTTTGTTAGAAAATTCTACTGTATTTGAAATTAGGTAAAGATTCATTCTATTCATCTAGTAGTTTTGTATTTTCAATGTTTACAGTTAATCTCCGTATTCTCTTCTGGAATTTACTTACGTATGTGTTAAGAAGAAAAATCTAACTTTTTTCCCACATGTAGTCAAGCATATTTCCTAGGACATTTTTGCTGTTTAAAAACTAAATGGCCATTTAAAAAAAACAAATATTTCTATTTTTATCATCTGTGTTTTCCTATCTGTAAACTGGGGATAATAATTTCCACCTCATCATTGCATTGCACACAGAAAACATGAACTCGGCTGGGTACGGTGGCTCATGCCTGTAATCCCAATATTTTGGTAGGCCGAGGCGGGTGGATCACTTGAGGCCAGGAGTTCGAAACCAGCCTCACCAATATGGTGAAACCCCGGCTCTACTAAAAATACAAAAATTAGCTGGGCGTGGTGGCGCACTTGTACTCCCAGCAACTCTGGAGGTTGAGGCAGGAGAATCGCTTGAGCCCAGGAGATGGAGTTTGCAGTGAGCCAAGATCATGCCACTGCACTCCAGCCTGGGCAAAGGAGTGAGACCCTGTCACAAAAAAAAAAGAAAACATGAACTCAAGTCCTGCCAGACTATTGTGCTCCTTTTTTTTTTTTTCTATAGAGAACAGCCTAGTGTGTTCTTATATGCAAGGAAAGCACTTTGAAATGTGGATTCTGACATCTGATGCCCTGAATTAATGTACCAAAGACAGCTTCAGTTGATTATAACTTACCTGGAGCCAAAATGAAGCACTTTGGGGAAACTGTTCACACTGTGGTACTCTCAGTCTCATTCCTCTGCATCTTGTTTTTCTCCTTTTGCCAGTCCCTGGATAAACCATTCATCAGATACATAGGAAGATAAATCAGATCAGCTGCAAGACAAGAAAGGGAAGGAAGCAAGTGACTAGCAAAATTTACTAGATTAAAAAAGAAACCTGTGAAGAATGGTACCCCAAATTTCTTCTCTATATGCCCTTTTTTTTTTAAGATGGAGTTTTGCTCTTGTTGCCCAGGCTGGAGTGCAATGGCGTGATCTTGGCTCACGGCAACCTCTGCTTCCCAGGTTCAAGCAATTCCCCTGCCTCAGCCTCCTGAGTAACTGGGATTATAGGTGACCATCACCATGCTCAGCTAATTTTTTATATTTTTAGTAGAGATGGGGTTTCACCATGTTGGCCAGGCTGGTCTTGAACTCCTGACCTCAGAGGGTGATCCACGCTCCTCAGCCTCCCTAAGTGCTGGGATTACAGGCATGAGCCACCGCACCTCGCCTCTCTATATGCTATATTTATTCTCACATTTATTCCTTACACACACACATTTGTTCAAGAAAGAAATATATTGTGGTGTACTGACTCTCACCTTTATAGACTTATTAAAAATTGTAGATAGAACCCTTCACATGCAATCCATAAAACTCCAAGTTTATATTAAATAAAAACTAGAGAATGAGTATACTACTGCAAAATTATCTATTCTATGGGTCACTTTAAAGGACTAGCTGTCCTGGTACATTTAAATTTACCCAGCTGACAAAATACAAGGTTCACAGTTGCAGAAATTAAAGCTCATGCCATTTCTGTTTGACAGCTGAACTTCCACTCAGGGAATACTGTAATCATCTACTCGACCTTCACCCAGGAGGTATTTTATATGTGGCCTTACTAACTTAATAATACAGCAAAGCTTTACAACATTTTATGATTACACAGACTTAGGAGAAACCATTCGTTACATTATGTACTCATAGAGTCACTAAATGGGGGTCACTGCAGCTACAGCAAAGGATCTATCCAACACAGTCAACTTTATAGGCATTTTCAGTGGAGGGGACACGGATCCTTTCCTTCCCACCCATCCTCACCTACCCAAGCATTTGGAAGAGTCTCTGCCAGGGCCAATGATGCTATTATTAGTGACGTCTCCTTCTTGAAGGGCCTTATGGTTCGGTGCCTGACTCAAGAGTGGTGAGGTTGTGTTCCTTGCATGTCTAATGGCATCAGAACTGTTTTAATGATTTGGCATCCTTTTTGTTTTGAGGCCAGTTCCTAGCCACCTACAGCCTGGAGTCTATCCTCTTCAGAGGATGTAGAACCCCTTCTTTATTTCTTTGGAGTTTAAAGAGAGTCTTGAGAGGAGGCAGGAGAGAAATGGAGTTGGGGGAATTCTGTCCCAGAGAGTAGCAGGGAAAGAGGTGATAGCTGTTGCCAGGCTCTGAAAGAGGAGAAGAGCTACCTAGTAACTAAGTCTTCCAGGATTCTAATGGGCTGATTGCAAATTCTGCCTCGTTGGCCCATGCTGTCTGCCATCTCATTTCCACTTTCACAGCTTTCAACACTAATGGACCACTGCAGGTGGTCCCACTGCACCCTATATACCTCTCTTTTAAGCACTGATATTGCAGTGGTTCTCCAAGTGTGAGCCCTAGGCCAGTCATAGCAGCATTTCCTGGGATTCCCAGACTGACTGAATCAGTAGCTCTGGGGTGTAGCCCAAAAATCTGTGATTTAAAAAGCCCTCCAGATGATTCTGATGCATACACAATTTTTTTTTTTTTTTGAGACGGAGCCTCCCTCTGTCGCCCAGGCTGGAGTGCAATGGCATGATCTTGGTTCACTGCAACCTCCGCCTCCCCAGCTCAAGCAATTCTCCTGCCTCAGCCTCCCAAGTAGCTGGGACTACAGGCGCATGTCACCATGCCTGGCTAATTTTTGTATTTTTAGTAGAGGCGGGGTTTCGCCATATGGGCCAGGCTGGTCTTGAACTCGTGACCTCAAGTGATCCACCCACCTCACTATCCGAAAGTGCTGGGATTACAGACGTGAGCCACTGTGCCTGGCCTGATGCATGCTTAATTTTAAGACCCACTGCAGAACTATAATTGTTGATTAACTCATCTATATTCTCAGCAAGACAGAAAGTTCCTTCAGCATACAGACAAATGTATTTATCAATACACTTAAAGTACAGAATATTATGGCTGAGTGCAGTGGCCCATACCTGTAATCCCAGCACTTTGGGAGGCCGAAGTGGGAAGATCACTTGACGCCTGGAGTTTGAGACAAGCCTGGGCAACATAGTGAGACACCCTTCTCTTCAAAAAATAGATAAATGAAATAAATAAAGTAAAAAAGAAAAATCAGCCAAGTGTGATGGTGCACACCTGTAGTCCCAGCTACTTGGGAGGCTGAGGCAGGAGGATGACTTAAGCCCAGGAGTTCGAGGCTGCAGTGAGCTATGATCATGCCACTGTATTCCAGCCTGGGTAACAGAGCAAGACTCTGTCTCAATTTTTGTTAAGTATAGAATATCCGAAATGTATGTTGCATGAATAAATGAGTGAAACAAATAGACTAGTGCAGTCCTAAGTAAAATGCTTAGTAAATACTTACGACAGCATCAAGCTTGAGTTGTGTGGATGTCTAATGATCTGGAGCCAATGAATTGCTCCTCCCACCCCAGAAATAAAATAATATCTATCCATGAAAATAAACATTTCTCTAGAGTTCACTTAGAACTTTAGGACTCAGGTACATTTCAATAAATGTATATTTTTCTGATGGGAAATGGAAGGTAGTTCCATTACAAAGTAATTAGGAAATGCAAAGGAAGTATTTTATATATATATAATATTATTTATTATAAATAAGATATGTATATTATTTATTATAAATAAGAGATATGTAATATTATTTATTATAAATAAGATATATCTTATTTATTATAAATAAGATATATATAAAGTCTTACTTCACCACCTTCTGAGTCTTCTTTCCTATGCACCTTTTTCATATATCACCCTCAGTTATGATGTTAAAAATAAAAAGTATTCTTTTCCTTATAAAAGCAACACAAACTCACTCAAAAAGATTAGAAAATACAGAAAAGCATCAAAAAGAAAATAACACTGCCAATAATTTCATTATTCAGAGATGTAACTACCCTGGGGGATATGCCTTCAAAGTATACTTGCTGTTACCCCATAAGACAAACTTGTGGAAAAAGCCATACACTGGATGTGGCCCAAAAATCCAAAGCTTAAAGTCTGCTCTCTGATTTTCCTTGGCCCCACCTTGACTATTTTAGGATGGGTTAACTTAGGGGGAAAACACTGGAATCTTCCAAGAGTTTGGAGTTCCTGCAGAAAAGCCTGTTCCAAAAAAGTATGAAACCATCCTTGCCTTCCTGTAGGATCAAGGTGTGCTGGCACTGGTTTGCTCTCTCTGGCCCTTGACTTTGCTCAGGGATTCAGAGCCAGAGTCATCCATGAAGGCCCATCTTGCTGTGTTTCTTTCTGTTATCCTTAAAATAATCATTTGAAAATAAATAGGCTGTTGTCCCCACCACCTTGGGATTTTCCATTAAACCTGGCTTTATGGGCTGTGACATTCGTAGTCAACACCAGCAGAAGTCAATTCTGTAGCTTTGATGTTCTGCAGGGAGAGAGGAACCAGGTGACCAGCTGGGAGACAAGGCAATCTCAAATAAGGAACAAGTAATTAAGGGACGAACAGCAGCTGTGTTTCTTAAATGACTTTTATAATTTTAAAAATTTATAATTATAAAAGCTTTAAGGTAAAGCTTATTGTGGGTGTTTGTGAAACAGAGTGAAGTATTAAGGAGAAGGGAAAAATAACCCATCCTCCCAAATCTAAAGTAATCTGTTAGCTTTTTATCTTTTTATTTTATTTTATTTTATTTTATTTTATTTTTATTGAGATGAAGTCTTGCTCTGTCACCCAGGCTGGAGTGCAGTGGCATGATCTCTACTCACTGCAACCTCCACTTCCCAAGTTCAAGTGATTCTCTTGCCTCAGCATCCTGACTAGCTGGGACTATGGCACATGCCACCAAAGCCCGCCTAATTTTTGTATTTTAAGTAAGAATGGGGCATCACCATGTTGGCCAGGCTGGTCTCGATCTCCTCACCTCAAGTCATCTGCCCACCTCGGCCTCCCAAAATGCTGGGATTACAAGCATGAACCACTGCACCCAGCCTTATCTTTTTGAGACAGTCTCTCACTCCGTCATCCAGGCTGGAGTACAGTGGCCCGATCTCAGCACTCTGCCTCCCAGGTTCAAGGGATCTTCCCACCACGGCCTCCGGAGTAGCTGGGACAACAGATGTGCACCAGCATGCCTGGCTAACTTTTTTATTTTTTGTAGAGACAGGGTTTTGCCGTGTTGCCCAAGGTGGACTCAAACTCCTGGGCTCAAGCAATCCACCCACCTTCGCCTCCCAAAGTGCTGGGATTACAGGTGTCAGCCGTTGTGCCGGCCCCCTCTGTTAACTTTTTGTCTTGCATTTGTCTTCACGTGTGTTGAAAAATATTGTATGCAAAACTCACAACCTCATTTCTTTACTAAGACTGCATACAAATTTCTGTATATTATTAGAACAGTCTTCAGAAGCATCATTTTAGTGACATTTTCTATCACATACTGTGCTGAATCATTTTCCTGCTGTTGCTTTTAATTTTTGTTGGAAACATCTTTTATACATACATTTTTGACCATCTCTTTATAATGTTGGGATAGACGTCTGAGAGTAGAGTTACTTGATGAAGGGATTTGGATGCTTTAATGACTTTTAACAGATATTGCTAATTGCTTTCCATAGCGCTCCAACTTCCACTGCTGTAACCTCAGTGTGCTGTGACCTATGAGTCCAAAAAAGGCAACCTTTAAAGGGATAGTGTTTGAAAGCATCTATAGCACTACATGTCAAAAATAAAATGGGTTTACTAACACAATCCCTCTTAGCATCTGTATTTTATAATCCTTTTTTTTTTTTTTTTATGAGACAAGATCTTGCTATGTTGCCCAGGCTGGTCTTGAACTCCTGGGCTCAAGCAATCCTCCTGCCTCAGCCTCACAAGTAGCTGAGGTTATAGGCATGCACCGCCATTCCCAGCTACAGTCTTCTCAATGTATTGCAAATCTGTTTTGGATTCCGTCTGGGCAGTTTGGCCTCAGGAATGCTGCACTTCATAGTCTCATCGGTCCATGTTTCAAAGACATGGATTCCAAGAAGAGCATTTTAGAGGTGCCCAAAGGGTAAATATTTCTGAAGTCAGATTTACCATTTTCCTAGAATTGTGTCAAATCTCCTTATTTCTACAAGTGATTACCCCTGCACAGAAAATGTATCCCTCATCCAACAGCTTAAGAACTTGAACATGTAGTTCTTTGGAGTTTAAAAATATCCAGAATCTACAATGAACTCAAACAAATTTACAAGAAAAAAACAAACAACCCCATCAAAAAGCGGGCGAAGGACATGAACGGACACTTCTCAAAAGAAGACATTTATGCAGCCAAAAAACACACGAAAAAATGCTCACCATCACTGGCCATCAGAGAAATGCAAATCAAAACCACAATGAGATACCATCTCACACCAGTTAGAATGGCGATCATTAAAAAGTCAGGAAACAACAGGTGCTGGAGAGGATGTGGAGAAATAGGAACACTTTTACACTGTTGGTGGGACTGTGAACTAGTTCAACCCTGTGGAAGTCAGTGTGGCGATTCCTCAGGGATCTAGAACTAGAAATACCATTTGACCCAGCCATCCCATTACTGGGTATATACTCAAAGGACTATAAATCATGCTGCTATAAAGACACATGCACACGTATGTTTATTGCGGCACTATTCACCATAGCAAAGACTTGGAATCAACCCAAATGTCCCACAATGATAGACTGGATTAAGAAAATATGGCACATATACACCATGGAATACTATGCAGCCATAAAAAACGATGAGTTCATGTCCTTTGTAGGGACATGGATGAAACTGGAAATCATCATTCTCAGTAAACTATCACAAGAACAAAAAACCGAACACCGCATATTCTCACTCATAGGTGGGAACTGAACAATGAGAACACATGGACACAGGAAGGGGAACATCACACTCTGGGGCCTGTTGTGGGGTGGGGGGAGGGGGGAGGGATAGCTTTAGGAGATATAGCTAATGCTAAGTGACGAGTTAATGGGTGCAGCACACCAGCATGGCACATGTATACATATGTACCTAACCTGCACATTGTGCACATGTACCCTAAAACTTAAAGTATAATAATAGTAAAATAAATTAAAATAAAATAAAAATAAAAATAATACTGTGATAAAATCCTTGAAGACTGGTGATCACATGAATGAACTATCTATTAGAACATGCTGCTAGAGAGATAATAGCAGTCCTGGAAGCTGTGCCCCTAATACCATGTATGGACACACTGTCACAGTCCCAGCCAAATCGCCTTACCCCAGGCCACTGTTTGAAAATGCAGCGTTAGTCACAAAAAGAGCCAGGTCAGAACATGTGTATGAATCAGTGTAATTAGAAGAATAACACTAATGTTGATGGGTCAGCTCCAGTAATTTTGTAGATGTGGGACAACAGTCTAATGAACTGACGTAGATTCAACTCAAACCATGGAACGGACCCTAAGCAATTATTGAGTATACAGATGAGCAATCAAAGATTTAAAGAAGTCCAGCAAGATGCCCAAGATCCCCTGGCTGCTCAGTGACTATCTGAGTCTTTAATTAGGTCTTCCAATTGCAAGTTCAATGCTCTTTCTAGTACTGCATTAGCTCATCTCTGGCCCATGTCCATGAGGTCTTGGCAAGGTCCATAGGGCTCCATAGAAGAAGTGGTTGAAAAAAATCCTGGACACATATACAGAAGACACAGACGATATCTTTTATTATTCTCCACGTTGCTGCCACCTGCACATCAGTAGTGGAATTTTCTGGTGCATCCCAGAAGCTGAATCCACTTATCATATTCACCTCTCAGGAGGAAATAAAATTCACTTAAGAATTCATTTCCCCAGCCCCTTATTTGTAGCAAGCCCCATGCACGAAGGGCTAACTCCAAAGCGAGATTCTTTTCTGATGAGATGCAAACCACTCTGCAGTAAAACATATAACCAGGGAACTGTAATTTCCTGACCCCAAACATCATGAAATGTCCGCAATGCCATCACATTAGCTTGTTTTCATGTAATTGTATAAACACAGTTTTGCCAGTTCAAAGCACTTGGAAGTGTTTTATTATGCTTTCTTCCTAGCTATGCAATCCTGACCACATGCCAAGGCTGAAAAACAAACTAGCTTATCCATGAGCTGGTGATAATTTAGATTTGTAGGAGGGCAGCTAGACTGAAGCCTTTAATTATGTATCACTATTTCATTTTACTTTAGGAAATAGGGTGGGTCATATTCTTGGATATGGAAGCTGGGAATAAGGGATGAAGGTCAATGTCCTGCTCACTTTCTCCCTCACTGGGTCCTCATAGGTTGAATTTAATTTTAACTGATATTCATTGAATGGATCATATGGGGAAAGTTCCATGATAAGCCCTAGGAAAAGGGGGAAATCAGGCTCATTTCTGGTTCTTTAGGAGTTTACAGTGCTGAAGATGATTAGGCATGTAAATAACCTGAACTCTGAGGCCAAATGGCATAGGGCCACGATGGCCACAGAAGTGTTAAGTGATATAGGAAAGAGGGAAATTAACCTTGTCTGAGAGTTTCTAGAAAGCTATAAGGAAGAGGTAGCATTTGAGCTAGACTAGGAAATGGGTTAGGATTTCAGCTGGTGAAGGGAGTTCTATGATCAGGAAATACTCTGAACAGTGTGAGTGAAAAGCTTGTGGCCAGGATGGGTCAGCGCGGGGCACGGAGCTGTGCTGAGTAATCCAGCAGTGAGCATCGAACATTACCATCTGCGAACACAAGCAAATCAGCTCTATGCAAGGGTCTTATCTAGTATTGAATCTTCATTGCCCCAAATAGCAGCTAGCACATGAGTGCCTGTCTCAGTCCATTCAGGCTGCCATAGCCAAATACCTTAGACTGAGTCATTTATAAATAACAGAAAGTTATTTCTTACAGTACTAGATCTTGCAAAGTCTAAGATCAGTGAGCCAGCAGATACAGTGTCTGATGAGGGCTTGCTCTTTGCTTTATAGATGGCACTTTCCTGTTGTGATCTGGCATGATGCAAGGGGCAAACAACTCCCTCAGGCCTCTTTTATAAGGGCACTAATCCCATTCATGAGGGCTCCACCCTCATGACCTAATCACCTCCTAAATGTCTCTCAATACTATTGCACTGGGGATTAGGTTTCCATATATGAATTCTGAGGGGACACAAGCATTGAGACCATGGCAGTGCCCAGTAATGGAATGAAGGAATTCTTAGGAAAGGGGTATTGCTTCAACTGGGTATTGTTGTTGCAAATGCAAGGATCCATTCAAATTCTTGCAATCAGTGGGTTTCTGGGGGAGATGGGTCCTTTTAAGAATATATTTGAACTAGGGAGATGGAGGTGACTCTAGAGACCCCTGATCATCTTCAGATCCACTCACAGAATGTATGGTCTCTGGCATGCTTTTCTGCATTGTTCAGTTCTCTTTCAGCCAGCTTCTTCTGCCTTATCCAGGTCTGTTCCATCTTAGCTTTGACCCGGAAGTGGCCTTAGTGGCCAGTCTGACCCCTCTCTCCGAATCACATTCCCTCTGCCCCTACTTTTTGTTGCCTTGCCCATTTCTAGTCCTAAAAGTAGAAGCCTTACTGGACTGGTCCATTTTTGCATGCCAGGCCAGCAATGCCCATGCCTACTTCAACCAGCAATGAGGGACTCAGGGAGAGGCAGCAGGGACTGTGGGCAAGGGAGTCCCCCTTGGAAGCAAAGGCATGCTTGCACTCACCATCTCAAGTACACCTGTACAGGGAACAGAATTAAGTTACATTTAAGCCAATTGACCAAGAAATTTGAGTTGTATTCAGTAGGCACATTCCTTCATGACCTCAGACTCTACCAGGCCACTGGCCAGCAGCCTAACCACTTGTGACTCCAAATCTTTTCCTTTATTTCAGTCTTGTGTTTCACCTGAAAACATCATCACTCCATCCTCAATATGGCTCCATCAGTCTCTGCCTATGTTCTCCGGGGCTTTCTCTTAGAAACCTGTGCTCTTACCTCTCCTAACAGCAGGGAAGTGGGATGTATAATAATAATAGTACTTGCCTGTTATGAGCTGAATTATTTCTCCCCTAAAAAATTCTTATGTAGGCCAGGCATGGTGGCTCAGGCCTGTAATGGGAGGCCGAGGTGAGTGGATCACCTGAGGTCAGGAGTTCGAGACTAGCCTGGCCAACATGATGAAACCCCATCTCTACTAAAAATACAAAAAAATTAGCCGTGCGTGGTGGCACACACCTGTAGTCCCAGCTACTTGGGAGACTGAGGCAGGAGAATCGCTTGAATCTAGGAGGCAGAAGTTGCAGTGAGCTGAGATCGTGCCATTGCACTCCAGCCTGGGCAACAGAGGGAGACTCCGTCTCAAAAAAAAAAAAAAAAAAAAATCATAAGTTGCAGTTCTGACGCAAAGTACCTTCGAATGTGGCCTTATTTGAAGATAGGGTCTTTAAAGGAGTAATTAAGTTTAAATGAGATCATTAGGGTAGGCCCTAAATCTGATATGACTGGTGTTCTTATAAGATGAGGATATTTGGACACAGACGTACAGAGAGAAGACCATGTGAAGACAAAGGAAGAACACAGCCATCTACAAGCCACGGAGAGAGTGACGCCTTCGCTCCCAGCCCTCAGAAGGAATCAACCCTGCCAACACTTTGATCTCTGATTTTCAGCCTCAAGAACTGTGAGAAAATACATTTCTGTTGCTTAGGTCACCCAGACTATGGTACTTTGCTATGGCAGTCCCAGCAGAATAACACACTACCTCATGTAGTTATTGGGAAGATAAAATTGATTAAGGCACTTAAAACACTTGGACCAGTACAAGAAGGATTAGCAATTAATTTCCAAACCTCTTAATCCTCCATCTTTCTCTTATTATTATTGCAGAGCTCCTATTTGTGCTGCTACATGTGACCTGACATCAAGCTGACTTTTTCAAACCTCCTCAATGTTCAAAGCAAAGAAATGGGGAGCCGTGTTTACTTGCTACCTCCTTCCAGCAACATGCACTCGGGAAAGAACCCTAGGAACTAAGTTCAAAGGAGTTGCCTAACAAAAGTTAAACATAAACTCTTAGAATAAATTCAAGGCAGTATTAACAACTAAAAGTAAAATTTATCTACTATTTCTTCCGAAGACCATGTAGGATGGAAATTCTTTTTTTTTTTTTTTTTTTTGAGAGGGAGGTTCACTCTTGTTGCCCAGGCTGGAGTGCAATGGCACGATCTCGGCTCACTGCAACCTCCGCCTCCTGGGTTCAAGCAATTCTCCTGCCTCAGCCTCCCGAGTAGCTGGGATTACAGGCACGCGCCACCATGTCCGGCTAATTGTGTATTTTCAGTAGAGACGGGGTTTCGTCATGTTGGTCAGGCTGGTCTCAAACTCCCGACCTCAGATGATCCGCCCACCTCAGCCTCCCAAAGTGCTGGGATTACAGACAGGAGCCATCTCACCTGGCCAGGATAGAAATTCTTAAGCAAAGTGTTTATAACACACAGAGGTTCCTCATTGAGTTTTCAGGTATGTCCAGTAATCTGTTGCAACTAATAAACTAAAGACTATATACAGTTTACCTTTTCATATAGTGGCAATCTTGCTCATCTATCATATTTAAAAATAATTTTACTGCTTTTACCATATAATCCACCCTTTTAAAGTATACAATTCAATGACTTTTTTAGTATAGTTATAGGGTTGTCCACCTGTCATTACAATCTAATTTTAGAACATTTTCGTTCCCCCTAAAGAAATTCTATACCCATGCACAATCATTCTCTATGTGTTATCACTCTATCTGTAAGCAACCACTAATCTTTCTGTCTCTATCTATTTACCTATTCTAGATATTTATTTATTTAGTTTTGAGACAGGGTCTTGCTCTGTTATTCAGGCTGTAGTGTGATCACAGCTCACAGCTCACTGCACTGCAGTCTCAACCTCCTGGGCTCAAGTGATCCTCCCACCTAAGCCTCCCAAGTAGCTGGGACTACCAACATGTGCCACCATGCCCTGTTAATTTTTTTCAAAAAAATGTTGTAGAGATGGAGTCTCCCTATGTTGCCCACGCTGGTCTCTAACTCCTGGGCTCAAGAGATCCTCCTGCCTCAGCCTCCCAAAGTGCTGTGATTACAGGCGTGAGCCACCATGCCTGGCCTATTCTGGATATTTTATAGAAATTAAATCATACGGTGTGGTCTTCTATGACTGGCTTTTTTTTTTTTTAACCTAGCATAATGTTTTCTGGATCATCCAAGCGTTAGCATGTCATTCCTTTTTATTGTCAAATAATATTCCATTGTGTGAATACACCACATTTTATTTATCCATTCATTGGTATATATATAAGTGTTTCCACTTTTTAGCTAGTATAAATAACGATGCCATGAATGTTTCTTGACAAGTGTTTGGATGGATATGTATTTTCAGTTCTCTTGGAACTGGAGGAGTGGAATTGCCTAGTCATAAGGTAACTGTATGTTTAACATTTTAAGGAACTGCCAAACTGTTTTCCAAGTGTCTGTGCCGTTTTACCAGCCACGTATCAGGATTCCAATTTCTCTACATCCTCATGAACAGTTGTTATCTTCTATATTATAGTCATCATTATACCATTATTATGGGTGCAAAGTAGTATCTCATTGTGGTTTTGATTTGCATTACCTGAATGGCTAATGATTTTTAGTATCTTTTCATGTGCTCATTAGCCATTTGATATCTTCTTTGGAGAAAAGTGTATTCAAATCCTTTGCCAATTTTTCCATTGAATTATTTGTCTTTTATTGAATGATAAATGCTCTTTATATATTTTGGATTCCAGTTTCTTACCAGATATATGATTTATAAATATTTTCTCCCATTCTGTGTGTTGCTTTCATTTTCTTGACAGCCTTGTCTGTAGCACAGAGTTTTAACCTTTAGATACAGTTCAGTTCTATTTATCTATTTTTTCTTTTGTCAATTGTGCTTTTGGTTTCGAATCTTAAGAAAATATTATCTGACCTCAGGTCACAAAGATTGACTACTATATGTTCTTCAAAGAGTTTGATCGTTTTTGGCTCCTACATTTAGGTTTATAATCTATTTTGAGTTAAATGTTGTGTGTGGTATGAGGTAGGGGTCCAAATTCATTCTTTTCCATGTTGATTCCCAGTTGTCCCAACACTACTTGTTGAAACTATTCTTTCTCACATTGAGTTGTCTTGTCACCTTTGTCAAAAATCAATAAACATAAATAAATGTAAGGGTTAATTTTGGGAATCTCAATTCTATTCTATTGGTCTATGTGTTTATCTCCTTATACCAGTACTATAATACATTGTCTTGATTACTGTAGCTGTGTTGCAATTTTTGAGTTTGGGAAGTGAGAATCCTCCATTTTTTTTTAATTTAAGATTTTTTGGCTATTCTGCATCTTTAGCATTTCCTAATGAATTTTAGGATCATCTTGTCAACTTCTACAAAAAAAAGGCAACTGGAATTTTGACAGGCATTGTGTTGAATCTGGAGATAAATTTAAAGAGTATTGACAGCCAGGCACAGCAGCTCACACCTATAATCCTAGCACTTTGGGAGTCCGAGGTGGGCAGATCACTTGAGGTCAGGAGTCTGAGACTAGCCTAGCCAACATGGTGAAAACCCATGTCTACTAAAAATACAAAAATTAGCTGGTCATGGTGGCACGTGCCTGTAGTCCCAGCTACTTCGGAGGCTGAGGCAGGAGAATCACTTGAACCTGGGAGGTGGTGGCTGCAGTGAGCCAAGATTGCACCACTGCACGCTAACCTGGGCAACGGAGCAAGACTCTGTCTCATAAAGGAAAAAAAAAGAAAAAAAAAGAGTATTGCCGTCTTAGCATCTTGTGATCCATGAATATAGACTGTTTTTTCATTTATTTGACTTCTTTCAACGTTTTGGAGTTTTCAGTATACAAGTCTTACACTCATTTTGTTAACTTTGTTCCAAAGCATTTTATTCTTTTTGATACTATTGAAAATTGTTTTCTTAATTTTTGGAATGTTCATTGCTAGTGTGTAGAAACACAACTGATTTTTGTATGATCTTGTATCCTGTAACCTTACTGAACTCATAGTTAGTTCTAATGCCTCCTTTTTTTGGTGGATTCTTTAGAATTTTTTACGTACAAGATCATGCTGTCTGGAAATAGAGGTATTTTGTTTCTTTTTTCCAATCTGGATGGCTTTATTTCTTTTTCTTGCCTGGCTAGAATCTCCAGTAGTATGTGCCAGTTCATGAGAACAAATATGCTTATCTTATACCTAAAGTTAGAAGAAAAGATTTTAGTCCTTCTGAAATATTAGCATGTTATTAAATATTATGTCAGCTTTGGGTTTTTAATAGATATTCTTTATCAGATTGATGAAGTTCCCTTCCATCTCTACTTTGTTGGATGGTTAGGTTTTTTTTTTTAAATTATTACTGTGTTTTTAAATCATAAATGGGTTTTAGCTTTTTTATTCTGAAATCTTTGGTTTTTGTCTTTTATTCCATTGATATAGTAAATTACATCAATTAATTTTCAAATGTTAAGCCAACATTGAATTTCTGTGATAAATCCCATTTGGTTATGGCATATACTTCTTTGTATGTGTGGCTGGATTCAGTTTTCTAGCTTTTTTTTTCCCATAAATTTCGCCTCTACATTTTTTAGGGATATTGATCTATAGATTTCTTGTCTTGTGATGTCATTGTCTGGTTTTGATCATATTAGCCTCATAAAATGAGTTAGGAAGTGTTCTGGTTTTTGGAAAAATTGAGAAGAACTGGTCTTAGTTCTTTTAATGTTTGCTAGATTTCACTAGTGAAGTCATCTGGTCCCAGTCTTTTTTTTTTGTTTTTGTAAGAAATTTTAAAATGACCAACTCAATCTCTTTGCTTCACACAGGTCTATTTAGATTTTCTATTTCTTTTCGAATCAGTTTTGGTAACGTTTGTCTTTATAGAAATCTGCCCAGTTTCATCTAGGTTATCTAACTTTTTGGCATACAATAGTGTTTCCATATAACCCTTTTTATTTCTGTGGGGTCAGTAGTGACGTCCTCTCTTTCCTTCACATTTGAGTCTTCTCTCCTTTTTTCCTGATCAGTCTTGCTAAAGGTTTTCCAAATTTTGTGGATCTTTTTGAAGAACCAACTTTTAATTTTGTTGCTTTTATCTGTTTTTCTATTATCTGTTTCATTTATTTCTGTTCTTTATTCTTTCCTCCTACTTGTTTTGCATTTAGTTAGCTTTTATTCTTCAAGCATCTGCAGCTCAAGTTTAGATTACTGATTTGAGATCTTTCTTCTTTTTAATATAGGCATTTACAGCTCTAAATTTCCCCCGGGCACTTTTTTAGCTAGATCCTATGGGTCTTGGTATGTTGTGGTTTTAATTTGTATTTATCTCAATATATTTTCTAGTTTCCCTTGTGCTTTCTTCTTTGATTCAGTTATTAAAGAGTGTGCTGTTTAATTGATACCATCCTGTGTATTTCCTTACACCAATACAGCTTTTTTCCATCTGGTTCCTTTGTGCTCTTGTTGTCAAATATATTACATTTCTGTATGTTACAGGACCAACAACACAATTAGATACCTATTGTTTTGTGCAATTGCTTTCTTAAATCAGTTAAGAGAAGAAAAATGAAGACATGTAATTATGCAGCTTTTATCATTAGCTACATAATTTCCTTTATTGAAGCTCTTTGATGTCCCTGCTCATATATTTCCCCTTGTTGGATCTGCATAGCTCACTGTTACTCAAAGGTTGTGCTTAAGCCCCTTAGTTAGATTTTCATCCTTTACTGTTGGATATGTGTGTAGTTCAGAGGTTGCTATCACACATTGGGGAATTTACATTTTGTTTGGCTCTGCATTCAGCCAGGGACTAGTAGCTTGGAGTCCCTCTTTAATCACTCCTGAGATGTCTCAGCCTCAAACACACACACAGCCTTCCAGACAGTCAGGAATGAGAGCAATTTTAGTTTTAAGCCTGGCTTCCTAGGCCTCACCCCTGGGTTGGAGTAGCTTATTTTTAAGCCAGTGTTTGCTCAGAGGTTGTGTTTACGCCTCTTGTACCAGTGAGACTGTAAACGACTACCCCATTTTCCTAAAAATTATCTTTATCTTTTCACTTTTTCCCTGCATGTTCACCTCTTACTTAGCTCTTTAGGAATGCAACTCTAACCTTTACCTTCTCTCCACCTGGCACTCCCTGCACTGAGAGCTTATCTAACTACATGTTTGCTTAGAAATTCTAAGGACCAAATGTTGAACCAAACCATGAACTCTCCCGGATTCTCCCCCACCAGGAAATTGCCTCAAGATGACAGTCAATTTACAACTCAGCTCTGCCCTTCATGGTGGCAGCCTGCAAGTCGCGAGTCACGCAGACCCCGCGCCTCCTCCTCTCCATAGCATGCACTCCAAGTCCCCCTTAAAGCCTCTGCTTTCTGCCCCCAAAGCTGAAGTGGTTCCCTTAAGGCAGAAGCCTGTACCTCTTCCCCTCAGCTAAGCTCTGAAATAAAACTCGCTTTCTTTCTATCAGCCCTCACTCATTAATTGGACTGTGCAAGCAGTGAGCAGCTGGACTTGCATTTGGTTACAAGCCCTCTGCCTTGTGTTGATTGGCCTGTGCACAGCTTGGGGAAAGCTTTCAGGTCTGCCCAACATCCTGCTCTGACTGGCCTTGAGTGGGTGAAACCTAGTGCACGTTCACCGCCTTCCCAACTCGCAGAATTGACTGGGATCCCAGAATTGACTGGGATCCCAGCAGCGCTGTTCTGGGCTCTTGACCTGGTTCTATGAAACTTCCAGCTGCTCTGCCGTTCCACTCATATCCTGGAGCTCCAGCCTCCTTCACTGCTCTCCACGCAGTCTCCACTGTTTTGACAACACCCTCAGGCATACAGTTCTCCAGGTACTGTTTCAAATAAAGTCAGTTCCCTCAGGCAGAGCTGCAGAGCTCTTCACCCTGACAGCATGCCCTCCCCGCCGACCCCACCACCACAGGGCCTTTTTCTAGGAATGACATCCCTGCTCTACAGGGGGGCACTGAGGGAGGATGATGTAGCAGCCCTGGTCTTCTTGGTTTGCCTTCCCTGGTATAGAATCTCTGCCCTGTGAGAGAGCTGGCAGGGGCAATCAGGCCTCTTATTGGTGGCCTGCTGCAGAGCTCCTGCCCTTTAAGTGCAAGGAGGCCCTAGTCCTGTGAGCTACCCTCGCTTGGAATAGATCTTCCACAATAAGGGGCTAGGGAGGATGAGAAATGCCAGCAGTCCCTCCCTCCTGGTAAAAGAAAAACTTCAGCCGAATTAAATGTAAAGGAGTTTAATTGAGCAATGAACGATTCGCAAATCGGGCAGCCCCCAGAATCACAGCAGATTCACAGAGACTCCAGCACAGCCACACGGTGGAAGATTTACAGACATAACAAGTGAAATGATGTGCAGAAATTGGCAGTGAGGTACAGAACAGCTGGATTGGTTGCAGGTTGGTGTTTGCCTTATTTCAACAGTTTGAACACTTAGCAGTCTATGAGCGATTGAAGTATGGCCACTGAGATTGGCTCAGCCTCCCAAAGTAATTTTTGTATTTTCAGTAGAGACGGGGGTTTCACCGTGTTGGCTAGGCTGGTCTTGAACTACTGACCTCAGGTGATCCACCCGCCTCGGTCTCCCAAAGTGCTGGGATTATAGGCATGACAACAGGGCATACTCCTAAATTAGGTTTTCAATCTTGTCTATTAAGCTAAGTTACAGTTCATCTGCAAGGACTCAAATATAGAGGTACGGAGGCCTTCTCAGGCCATATTTAGTTTGCTTTAACACTCCCAAGGTGAAACTGCAGCCCCAGACAGGGTGTTAAGTGGAGCGGGAATCTCTGTCTTCTTGGTCGTATCTGCCCGAGAATGGGGCCCAGAATAGAGCTTCTGGAGATATGGGGAGGAGGGGTAGGCAAGGTCATGGATCAAAGGCCACAGACTTTGGCTATTCTTCTTACCAGTGTTTAGTACATTTCCTTTTCCTTTTTCTCTTTTTTTTATTTTCTTTTTCCTTTTTTTTTTTTTTTGAGACAGAGTCTCACTCTGTTGCCCAGACTGATGATCTCCGCTGACTGCAACCTCTCCTTCCCAGGTTCAAGAGATTCTCCTGCCTCAGCCTCCCGAGTAGCTGGGATTACAGGTGCCCGCCACCACGCCTGGCTGATTTTTGTATTTTTAGTAGAGACAGGGTTTTGCCATGTTGGCCAGGCTGGTCTCGAACTCCTGACCTCAGGTGATCTGCCCACCTCAAGCTCCCAAAGTTCTGGGATTACAGGAGTGAGCCACCATGTCCGGCTGTTTATACATTTTCTCAAATGACTGTTTCTCCATCTGCTATATGTTTTAGGACAATTTCCAGAGACTTTCAATTATGACTTGTTTGTATTTTGCTTTTTAAAATACTTTTCAGCTGGGCGCGGTGGCTCACACCGGTAATCCTAGCACTTTGGGAGGCCCAGGTGGGCGGATCACTTGAGGTCAGGAGCTTGAGACCAGCCTGGCCAACCTGGCAAAACCACATCTCTACTAAAAATACAAAAATTAGCCGGGTGTGGTGGTGCACACCTGTACTCTGAGCTACTCAGGAGACTGAGGCAGGAGAAACGCTTGAACCCGGGAGGCAGAGATTGCATGTGCTGATATCATGCCACTGCATTCCAGCCTGGACAACAGAATGAGACTCTGTCTAAAAAAAAAAAAATTAATTAATTAATTTAATGTTTTTCCCCAGTGAAATGGGCTGTTTTGCTGGGGAGAATTTCAACTGAGCTTCATTCTGTGTCCCTTCCATTCTGGAAGTCCTGCTCATTTACCAGTGAGGAATGCTTTCTGGGGTAGGAAAGAGTGGCTGGATCTCTAGTTGGCAGGGCATTGCGTAAACCCCTGAACACACACACTGGGTATGTGGCCTGTACCCAACCTCATTTCATATCATGATTTCTCAAGCACTGAACATAAAATAAACCCAAGCAATTTGTTCTGTTCTATGTGTACCAAATCGGTTAGCAAGATTTGGCTTTTATTTCTAATGAGGGAAACATGTGGGTTCACTTTTTCAGTTTGGCTTCAGTAAAACATTCCCAGAAAAAGTATTCTACCCATAAGGACCTCCTGAAAAACATGAAAGTTTTCACAAATCAAATTTTCCCAAGTTTCAGAGTTATATTTATGTGAAAAGGCTGTGCTGAAACAAATGTTAAGAATGCACAACTTACTTTACCTTTCAAATTTTAAAAATATTAGTTTTATAACATAATAATTGTTCCATAATCTCCCAATAAGCCTCTTTCTAGCAGAAATTTTAAAACTGGAGGAAGCATCTTTTTATTTATTATTTATTTATTTATTTATTTATTTTGAGACAGGGTCTCACCCTGTTTCCCAGGCTGGAGTGCAGTGGCCCAATCACAGCTCACTGCAGCCTTGACCTCCCAAGGCTCAGGTGATCCTCCTGCCTCAGCCTCCCAAGTAGCTGGGACTACAGGCCCATGCCACTGTTCCTGGCTAATTTTTGTATTTTTAGTAGATATGGGTTTTTGCCATGTTGCCTAGACTGGTCTCGAACTCCTGGGCTTAAACGATCCACCCACATCGGCCTCCCAAAGTTCTCCCACAGGCATGAGCCACTGCACCTAGTCATCTTTAAAAGCTTCTATGGTGCTTCAGACTTGCTCAGGCAAATCACCTGGTCTCTCCCACGGGTTGCATTAATCAGTGGGATCACATTAGACCAGGAGTCCCGGACTGTCTAGTTTGATTATATTATGCAGACTTTCACATACCACTGTCATAATTTTTACCATATCTTCACATTTTTTCTACATCTGTGTATCAACTGCACTTATTAAAACTTTTTCTAATACACTTTTAAGTATTTCTTTCTAAATGCATTCATTTTTAAAACAAATGTTTTATCACTCATGCAAAAAGCCAATTAATAAATATAATGAAAACAAAAATTAAACATTCTAGCTACACACTGTTAAAGGCTCTGAACTTGAGGCCTGCTTTCTCTGTATAAAGAGAGCTATGCGGCCAGGTGCAGCGGCTCATGCCTGTAATCCCAACACTTTGGGAGGCGGAGGTGGCTGGATCACGAGGTCAGGAGGTCGAGACCATCCTGGCTAACACGGTGAAACCCCGGCTCTACTGAAAGTACAAAAAATTAGCAAGGTGTGATGGCGGGTGCTTGTAGTCCCAGCTACTCCGGAGGCTGAGGCAGGAGAATGGCATGAACCCGAGAGGCGGAGCTCACAGTGAGCTGAGACCACGCCACTGCACTCCGGCCTGGGAGACAGAGCGAGACTCCGTCTCAAAAAAAAAAAAAGAGAGAGCTATGCAATAGAACAATTGTATTTGATTAGTGCTGTCATAAGCACTTTATACATGGTATCTCATTTAACATTTATAACAATTGTATGAGGTAGATTGTTTCCCCATTTTACACAAGAGGAAACTGAGTGATAGTGGGTCCATGTCCCCACTCAAATCTCATGTCAAATTGTAGTACCCAAGGTTGGAGGTGGGTTCTGGTGGGTGGTGACTGGATCATGGGGGTGGATTTCCCCTTTGGTGCTGTTCTTGCGATAGTGAGTGAGTTATTTCGAGATCTGGCTGTTTAGGTATGTAGCCCCATGCCACCCCCACCCCTCCCTGCCCCACCCACTTCTTCCTACTCCAGGCCTAAGACGTGCCTGGTTCCCTTTCACCTTCTGCCATGATTGAAAGTTTCATGAGGTCTCAGAAGCCATCGTGCTTCCTGTACAGCCTGCAAAACTATGAGCCAATTAAACTTTTCTTTATAAATTACCCAGTCTTAAGTATTTCTTTTCATCTTTCTTTTTTTTTTTTTTCAGATGGAGTCTCGCTCTGTCACCCACACTGGAGTGCAGTGGCATGATCCCAGCTCACTGCAACCTCTGCCTCCCAGGTTCCAGCGATTCCCCCACCTCAGCCTCCTGAGTAGCTGGGATCACAGCTACCTACCATCATGCCCAGCTAATTTTTGTATTTTTGTAGAGACGGGGTTTCACCATGTTGGCCAGGCTGGTCTTGAACTCCTGACCTCAGGCAATCCACCCACCTTGACCTCCCAAAGTGCTGGGATTACAGCCGTAAGCCACTGTGCCCAGCCAAGTATTTCTTTATAGCAGTGTGAGAACGGACTAATACTCTGAGGGACAAGAAAGAATAAATGGCAGAGGCAGCAGATCAAGCAGCATTAACATAAGCAACTCCATCTTAGAAAAAGACTCCATCTTACATTTTAAAAGCCATCATGCCGACAGGGACCAGATGTTCACCTAATCAATAGACACTGCACCCAGCCAGATAAGGACAAAACCAGGCGCACTTTTCCACTATCAGGCCTCACCAAACGACTCTGGAGAGCAGGACTTCGCCAGCTCAAAACGCCCATCTTAACAGACACTGTCTTGCTGTCACTTGTGATAAGCACCTGGCATCCACCTCTGAAGTCTGTGCCCACATAAAAGACTCTTCCTTGCAAGACCTTGCAGGAAATTCTTTTTGTCTATATTGCTCTTCCTGGACTGGTTAACTCTTTCCCTCATCCCTTTTCTCTTGATTTTTTTTTTTTTGAGACGGAGTCTCACTCTGCCACCCAGGTTGGAGGGCAGTGGCACCATCTCGGCTCACTGCAACCTCTGGCTCTCAGGTTCAAGCAATTCTCCAGCTTCAGCCTCCAAAGGAGCTGGGATTACAGATGCACACCACCACACCTGGCTAATTTTTGTATTTTTAGTAGAGATAGGGTTTTACTACGTTGGCCAGGCTGCTCTCTAACCCGTCACCTCAAGCGACCTGCCCGCCTCGGCCTCCCAAAGTGCTAGCATTACAGATATGATTCACTGCACCTGGCCTCTCTTGATGTAAAATTTACTTTATTTGATGTGGAATGTTTAATCTATAACATTTATATATCGATTAAGCATACCACACCATGTATGGTTTGCAATGCTGACTGACTTGTGGAACGGTTTGAGCCTCACACCTCTGACTACTGACTGAATGGGTAATAGTAAGGAGAGTCGCCTCCTTGGTAATTCTAGGTAGCTCGTGGCTTCTGTGACTGAAATAGCATCAACAAAAGTCTGACATTGTGGAAAGACACAAATATGTGTGGATCTGGTTATCTGACCTTGAGACGCTCAGGATAGCCAGGATTCAAATGGAGGCAGTCTGGAGTCAGTGCACCTAGCTGCCTCCTACATAATGCAAAAGACAAGTGATTCTCTATGATTTGATGCCATCTGTGCCTCAATTACAAACGCCTGAGACTGCATTGGAGTACATGGCCCTACTTTGGAAAAACTGGTCTGGGGGGATGTCCAGACAGCTCTGGGGAGAGGCGTCTTCCTTCCACGCTCAGATACACATGGAAATGCTGCACATTCTCTCAGCTTTTGGGGATTCACCTTTTGTATTGGTATCTAAATGGTTCTCAGAGTCCTGCAGCAAACACTGTCTTAAGCTTTCTTTTTCTTCTTTAGAGACAGGGTCTCATTCTGTTGCCCAGGCTGGAGTGCAGTGGTGTGATCATGGCTCACTGCAGCCTCGACCTACTGGGGTCAAGTGAGCCTCTTGCTTCAGCCTCCTGAGTAGCTGGGGCATGTGCCACCACACCGGCCTTTTTTTTTTTTTTTTTTTTTTTTTTTTGTAGAAATGAGGTCTCACTGTGTTGCTCAGACTGGCCTCAAACTCCTGAGGTCAAGCAATCCTCCCACCTCAGCTACCTGAGTAGCTGGGACTACAAGTATGCCACCACGCCTGGCTGATTTAAAAAAAAATTCTTTTTGGTAGAGATGGGGATCTCACTATGTTGCCCAGTTTGGTCTCAAACTCTTGACTTCAAGCAATCCTCCTTCCTTGGCCTTCCAAAGTGGTGGAGTTACAGGCATGAGCCACTATGCCCAGCCTCTTTTAAGCTTTCTTTAATGCAGCATTTCTTATTGGATCTCAGAATCATTTTAAAGGGGAGCCTGTATTTGTACCTCAGGAGACGCAAATGTTCCATTAAGCAGTCTGAATCCTTCTCAGCATTTAGAATAAAATTCATTTCATTAAAAAATATTCCTAGTTTTTAAAGATGAAGAAAGTATTGCTTCCCTGAAAGAGGTTACAAATATTCAAATAGGGTTTCTGTTACCTGGTGAAATTTCTCATGCCGTCGAACACAGATCACTTCAGAAGGTCATCTGCTTTCTAACACCCCTTCCAGTCCTTCCACACCCACTTCTGACTTGGCAGCAGGAGCAGCATTTCCACCAGGTGATGGCCTTTGTCACTGCCAGTTCCACTGGGGGGCACCAGCAGCCATGGGCAAAGGAAGCCCTGGGCATTTGAATTTGGCACAGAAGCTGCCACCATGTGTCAGGCACTCTGTATTCAAAGAGTGAAAGGAAAATAGAATCTCAGGATCCCAAACTCAGGATGGCAAAGGGAAACTTCAGCATGGGAACTGAGTCACGCAAAAACTGCTGTTCCTTCTGTTCCCAGACAGCTGTAATTTCACAACCTCATGTCACAGCCTCATTTCCTCTACTCCCTCTTTAAACGTTAACTTTATCTTGTGTAAAATGTAGATTTACTGAGCTTATCTTGTGTAAAATGTAGATTTACTAAGCTGGAGACAATGAATAATTGTTTTTTTCCTCTACTCCCTCTTTTCATAGGTAAAATGTAAATTCACTGAAGCTGATCAGAGCCTCACAAGAAGGTAACCATCCGCCGCATTGCCTACCCTCCCTATTTTTCCCTCTTGCTTGCTCTTTCCCTTTTAAATACCAAAGTTCCCAAAACCCCTTTGGAAAAAGCACAGGTCACAGATGCTCCTGTGATCTGTGCTTTTTACTAGGCGCGTCCTTGACTTTGGCTAAATAAACCTCAAATAGATTGAAACCTGCCTCACTCAACTTTTGGTTTACAAAAGTTCAGTGAACCTGGAAGTTCTTTCAAAAAACTCACAAAAAGGGGAAATTGCCTTAGGAGGGAACAACATATGTGATAAGTAATGCACTTCTAATTGTCACCACTGACAGGTACTTCTGCGTGGCCTGCTCAGCAAAGAACTGTTTCTTGATAAAGAAAAACAAGGCCCAAATTGATGTGTGCTAATTGCACGACCTTCACCAGGAGGAGGGAGGCAGTGGCACGGAGTGAGTGCTTGGGTTTGCTGTGTGTCCGGAAATGGTGAGTTCTTGGTCTCACTGACTTCAAGAATGAAGCCGCGGACTCTCGTGGTGAGTGTTACAACTCTTAAGGTGGCGCGTCTGGAGTTTCTTTGTTCCTCCTGATGTTTGGATGTGTTGGGAGTTTCTTCCTTCTGGTGGGTTGGTGGTCTCGCTGGCTCAGGCAGCAGTGAAGATGCAGACCTTTGAGGTGAATGTTACAGCTCATAAAGGCAGTGTGGACCCCAAGAGTGAGCAGCAGCAGGATTTACTACAAACAGCGAAGGAACAACGCTTCCACAACGTGGAAGGAGACCCGAGCAGGTTGCCAATGCTGGCTCGGGCGGCCCGCTTTTATTCTCTTATCCGACCCCACCCACATCCTGCTGATTGGTAGAGCCAAGTGGTCTGTTTTGACAGGGCGCTTATTGGTGCGTTTACAATCCCTGAGCTAGACACAAAGGTTCTCCACATCCCCACTAGATTGGCTAGATACAGAGTGTCACACAAAGGTTCTCCAAGTCCCCACCAGAGTAGCTAGATACAGTGTCGACTGGTGCATTCACAAACCCTGAGCTAGACACAGGGTGCTGATCGGTGTGTTTACAATCCCTGAGCTAGACATAAAGGTTCTCCAAGGCCCCACCAGAATAGCTAGATACAGAGTGTCAATTGGTGCGTTCACAAACCCTGAGCTAGACACAGGGTGCTGATCAGTGTATTTACAATCCCTGAGCTAGACATAAAGGTTCTCCACGTCCCTACCAGACTCAGGAGCCCAGCTGGCTTCACCCAGTGGATCCCGCACCGGGGCTGCAGGTGGAGCTGCCTGCCAGTCGCGCGCCGTGCGCCCGCACTCCTCAGCCGTTGGGTGGTCGATGGGACTGGGCGCCGTGGAGCAGGGGGCGGCGCTCATCGGGGAGGCTTGGGCCGCACAGGAGCCCACGGAGGGGGTGGGAGGTTCAGGCATGGCGGGCTGCAGGTCCCGAGCCCTGCCCCGCGGGAAGGCAGCTAAGGCCCGGTGAGAAATCGAGCGCAGCGCCGGTGGGCTGGCACTGCTGGGGCACCCAGTACACCCTCTGCAGCCGCTGGCCCGGGTGCTAAGCCCCTCATTGCCCGGGGCCGGCAGGGCCGGCCGGCTGCTCCTAGTGCGGGGCCCGCCAAGCCCACGCCCACCCGGAACTCCAGCTGGCCCGCAAGCGCCGCGCGCAGCCCGGGTTCCCGCTCGCGCCTCTCCCTCCACACCTCCCTGCAAGCTGAGGGAGCCGGCTCCGGCCTTGGCCAGCCCAGAAAGGGGCTCCCACAGTGCAGCGGTGGCTGAAGGGCTCCTCAAGTGCCGCTAAAGTGGGAGCCCAGGCAGAGGAGGCGCCGAGAGCGAGCGAGGGCTGTGAGGAGGGCCAGCACGCTGTCACCTCTCAGCGGGATGCAGCCGTAGGGCCAGCCACACCTCTCCCACGTGGGACGCACCTCTTGTGACACTTCTTTTGGAAATTCTAGTTGCCTCCTGCTTTCCTCTGTTCTGTTGGCAAAAGTGGCTTTGAATTCTGCACACCCCACGGTTCTACCTGCCTTGTCAGGAGTCTTGCAGTGAGGCCCTCCTGGTCTGAAGCGATCCCTTCTTCCCTGTATTGCGCTGTCTTCAGGGCAGGGCTCCTCTTGTTACAGTAGGTAGTCAGGCACACAGAAGCAGGGCGGAAGAACGCCCCCCAGCAACCATCAGGTGAGATGGTCAGGTGGTTGTTACACTGTCTCTCTAAAATAATTGGTGACAGCCGGTGCCAGGGAAAGGCAGGCTCCCAACAGACAGAAAACACCTGAAGCTGGTGATCAGCAGCTTTCGGATAAGAGCTCAGGATTTGGGTGCGTGGGCTGAAGCATGCGCATTAAGAGGCAAAAGGACGGCGCTTGACTGGTATAGGACCTTCTAGGAACATTCAACTAGTAAGGGAAGAACACCTCAAGTGAGCATGCGCACAACTCCAGTAATACACTGCGCATGCGCCCCCTCCCAAGCGCTGGCAGGCCTCTGCGTATGTGGACGGCCAACCCCAAGGAAGAATCAGGGGAGACCTCGGAAAAATGCCCACGTATAAAACCCCAGGTCAAAGGTCAAACTGTGCACTTGATCTCTCAAGCCGCCTGCTTGGCCCTCTTCCAAGTGTACTTCCTTTCGTTCCTGTTCTAAAGCTTTTTAATAAACTTTCCCTCCTGCCCTAAAACTTGCCTCCGTCTCTCCTGCTGTCTTATGCCCCTCGCTTGAATTCTTTCTTCTGAGGAGGCAAGAATTGAGGTTGCTGCAGACCCGTTATGGATTCACCACGTTAACACCCTGGCTTTGGTCCTTCCTTATCTTCTCTTTGCCTTTATTTAAACAATATGGAGTACTAAATCCTCTGATGGGTACCTGAGGGGCCTGCTCTTCCAGTTTGCAAATAGGGCACCCTGAGGCAGTATGTAGCAGGACTTCTGCTAAGAGCCTTTGAAAGAAAGATCAGGGGAACTTCCAAAGCTACCATAAATTCAACAGCTGTGACTTAGGAATATAGTGGATCATTGAAAAAAAAAAAAAAGATTCTGATTTAAGAGAGCTGATCTTCAAGTTATATCCTCAGCCTGAAAACAGAGGCAGTTTTAAAACAGGGATTCTTTAGTTTTCTCTTCGGAGACCAAACAGAAGAGAGCTACCACCACCCACCTCCCACAGCTCCAACAGTACCACTAAGGACTAAAACTATAAAAGTCATTCCTTAACTGATAGAATTAAAAGTAAAAACAAATGAACAAAATCTGAAATAATTAAGTTCTGGGAATACAACTGTTTAACCATTTCTTTGTATTTTTATTGATTTTTCTTTTTTAATTTCTGCCCAGTTACAACAACGAAATGGGAAACCACAATTAAAATTCACAAACCATGGCATGAAAAACAACACGCACCCCATCAGGAATTACACCAAACCCCTTTTCCTTTTTATTCATTCAAAAGAGAGTCCAATACACAAGTGTCAAATATGAGCACTGTCATTTTTTTTTTCTTAGAAGGGGGAAAAACATTTATTTTGGCAGTGCTTTGACAATTCCAGGAAGTGGTTTTGATACCACAAGTTGCAGGAATAGAAACCCTAACAAACTTGGAGGGCATTTGTTTGAGAGGCAAGGGACGCCTTGCTTAGAAAACATTCCTCTTGTGCTTAGTGAATCACCTATCGCCTCGGTGGGCTGCTGTGTCTTTCCAGGTGCTGAAAGAGAAAACGGAATTTCTTGCATAGACAGCTGAAGAGTCCTGTAGAGGAGAGTGATTTTTGTATCTCCAACCCTCCTCCCAACTTGAAACAAATTCTCAAGCTTCTCTGGAGCATCTTTTGGTCACATGACCCTCGATCATGGTAACCCTTTTGCTAAGACACATGTGACACCAAGGTTTCCTCTGACACTGCTTCTCTAGGGTTCAGATGACAGCATAAAACATCACTGGTCAAAAATATTAGATATTAAGAATGTGGGCGTTTATGTTCGTAACAGCAAATACTTTGTAGGGTGTGTCACCCAAAGGAGCATTTTTGTCATTTAATATGGTCCCCGGGGAGTTAGCCCAAAATCATACAAATAAGCCTTTTTCTAAAGACAGGTCAAAGTTGGTTAATTTAACAGTTGAGGAACCGTCTCATGCCAATTAAAAAATTCTTACTTCCCAACTATTCAATGGTCCAAAAAGCAATTAAATGTGACCAGTTTTACACACATGCACACACACACACACGGAGACGCGCACACACACACGAGAACTGTGACAAAAGGATTCACCAGATTAATCTTGTGACTGTGTTCTAAAAGAAAATGAAATCTCAAACTTGAGGTGTCCTATTCAAGTATTAAAAAAATGCAAACATCGTCTGATCCCATTCGATTTTTATCATCATAAGAAATCATTCTCTGAACTGCAGGTTCTGGAGTCAGTGAAATTAATGCCTGGGGCACAAAATATTCTACAAAAATCGGTTTGTGATTTCTAGCAGGGCAGTCGCTTGCTCCTTATTTCTTTTAAAAAACATGTTGAGACTTTGTATACTGTAGCCTTCCAAGAGTCAATACTTTACAAAAGAAGTAAAAGAGTAGCGAGTACCAGCAACTCACTCTTCTTGTCTGAGGCTGGCGAGAAGCAGTCAGTTTTATACATTTTCGATCAACCCACGGAGGAGGCAAATGTAAACAGAGTTTTTTACACTCTCCGAAAAACATGTTACTACTGTAGCATATGCTGTTTGGCCCAATTAAAAGTAGAATGGAGAGCAATTTGTTTGGTTGGCTTTTTAAGTTTTACCTTGTGAAGATTTTAAAACAAGGGTATTACTAGTTCTTGGCAGGAGACCGTCCAATCAGAGGCTCTGTATTTATAAATAACCCGTGTGGGATTATGCTCTCCAGTGAATATAACTGGAGCCTAAATTCACAACCTTAAGATCTGACAGCCAGATATGGAAGGTCTACAAAGAGCTCTGCTAATAAGTAATATGTTTGCAAAGTGCTCTGCTAAGTAAGGTACTTATTAAGCAGAGCACTTTGTAAGATTCAGAACTGACTCCTGATTATCTTAAGCCATTAAAAGACTCAAGTTTTGCATGGACTTTTTGTCCTCTTTGGCCCCTGAGTGTGCCCCATCTCTGCCCAGCACTAATAACACGTTGGAAGAGCAAAGGATTTCCCACCAGCGTGCCAGATGATTTATATAGGCAGGGACCTTCATTGAAAAGAAGGGAAGGGACACTGTCTTAAATGCACATTTAAGGTTCTTTCTGATTATTGGCAATCTCTATGAACCAACACTTAATCCATGGGCTAACAGAGAGATTTTTTTTTTTTAATGTGAAGAGGATTAAAGAATAAAGAAAAAACAAAAAAGTCTTATACTAAAATAAGAAATCAGCCCCATCTTGGCACAGTTCTCATGCAGAATATTGCACCCAGTGTGAACTAACGCTAGAAGCTTCAAACTGTATAAATTTAAATGTATTTGCATATTATAAAAATAAAGATAAACATATACATATTTTACACTAGTTATGGAACAGCAATGAACGTCAGTCGATCCCTCTTTCACATTTAACAGAACTGAAATCTGAGTGCTCTAAATACTGCCACCTGTACTGTAACTATGGCTTATATGTGCACGGAAAACAAAATCCCTGAGAAGCCATTCGACTTTTTTTTTTTTTTTTTCTTTTCTTCAAGTAGCGCGCTCCTTGGAGGATCACAGTTCTGAGGTTCAGGTTGTAAAACATTTGCTCCATGTTCTCGTCCATGCTTCCCCCCACCACCCCCTCCCCACCTCTTCCCCAGTCGTCCAAAAAGCACCCTGCAAGCACGCGTTGTCACTCAAGTTCACAGAACACGCTGGGGTGAGTGCAGAGGGTCTGCCAGGTGCAAAAGATGGTCCAGGTGTTCAGATGCTCTCTTTTCTCCATGGAAATTCCACAGCCACAAACGTCACTGGTTTCTGTGCTTTTCACCAACATTCTTCCTGTATGGGTGGACAACAAGAAAGCACAGAGATGACAAAAACGTACTGGACAATGCTACCCTCAATAAGAAAAGGAAGTGATGATAGAAATCTATTTTCTGCACATATTTTCATTTCTACTTCCAGGACTCATTATAAACATGTAAATGTCAGGCAACTTATGTCCCCACAAAGGAAAGAGTCATTTTAGCAGTCTATTTGCCAAACATTTCTGTTGGTGTGTTAAGCTCAGTTCAGCTATAAGAGGGAACTGTACTAACTGGCTGTCATCACTTATTCCACTGTAATTTTATAGCTTAACTAGACCTCTAACTAACAACCCAAAACTCTAAACACGGAACTGTTTCCTTTCAATAAACACACACGGTCACACGCAGACACACACCAAATAATCCTCTAGAAGAAGGAATATATACTAAAAAGTGAGATGTCTGTCTGCCTAAAATGCATGATTTTACTTAAAATGTTATAAGTTAAGTTGTCCACGCAAATCTGGAGTCTGATCAATATAGAATGAATAAACTACTGCAGCCTCAGCAAATAAAGCGGGATTCAGTTCCGATAAAATGGTTAGAGGAAAAAATATCAAGTGTTTTTCTCATTTTTGCTTCCCTACAATGACATGTGATGGGATGTTTTTGAAAGTGGTTTTTTTTTTTTAGCAACTTTTAATAAAATATACAAAGACATTGAAAGGAAAGGAAAAAGGAGTTACGATTCGTTTCCTCCAATCCCCCATCTCTCATTAGGAGAGACGCTGATTTCATGGACACTGATAATTCAGCATCTGCCTAAACACTTCTCCAGTCCATACAAGATTCAGTCATGGGCTCATTCAAGCATGATAATAACGACATCACCAAAACAAAGCAAAGCAAAGCAAAACAAAACAAAACAAAACAAAAAAACCAAAAACCTCTCATTTACTAACTACATGCCAGGAATTAGGTTGTTCACTCTAGTGCATTATTTATCTTCAACTCCTAATAATCCCACCATGTAAGCTCCATCTTACTCAGTATTATTATTATTTTTTTTTTTTTGAGACAGAGTCTCGCTCTGTTGCCCAGGCTGGAGTGCAGTGGCGCAATCTCGGCTCACTGCAAGCTCCGCCTCCTGGGTTCATGCCATTCTCCTGCCTCAGCCTCCCGAGTAGCTAGGACTACATGTGCCCGCCACCACACGCGGCTAATTTTTTGCATTTTTAGTAGAGATGGGGTTTCACCATGTTAGCCAGGATGATCTTGATCTCCTGACCTCATGATCCGCCCACCTTGGCCTCCCAAAGTACTGGGATTACAGGTGTGAGCCACTGCGCCCGGCCTCAGCATCTTACTAGGAAGGGAACTAAGGTTCCAAAAGATGAAATAACTTCCCCAAGGGTGCATACTAGCGAGTGACAGAGCCAGGCCTTTCACTAGGGTGATCTGACTCCAAAGCTCAAAGAGAAGTTGGATATTTGGAGCCCTAGGAAAGAGTTTCACATTTCTAAGGCACTCTGCCACGAGAATTTTTTGAATGCCTATTAATATAGTAAACTCCCAGAAGAGAGGGTTTTGAAAACTGCCTCAAATTCAACTAATAATATAATCAATCTAACTGTAAGGAGGACGCCAGTGTAAAAACACACGTCTCAACCTAGCAGCTAACTTTGGTGGTGTGAGTTTTGGGTTCACGTGGGAGATGTGTTACATAAACATTTTCCCACTGAATCTGACAGACCTTCAGAAATGCAGACAGTCTGCTCCCCGGGCTACACGTAAGACTGAGAAACACAAGAATACCTAATCAAGGACACCTAGACGGAAAATCCCACTGTTCAACCAGCTTGAAAATTGTTTCACATCTATATGCCTTTTTCCACATTTGGGATCTTAGAGAAAACAACCATCAAAATCACCAACCTTCTCTGTTTCTCCCCACCTCTCTAGCTCCATAAACTTGTCCTCCTTCTTCAAGATCCATCTCAAGTACGACTTCCTGGAACTTTTCCTGATTCTTCCTGGTAGAGTTCTTTCTTCCCTGTGCTTACAAGACTCTGTTCATACACCTATCATGGCAGGTACCATGTTTCAATTATAATTAGACTCTGATAAGTTTGCCTGGTTATGGCTTTGATTCCTATCTTCTCCAAAGAGGCTATTAGGTTCTGGAGGGCAGGATTTGATTTAGTTCTTTATGTATCCTCAACACCCGGCCCAATGCCTACTAGAGGATAATTACTCAACAAAGATCTGTTGAATGAATGATGGGTCAGATGTGATGAAAAAGCCACAGGTAAAAAGTAGCCAAGATACTATGAGATCATTACCAAAAGAGGTATATAAAAAGTACTGAGGAGAGCCAGGTGCGGCAGCTCATGCCTGTAATCCCACTGCTTTGGAAGGCTGAGGCAGGCAGATCACCTGAGGTCAGGAGTTTGAGACCAGCCTGGCCAACATGGCAAAACCCTGTCTCTACTAAAAATGCAAAAATTAGCCAGGCGTGGTGGTGCATGCCTGTAGTCCCAGCTACTCGGGGGGCTGAGGCAGGATAATTGCTTGAACCCAGGAGGCGGAGGGTGCAGTGAACCAAGATTGTGCCAATACACTCCAGCCTGGGTGACAGACCAAGACTCTGTCTCAAACAAAGAAACAAAAAGTATTGAGGAGACATGAAGAACAGAGTGACTGGTTACAGTTAGGATGGTTACGGGAGGCTCCCCAGAGGAGCTGACATATGACCTTGGCCTCAGCGACCAATGGGCCTTAACTGGGTAGGAGAGAAGGGCAGCAGCCAGCCAGTGGACTGAGAGGCAGCCACGGCCCACCACGGCTGACCTCCCATGGTAAGGGAGTATCTGTGTGTTGGCAGAGTGGCTGGGTCTGATTGTGCAGGGCCTTGTGAGCCACGGCCAGGAGTTTGAACTTGAGCCTGTGATCACCAGGAAGCCATCCAAGGCTTTTCAACAGGGAGAGATGTGATGAGGTCTGATGTTAAAAGACAATTATTGTCGGTTTGAAGGACAAAAAGATAAGAGAGCAGGCAGCCAGCTGAGACTCAGTCACAGGAACCTTGGCAGAGACGGGGGAAGTGGTGGCTGGGGGGGTTGGGCCCTAGAGGGAAGCCCGAGGCTGAAGCTGAAGATGTGGGTCAAATTCATTCATGTCACGACACAGATGAGATGGGATAAAAGGTGTTGGAGAATTACTACATATAGGGAAGAAAGCAGAGGAAGGCAATGAGGCTTACGGACTCCTAGCTTGGAGCCGATGGTACAAAGCTACGCTGTTACCCAAGACAGGTCACAGACTGAGGAAGAACTTTGCGGGAGGAAGGCAATAAATTCAGCTGTACACCTGTGAAGCCTACAGACATCCAGGGATGATGCCACGTGAGACATTGGAAACAGAGGTCTGGGGCTGAAGGGAGGGTCCAGCCTGGGGGGCACCCAGCCCCCGAGTCCTCCCAGGTTAGGGAATTGAAATCTGCCCTTCCAGGATGCAACAAAGAAATTATGACGCAAGGTACCGAGACACTTAGGCTGAAACTGAAGCCATGGCATGTTGTATTAACCATGTCTTTTATTTTCTGTATTCTGGTGCTTTCCTACTCCGGACCTTGCAAACTCTGGAGGGACTGCCCCTCCTAGGATTAGCCAATTCCTAGAGATGGTAAAACAATTTGCCCGGAGTATACTCTTCCAATACAAACCAACTAATCCTGAACCCACACCTGGAACACCTCCTTTACTGGCTCTCACACTCCAGGCCACCATCCACCTGCCCTAATCACCCCTGAGCCAGGTGCCAGACGACTAAGGCAACCCCTCTGCCCCAGGGCCACTGAGATTATTCAAATAAGCCTGTCCTAGACCTGCCTACCCGGCCTTGCCCGTTCCTCCCCTCTCCCCTCCTGCCCCCAGTCCCTCCCTTTCCCTACTTGTGACCATCCCGGTACTTTCCTGTGTAGTTCCTGAAGGTGTGGACCCACTTGATGTTTTATTTCTGCATAATATTAACATTTTTCAAAAATGACTTCCTTTTTTGAACAAGGATCTAAGATCACTGTCTATGCAATATCATAGTAAATTAAGCAAAAGAATCAAGCAGTTCCCTTCTTCCTAATTCCCATATGCAACTTGATTCTAGAGATGTATAAGGTTTGTCTAGGATTCCTGTTCTCCAAAATCTCTTCATCCCAACACCCCCATATCCCCCCTAATCTCTCTGAGTCCTCAAGAGGGCCTTACCTATTTAAGAAATTCTCTCTGTTTCACGGAGACTTACCCTTAAAAATTGGTGCTCCTAAAGTCACAGTTTGGGTACAGTAAAAATGATGGCATAAGGAAAAGAAGCACTATCTTTTCCACTTAATTTTCCAAGAAAGTATGAAGATACCTAAGCAGAGAGGGAAAAATTCCAGTATCAATGTGGCTGACGGGAGACTAAATAATTAAAGAAACACAATTCCTCCTAGCTTGTTAAAACAGCAAGGCAAAGAGCTGCCTCACTCCTTGCATAGAACAAAACAAATCAATGCAAATCAATGTGAAACACCCCACAGGCAACCTCCACATGTGGCCTTTTCTTATAAAATACCATCCCATCCTCACCCTCTATATTTTAAAATTCTGTGGTCAGTGAAAAATTCTCCATTGTGATGAAGCCTAATTCATATCACGCCACTGCTTTTTAAAAATATTTTATCAAGTTCATGCTAATTTGTGTGCTGTTAGGCATACGTGGCCTGTTTATTTGGTGATATAAAGGCTACAGACTTCATCCTGCTTTTTATGAAAGGCTACTGCAACTGGTCTTAAATGTCTTTATGTCAAAACGATGTTACTGCCAAAATTCCTGTGCAAAGTAACCACGGTACTTCTGAGAATACTTACAAACAGCTAGCAAGTAACTGGAATTTAGTGGGGATCTTGCTTGAATGGGAACTCTACAGTATAGAGGCAATAATCCAAGATTTTAAAAGGGTATTTCGAAATGCAATAACTCAGCCTTCCCCTCTATTATTATTAGTACTTCCTAAAAAAGGAGAAAGCTTAGCTCAACCATTTTCAAACCACCACCCCACCCGTTTTTTTTTTTTTTTTTTGCTAATTCTGTTAACACATGATCAGCCAAAATCAGAATGAACTAACTTCTTCAGTCTCAGAACTCCCACCATTCCCCACATATCGGAGCACAGACAGATACGGTATCGCTGCAGGAGAAACGTCAACCATCAGGAAATAAGAGTGACACATGCCCATTTCCTGTATATTCAAGGGTCAGTCCATTAAGAAACCACATGTTAGAATGTGGGTCGCATTCCAGTAATGCCTCAAGGTAAAACATTTTCATATGATGACCTGTTGAATTTGCTTGGTCTTTTACCCAAAAATCAGTAGATAAACTGGGTTATCTGGCAGGTTATCAAAGAGTCTTCAGTTTGGTGGAGGACGGATTTGCTCTAAAGCTCTTTAGAAGGAGAAAGAGAAGCATTCTGCAGGAACCCTAGAAATGAAACGCAACCAGCAAGCTGCCATTTGTCCAGAGAAGCTCACACTCCCTGGGAAATGGAATATTGGGTCTCAACCTGAAGAGTAGCTGGACAGAGACAGGAATTCACAAATAAAAGCTTTAAAAGATAATGCGGTCTACTTGCTTCCTACCTTGCCCACGGGAAGTATAGGTTTGCCCTATCTTTTGACTCCTAATGTCAAGGCTCAGTACCCCTGAAATATCTAGGGCCTAATTAGGCTGCCATGAAGAAGTTCTAAAGGAGGAGCTCTCCAAGCAGCTCCAGCTCCTCTCCACCATCCAGGAAATAGGGGGCTGGCAGTGGCAGGAGCAAGACAAGCCACTGCCTTTAGACTGAACTGTGCCAAGGATAACGTGTTTATGAGAACCTCTTTAAAACTCAGAAATCGGCCAGGCACGGTGGCTCACGCCTGTAATCCCAGCACTCTGGGAGGCCGAGGCAGGCGGATCACGGTCAGGAGATCGAGACCATCCTGGCTAACACAGTGAAACCCTATCTCTACCAAAAATACAAAAATTAGCCAGGCATGGTGGCATGTACCTGTAGTCCCAGCTACTCGGCAGGGATAACAGGAGAATCATTTGAACCCAGGGGGCAGAGGTTGCAGTGAGCCGAGATCATGCCACTGTACTCCAGCCTGGGTGAAGGAGTGAGACTCTGTCCCAAAACAAAAGCTCAGAAATCTGCTTCATACTAACACACCAGCCTGCAAAACCATTCCTGAAAGTGACACTAAAAATATTTATTGGCCGGGCGCGTGGCTCACGCCTGTAATCCTAGCACTTTGGGAGGCCAAGGCGGGCAGATTATCTGAGGTCGGGAGTTCAAGACCAGCCTGGTCAACATGGTGAAACTCCTTCTCTACTAATACAAAAAATAAAAAATTAGCTAGGTGCAGTGGCGTGTGCCTATAATCCCAGCTACTCTGGAGGCTGAGGCAGAAGAATTGCTTGAACCCAGGAGGCGGAGGTTGTGGTGAGCCAAGATCACGCCACTGCACTCCAGCCTGGGCTACAGAGTGAGACTTCATCTCAAAAAAATAACCAAAAAAACAAACCAAAAAAAACTTACTGACTGCATGAACTAGGTGTTGGATAAGACACAAGTTAACTGCAAATAGGCAGGAGATTTCTTTTTGGGGTGAAGGAACGTTCTAAAATTAGATTGTGGTGATGGTTGTATAAATACAACTCTGCAAATACGTTAGTAATCATTGCACAGGTGAATTTTCTGGTATGGAAATTATACATCAATAAAGCTTTTAAAAATGTATCTGTCACAATCTGTATCCTTGAGGAGGCCAGAATTTTTCAGAGCGACCCAGGCAAATTTGCTACTAGGTGAATGTTCACCTCATCTTAAATGCAGATATCCTTGAAAATCATCTCAAGATATTCAAAGCATGGAAATGACTCACATTTCTATCTGATAATCAGCAAGGGGGAGAAGAAGCCACTCAGCTCCTGTTTCTCCCTGGAGGGTGAGGTGCAGAAGGGGAGGCATTTCATCCTGTTCCTGAAACCTCTTCCCAATGAAACGCTGGTGGAGACCTCAACCACCAATCCACTGAGACAAGTTATAAGAGTAAATCATGTTGTTAAAACAAAAAAAAAAATATCACTACCTACTTCTTATTCTCTGTCTCTCCCCATGGGGGAATAAAATGTCTACAAATTGTTTAAAATAAGAAATAGAAAAGCTTGGAATTCATTTAAAAAAGGCCAATCAGGTAACAGTCATCTACAGTTTCTTCTTTATAAAGAAAGCATTGCAGCACCATTAGTCAAAGACAGGCAGTTAAATGACAAGTCTCTGATTTGACCAATAAAGGAGAGGGCTAAACCAGCCAAAGAAGAGCTTGGAATGTCTTTTTAAAAACCATCATGAGATCCAGATCAGCCACCTAAGCCCCACAAAAGCCAGCAATCACCTAGGGTAATTATTCTGGTCTACCTGGGAGCTTTCTCTAGGGCACCCATCATCCCAACATGACTGACAGCCGTCCCATCACTCTCAATCCTCTCCTGATTTGAACAGTGAGTGATATGTTCACCTTACCTGAGAGTGGGAGGGACTGTGCTGAGGCTGAGAGCAGACAGCATGGACAGTTTTGCCTTTGTGCTGCAGAGCAGGTATTGACCACAGAGCAGTCCTAAGGCCCCACTGGCCAGGGAACCCACCCTTAGAGGCATGGACTGGAACTGAACCATCAGAAAGTCGTGTACACACGTTAGACTCATCTGGGTGGCTTCTTCTGTTTTTTAGTGACTCATGCCTGGTCCCTTCCCTGAGAAATTCTAACTTAACAGGTCTGATTAAGAAAGCCTGACCTTGGCTGGGCACGGTGGCTCATGCCTGTAATCCCAGCATTTTCGGAGGCTG